>NC_000005.10:111927988-112231019 GCF_000001405.40 Homo sapiens | reverse complement strand
AAAGAGGATTAAATAGTGCTGTGTTAAAATTTAAGACTTTGCTGAGACCACCTTTCAGTCTGATTTTTGAATTGCTTTTATCCTGACTTTTTTTCTTGAGACAGAGTCTCACTGTGCCACCCAGGCCGGAGTGCAGTGGTCCAATCTTGGTTCACTGCAACCTGAAACCATAAAAACTCTAGAAGATAACATCGGTAAAACTCTTCTAGACATTGGCTTAGGCAAAGCTGTTCATAGCCAAGAACCCAAAAACAAATGCAACAAAAACAAAAATAAATAGATAAGACCTAATTAAACTGAAAAGCTTCTGCACAGCAAAGGAAATGATCAGAGTAAACAGTCAACCCACAGACTGGGAGAAAATATTCGCAAACTATGCATCCAGCAAAGGACTAATATCCAGAATCTACGAGGAACTGAAATCAGCAGGAAAAAAAATGAATAACCCATCAAAAAGTGGGCAAAGGACACGAATAGACAGTTCTCAAAAGGAGATGTACAAATGGCCAACAAACATGTGAAAACATGCTCAACATCACTAATGATCAGGGAATTGCAAATCAAAACCACAATGAGATACCGCTTTACTCCTGCAAGAATGACCATAATTAAAAAATAAAAAAAATAATAGATGTTGGTGTGGATATGGTGAAAAGTAACACTTTTACACTGCTGGTTGGAATGTAAACTAGAATAACCACTGTGGAAAATAGTATGGAGATTCCTTAAAGAACTAAAAGTAGAGCTACCATTTGATCCAGCAATCCCATTATTGGGTATCTGCCCAGAGGAAAAGAAGTCATTATATAAGAAAGACACTTGCACACGATATTTATAACAGCACAATTTGTATTTGCAAAACTATGGAACCAGCCTAAATGCCCATCAGCCAACAAGTGGATAAAGAAAAGTGGTGTTTATATTACTATGTACACTATAGAATACTACTCAGCCATAAAAAGGAACAAAATAATGGCATTCGTGGCAACCTGGATCAGGTTGGAGACCATTATTCTTTTTTTTTTTTTTTTTGAGACAGAGTCTAGCTCTGCCTCCCAGGCTGGAGTGCACTGGCGTGATCTCGGCTCACTGCAAACTCTGCCTCCTGGGTTCACACCATTCTCCTGCCTCAGCCTCCCAAGTAGCTGGGACTACAGGCGACCACCACCATGCCTGGCTAACTTTTTGTATTTTCAGTAGAGACAGCGTTTCACCATGTTAGCCAGGATGGTCTTGATCTCCTGGCCTCGTGATCCATCTGCCTTGGCCTCCGAAAGTGCTGGGATTACAGGTGTGAGCCACCGTGCCTGGCCTGGAGACCGTTACTCTAAGTGAAGTAACTCAGGAATGGAAAACCAAATATTATATGATCTCATTTTTAAGTGGGAGCTAAGCTATGAGGACACAAAGGCATAAGAATGATATAATGGACTTTGGGGATTTGGGGGAAGGGTAGGAGGGGGTGAGGGATAAAAGACTACACATTGGGTACAGTGTACACTGCTTGGGTGATGAGGGCACCAAAATCTCAGAAGTCACCACTAAAGAACTTACTCATGTAACCAAGAACCACCTGTTCCCCTAAAACTATTGAAATAAAAATAATAAATAAATAAATAAAAATACCCCACAAGAGTTATTTAGTGGAGTAGGAATAGGCAAACGTTTTTCACGAAGGGCCAGATAATGAATATTTTAGACTTTGCAGGCCATGTGGTTTCTGATGTAACTATTCACCTCTGCCATTTGTAGCACAATAGTGTCACTGAAAATATGCAAATGAATAAATGTGATGTGTTTCAAAAAAAACACAAAACATTTGTATATAATTTTTTAAAAAGTCGTGATGGGGGTTATTACTTTTTGTTAGTTTGTATCATTAATTTATACTAAATGAGTTTTTACTTTAGAAGACCTTTCTTTTTAATTCCGAAGTTAAAGTAATTCAATCAAACTAGATGACTAGTCCCCTTAACTTGCATCCCAGTTGTCTGTAAGTTTAAAAAGCATGTTTATTCACCTCTCAATCAGGAGTAATAAATGCCCTGGCAGCTAAAAAGCCATTGTGTTTAGAATTTGCCAAGTGCAGGCCCTGGCACCTTTATGAGGAAGTACATTCCAGAATCAAGTGCCCTGCACCCAGCTGCCTGCTTCCCCACCCAGAGGAGGTCAGCATCAGGGCAGGCAGCCAGAGCATTCCTGCAAGTCTAAACTGCCTCAGAGGAGCTTGGGTAAAGCCAGAAAAGGGACGGCAGGAGGAAAAAGTGCCCTCCTGTTACAACCCTCTCTCTGACAAGTTCTTGGCAACTCACACAGTTGGATTCCTGTCAAAGGAGATCGTCTCTGCTGTAAGTAGGCAATGAAGACAGAATATTTGGATATAATTCATAATTAGCTATAAGAAAAGTAATGGGTGAAGCCATTTGGGATGGATACACAAGGCTTTGATTATCTGATGCAGCATTTTAAGTTCTTAAAAATATCTCACTGAACACACAAATACTTGCAGCATAATCTTTGAACTATTGCAAAGCAAGATAAGATGACATTTTTGGCATTCCCATTCTGCCTCTGTGGAAGGGGCTGCAAACAGAGTGCATAAGGGGTTGTGAAAATGATTTCTGAGAGGATGGTTTGTGCACAGTGTGCAAGAGGACAGCTACTTACCGCTTGGACCAAGCCAGTTGTTTCTGTGCAGCGGAGTGGACCTAGTGTTGATGTATCTTCCAGTGTTTCAAGAGAAGTACAAAATCTGGATGTTCATGTGAACTTCCTAGAATTTGAAATACTAGCAATTAATTTTATTATAAGAAGACTTTGTGTGCTAAGTTAAACATTTCTGATCAACAGATTTGGCTTGAGGGCTGCTTCCCTGGAAACTCTGTCCCTTGACAGAGCTGGTGTGAGTGGTTGATCTACCATGTGACAGGTGACTCCATCTGCCCTGGGGCTCACACTATGTTTCTGCAGCATCCTCAGCAATCACGACTATGTTTGATTCAAACACTCCATTACTCCAGACGTGAGCACTTTGTAGTTAGTAGGTCAGTGGGCCAACTCCAGGGGATGATGGTGCCACACAGCTCTGGACCCCCCATAGTGAATGATTCCCCTGAGGGTAGCTAACCAGCATCTATTGTTGACCCAAGGTAGGTGCAGTCAAAGCAGGGAAGACAGAGAAATTATTCGATATAATGAAGTACAGTTTCATTTGATGAAGTATAGCTCTGGGCTGCTAAGAAATAGCAATGTCAAAACAATAGTTATTTATTGAACACTTCCTCTGATTGGCACATTGTGTCAGATGCAAGTCAGCAGAACCTCAGTGTGGCTTGTGGCAGTCAAATCTGTGTTTTGAAGGCAGAGGAAAGGTGAGTTATCTGAATAGAGACGGATGTATCAGTGCGATCCAGTAAGCTGGATCCTGGTACTTTGCTGGTTCAGCTTCAGTAATCCATGTACTAGACATGTAATATTATAAAGTCACTTAGCCAGCTTGAGCCTTGATTTCTTCATCTGTCAGATGAGTTGCTGTCATGGGGATGTGTCTGAAATGGGCTGAGTATCTTGTCAGAACTTGTAGAGGCTTGGTACACTTTAGTTTCCTTCTCCTAAACCAAAAGGATGTCTTTCTATTCACAGTGTGGACCACTGTGAATCCATCTGTCAATGTCTGAGGTATATTCGCTGTAATGGCATGAACTTCATATACAAAGGATGATGTTATTATGTTGAGGTGCTGTGGGCTTTTGAGAGTGAGGGGTAAGGAGAGGCCATTCAAGTACAGTGAGAGGGGCTTGGAAAGGAAATTGGACACTCTCACTTAAATCTAGAACATTCAGTATAAATCGAGTGTGAAGAACTGGGCCAGTCAGAGCATACTATGTGAAGGTTTCTTCTGTCCTGCCTGCCTACAGATTTTAGCACCCCAGGGCAGCTGTTGGGAGCAGTATCAGGATCACAGAGTTAGGAAGTGTCTTTCTTACTATGTTTCTACTCTTCAGAGTAGCATTTAGTCCAAGCCTTTTTTTTTTTTTTCATTGTGGTAAAACCATAACATTAAATTTACCATCTTAAGCATTTTAAGAGTAAGTTCAATAGTATTAAATATATTCACATTGTTGTACAACCAATCTCTAGAGTGTTTTCATCTTATGACTCTGAAACTATACCCCGTAAACACCAATTACCCCTTCCTGCTCTCCCCAGCTCTTGGTGATCGTCTTTCTACTTTGTTTCTATGATTTTGACTACTTTAGTACTTCATATAAATGGAATCATCTAGTATTTGTTCAAGCCATTTTTCTTCTCTGATTTTTTTTTTTACACCAACATCTCTACCCTCCTCTCCTCCCCACCTCAGATCTTCACTGCTCTCCAGCCCTCTTGGGATTTTCTATGACTATGAATTGGAAAGAACAAACTTCTTACAGTGTGTTCATTAACAGTGATGACATTGTGTGATAATTTTAAAGTTCACACAGTTAATCATTCCATCTTCTATGTAAGGTGGTTTCCCCTATTTGAAGTAATTAGCTGCCAGGCCTACCTGAGTGCATTTTTCATGTTAAGCAGACAATAGGAACAGAGAAGACAAAGAAAAGGCAAAGCTGAAAGGGCTCCCAGAGGGGAAGCAAAATTGTTGAATGAGGAGCGCACAGAAGCTGTGGCTCTGGATCAGGGAATTCAAAAGCAAGTCCCCAATCTCTGAGTTTGTCCAGGAAGATATTAGATCAAATACGTCACTTCTATAATATCAGCGGAACTACTCCTGTGTTGTTTGTCATCACAGAGACTGGAAACTACCTAAATATCCATTAGAAAGAAACTGGCCTAATAAAGTAATATATGTTCCCCAGCCTCTGCCCCACATGAAATACCATGTCTCTGTTACAAGAAATCTGAGAGCAGGATTGGAGCTTGTGTCAATCTGATTCCATAGTCCCACAGTATCTGCTATGAAAGGCCAGGCCCCATGAGGAGCCCACCAAAGGAGAGGAATGTCAGGACTAATGATCGCTGAGCATTACCATGTGCTTGGCACTGTGCTAGACACTCTGCAGATAGTAGCTTACTCTTTTAGAAGATGCTGTAATTCTCAATGTTTAGGTGAGAAAGCAGAGGCTGAGACTTGTACAGAGTCACAAAGCTGAGATATGAACACAGGTCAGTTACAGTCTACAATATAGAGACGAAAGACTAAGAAAGAATGTGTTACATTTGTATGTACAGATACGAAATGATCTCCAGGATATGGTATATAAATGGTGGGGGCAGAGAAGCAGAGGGGCCCGGTAGTATTTAATGTGTTACCATTATATACAAAGACAAATTGGGTGGGAAAGTATGCATGCAGATAATACTTGCAGGCAGGATACATTAGAAACTAGTAACAGTAGTGGCCTTTGGGAAGCGTTTCTGAGAGAATGGGGATTGGCAGTGGGAGAGAGATTTATTTTCATTTGAATTTTTACCAAGCACTTTTCAAAAGCCCTACAGATTACTGTCATGAATGCATGAAGTTCACAAATGCTCATCCACATTTCCAATAGAGACATTCTCAATAAGCTCAGAGCTGAGACATTGTTCTTACCCTAGATCATTGTGATTTACAGAGAAAGAGCAATATAAGATCAATTGTACAAAACTCAAATGTTAGGAATTTCTCCTGTGTTATAGCAGACACAACCAGAGTCTTCAAGGAGAGGGGCATAAGTCCAGGATTAAAGTACATAAGATGGCATATAAGTCCTCAAGCCAGAGGGTGCTCCATTTCATGAGGAAGACTCATGGTATAGAGTCTTTGGATTAAATGAAGTAGAGGACGCTTTGTGTTTTTCACCCAAAGAAGTGATGATTTGCAGGTGTAGCAAGTTCTAGAATGTGGAGGATGTCTGGATGAGAATCACTTAGCAAGGAGGAATGTTTGGGAAAAGAGAGGGTAAAGAAACTGGGAAAAGACAGTAACATAATAATAGCTCTCACATCTATCCGGCCTTTGACGGGTATTGTGAAGTTTTTGTTTATTTCTTCTGGGTCAGAAAAAGGAAGAAGTTAGTATAAATTTTCATACAAAAGGGTTAGAACAAGACATTCTGACCTAGAATTGTTATATGGGTGGCTATGGAGATGATTTCTGAAAATATGGTGGAGGAGCTTTGTTTTGGCAAAAGTGTGATTGTGGCTCTTCTTTTCCAAGTGCACAGATCAGAATTAGACCATTGACTGAGTTATGGTCCAAGTCTGTGGTCCCTCCCTCTCTCCTTTGTAAGAACCTCTGCTCTGAGGGATGTTTAAATTACCTCTTGACTGATTATTTAAGCCATTTAATTGAGAAGCGACTTAGTGGGGTGGTAGGGGAGCTTAAAAAAAAGAGTGTGAAAGTTGTACCTGATTTGAGTAGCCCTGAATTCCTGGTCTGCCTTGGTTGTGACCTGTAACTTGTCATTCAGCATTCTCAGCTTTCATCCCTTTATCCATAAAATACAATAATTGGGTATGTAAGCTTTAAAGATTCCTCTTCTTTCTAAAATTCCTTTATTCTGTCTGACTTACCTGCCCACAGAGTTGGAAGGACCAAATATGAAAAATAGATACAGTGGAATTTTAGAAAGTTTTTTTTTTAAGTATATGGGTTTTTACCATTTCAAAAGTCTTGCAAAGTTGTGAAAAAGATCTTCCCAGATTATAAAATGTAGTTTTGCCATTGGAAATACACAGTACTTTTTGTGTTTGGAAAAACCTTCTAGCCAATTCTTTAAAACATCTCAGGCTGGATGCGGTGGCTTACACCTGTAATCCCAGCACTTTGGGAGGCTGAGGTGGGTGGATCACAAGGTCAGGAGTGTAAGACCAGCCTGGCCAACGTGGTGAAACCCTGTCTCTACTAAAAATACAAAAATTAGCCGGACGCAGTGGCAGGCGCCTGTAATCCCAGCTACTCAGGAGGCTGAGGCAGAAGAATCGCTTGAACCTGCGGGGCGGAGGCTGCAATGAGCCGAGATCGCGCCACTGCACTCCAGTATGGGTGACAGAGTAAGACTCCGTCTCAAAAGAAAAAAGCCTAAAGTTCAAATGAAACTCTTATTGACAAATTGAATAAAGTTAACTTTAACCATGGCTCTATTACAGTTTAAAAATTATTCTTTTAGTCCAAACTGACGAGATGAATATGAGATTTTGCCTGTTTGGTTAACTCATAGTTAAAAAGTGCTGTCTTTCTGGGTAAAAATAAAAAGAAGACATTCCTTCTTAGAAAGTTTTTGCATAGCTTTGTCTCTGCCTTTGAGTTGTGTGTGAACACAACCTTAGACTAGTCGTTTCTTGAACCTGCTCCTTCTTTTGGAAGTCAGCAGTGGGAATTGGCTCTACCTCGGCAGTTGTTTGTTGTTGCAATTCTTGATTTTACTAATGCATTGGGCAAATTTACCTGTTTTTTTACCCCTCCTGTTCTTGACAGGTGGGGGCTGGAGGGTGTGTCTGTCAGCGGTTTGGGATTCTGTTTTGGGGATAGATATTCCTGAGTAGATGGCATCTGAGGATTCCACACCTTTGCTTTACTATCAGAATTCATTGTTCTGAGGTGATGGTTTCTATGCCAGTATTTTCTTCAGACTTTGAAAACTCTGGGATTGATTTTTTTATTGGCTCTGTTTGGCCATAAGTTACTCATTACTTATTAATATCAATGTTAAAGATTTTGGGGGTTCTCAGAGTTCAGGGTTATTTTGGTAGGTTATAGGGAGAGATAGGTGAGGTAAAGAAGAAAGAAACTACTTTCGGTCGGGCACGGTGGCTCAATCCTGTAATTCCAGCACTTTGGGAGGCCAAGGCGGGCAGATCACCAGAGGTCAGGAGTTCAAGACCAGCCTGGCCAACATGACGAAACCCTGTCTCTACTAAAAATACAAAAGCTAGCTGGACATGGTTGGTGTGTACCTGTAGTCCTAGCTACTTGGAAGGCTGAGGCACAAGAATCGCTTGAACCCGGGAGGCAGAGGTTGCAAGCAGGGATTGTGCCACTGCACTCCAGCCTGGGCGACAGAGCCAGACTCCATCTTAAAAAAAAAAAAAAAAACTAGTTTCACTTGTGGAGCAGGTGCCCTGCTTGGCCCTTGGGTCACTGGCACTGTGCTGGTCTTTGGAGCAGGAGTCCAGAAGGGGTGGAGGAAGAGCCCTCTGTAACAGTGGACTTGCTCCTCTCTTCTCTCCTGGGGTAAGAATGGGGCCTCTGAGGAAACCGCCCAGATTCCTTCTCCAGAAAAGATGATGTGCAGTCCAGCAGATGAGTCAGTTATCTGGGGACAACCAAGCCTTTTGGGGCTGCTTTACGGTCCAGGTACCAGGTACAGCTTTGAACAGAGAAGCTGGTTTGCAGAGAAAGAAGAATGGAGTTGGCTCACTGTGAGAATCACACAGCTTTGAGAAGAGAGGGGAAGGGAGGCTTAGTAGCTATGAACTGAAGTCTGTGAGATCCTGTTGTGCATTCACCATGAATTCCTTTCTAATTTGAGCTGATTTCCTTGCATGAAAACAGTGGATAACATTACTGGGTATAACCCTTTCAGTATCCCCATGAGAAAGATGGGTGGTAGTCTCATCTTACTGATGAGGAAACTGAGGCATGGAAACATTAAGTACTTGTTTGAGATTACACAGGCAGTAAGCGCAAAGCCAGGATCCTAACCCAGGTCTTTGGGATACTATGGTACATGCTTGGAAAGTAAATGGAAGTTAAGAAAGGTGAAAGGTCTAGAATGATTTGAAAATATACAACTTCTGTTTTTTCCCCATGTGTGATTTCTTCAGTAGCTCTAACTTGTTTTCAACAAATACTCTTGAGAAGACCATACATTCTGCTCATTTATAGTCAGAGTCAGCCTACTTTTACTTTAAGCCATTTTTAGAAGAAAATGTGTAAGTTCTTTGGGGCATCTTACCTAGCCAAGAGAGAGGGGGAAAGGCAGTAACTGTTAATTGCAAGGAGCATTAGGTAGACCATATAGTCAGGTGTATGTTTGTTGCAGGCTGTTAGCCTTTGTTGGCATCCTTTTCTATTCTGCCTTGAAACTTAGGCTTATTTTCCATCTGTAAAAGATTTATTAATGTATGGCGAGTCTGGTTAGATTTTCTCTAAAAAGTTAATGTTTTCAGTCTTCTTGGGAGTGTTTAGCATTCCAAACATAGCTACGAAAATTAGAAAAGCAAGCAAAATGAAAGGGCTATTATATATTCAAGTTAAAATCACAGCTTTAGTGAGTTACCATAAATGACACCTTTTTTCTTTTTCTTCTTATTCAACAAGAATTTATTGGGCACCTCTTTGGCATAAGACCCTATTTTATAGAGCACAGAAAATGGAATAAAGCTTGGCCCCTAATCTGTAGGAACTAAGTCATATACAAATAACACAGCCGTCAGTTATTTAGCACTTACTAAATTCCAAACACAGTGCTAAAGGCTTTATATAAATTGTCTAATTTAATCCAGCTGTGCACTATATAAGTAGTTAGTGGTGTTCCCATTTTACACAGGAGAAAACTGTGGCCCAAAGTAGTTTAATAACTTGTCCAAGATCACAGGATCAATTTACAATGGGTAAACTGGCAGAGCTGAGAAATAAATCTAAGTTTGTTGGACTTTCAACCTTGTACACTTAACCAGCTGCTTTGCAAGACTAGAGAAGCAATGCTGGAATGCAGGCAGGACATATCAAGTGGCATAGAGTGGAGCACTGACAGAGTTCTAAGTGTCCGGAAGGATAATTTGCTTATGGCTAGAGGCAGTCCATGATGCTATTGCAAAAGAAGGGGGTTTTAATGGACAGGTGAATTAAGGCAGTAGATTTCAGGCTCGTGTATGCAACTGCTAGGGTGGATTGTATAGGGGAGAAAAAGTAGTAGCTTCCTCACTTATCACTAGGTTCATGGCTGAGGTCCCCATAACAAAAGATTAACAAGAGAAAAGTGTACAACTTTGTTTAATATAAGTTTTATATACATGAGAGCCTTTAGAAATGAAGACCCAAAGAAATGAGATATGTGTATATTCATGGACAGTCATGCAGAAGTATGACTAGAGGACAAAAGGGTATATTCTAATGGTAATAACCTGGAGGGGGGCTTAGCAAAGGTTGGTTGTTTGGATTCTTCTTGGTTTCCCTGTATGATATCCCCTCCCTCTGGGTAAAGCAGGATATCTATCACATGAGGGATTCCAGGGGAAAAAGGAGGAAGAAGGTCAGAGAGTTACCTTCTAGGTTTTAGACCTGTTTCAGGAGAAAATGACAGAGGGTTGGGAGATGAGAGGGGCTTTCTTGCTTCTGCTGTTTTCTCAAATGCCAAGGTGTTATAGTTTGGGGTAGCGTGTCCTGATCTGAGTCAGGTGGGGAGGGCAACACACAGAGGCTTTCTAAGATGTACTTGGGCACAGGTAGTTTTCATTGAATCAATTTCTAGATTCTCTTTTCTAAAAGGCATATTCCTGTGGTAGTATACATACTGGTTCTTCTGTCCAGCCTGCCCTTTTGCAATGGACCTTCTTCCATTTTGCAAAAGAAAAGAGCCCTTTCCTACATCTGGAATCTGTTAGACTGCTTTGTCCATAAGCTTTGAACCTCTTGGGGTTGGTATTGGGAAGGTAAATGACTCTAATTATCAAGTGACATATCCTTTTCTAAGTCATTTTCTCATTTTTACTTGCAACAAAATTGAAGGAGGACCCAGCGGATTTGTCACTTGATAGAACATTCAGAATAATTTTGGATAATATATCACTGTTAGATATCTAACTCCTTAGAAGTTCTTTGACTCAGTGGTGATGTCTTTATAACAGAATACATTACATATACCTCTACTTATTTTGAACATGGGTTCACAGCATCGAAAATCAAAATAAAAGTAGGAATAGACTTGTTGCTAAACTGTTTCATTCTAGCAAAAAATAACATTTGTAAATAGATTTGATACATGTAATCATTAGGGAAATAAAACCACCTCTGTTTACCTCATTAAAAATTGCTTTCTGGCAGGGCACAGTGGCTGATGCCTGTAATCCCAGCACTTTGGGAGGCCAAGGTGGGTGGATCACTTGAGGTCAGGAGTTCAAGACCAGCCTGGCCAACATGGTGAAACCCTATCTCTACTAAAAATACAAAAATTAGCTGGGTGTGGTGGTGGGCATCTGTAGTCCCAGCTTCTTGGGAGGCTGAGATGGGAGAATCACTTGAACTCAGAAGATGGAAGTTGCAGTGAGCCAAGATTGCTCTATTGCACTCCAGCGTAGGCAACAGAATGAGACTCTGTCTCAAAAAAAATTGCTTTCCAATAAAAAATTTACTTTTTATATTTAATAATTTATCAGCATTAGTATGGTGTACTAATATACTGCTACTAATTATAATAACTTAGTTCAGAAGAAATTTTTTACATTTAGAGCTTTATGGTCATGGGAAGTAAACACTTTATTTTTATATTTTGTCATAGAGAAGTATGATAAGGTGATAATAAAAACTTTTTTATTAGTTTGTTCTCACATTGCTATGAAGAAATACCTGAGACTGGGAAATTTATAAAGAAAAGAGGTTTAAAAGACTCACAGTTCCACTTGGCTGGGGAGGCCTCAGGAAACTTGGAATCATGGCAGAAGGCATGTCTTCACAGGGCGGCAGGAGAGAGAATGAGTGCCAGCAGGGGAAATGCCAGACGCTTATAAAACCATCAGCTCTTGTGAGAGTTCACTCACTATCACGAGAATAGCATGGGGGAACCACCCCCATGATTAAGTTACCTCCCACTGGCTCCCTCCCACGACGACGTGGGGATTATGGGGATTACAATTCAAGATGAGATTTGAGTTGGGGACACAGCCAAACCATATCAACTTTCAAATTCAAAACATATTAGGGATAAATTTTGTAGGTGAAGTAGAATTGAAATGCAAACACAAAGAGAAAAAAGAATGTGATGAAATTTATTAACTGCTAAACAACTCATTTCATATGTTTTTAAAATGGATGACACAACGAATCGGTATGGTATTTTATTACATTGGATATGTTTAAGGGAGTCATGAAACAGTTCTAGTTTTTAATGTCATATTTATACTTCAAATTATATCCTTTGGTACTATTTAAACTTTTCATGAAAAATTTTAGGTATCATTTTGAAACAAGCACAAGGTACATTGTTTTTCAAAATTCTTTTAGTGAGTGCTTGCGTAAAATAAAACACTACAGAGTCCTTGAGATGAGCTCAAACGTGGAAGCAGACAAAAAACTTCCCAATTTTGCCTTAGCTAAATAAGCATTTTAAAAACAATCTTGATATACAGGTATGCTTAGTTTATATTTGCATTTACTTTATTTACTATTAAAATTGCATCAAATAAAAACCTCAAAAGTAGTGTTCTAGCACTCTCCTCTGAGACAGAACCAGCTTTAGGTTAGGTATGGAACTATCCACCTGCCCTAGACCAAGCAAGCATAAATTGTGGGGCTTGAGAGATGGCTGGAGAATGTTTGGTGTGTGTCAGTCGGCTGTGTAGCCCTGATAGAGGATTGGAGGAGAGGGCACCAGGAGTACCACTGGGAAGGATGTGAGTGATCACTCAACTCTCTTCCCTCAAACTCGTATCACAGGAAGAAAAACTTGATATCCAAGTGACTCGTGACACCTCTTGATTCCAGCTGACCATTCATAGATAGGTGTTATCTTTGGGTCCAAGAGGGCTTGAAGGAACAATGTGCACCCTCTCCTGTTACCACATCTGGCAGTCTTTCCACGCTGGTGTAGATTACAAATCTTCAGATAGAAGTCTCTCATCCTACTCCTTTGAAGTTCTAAGGGAATGAGCAGATGCCTTCCTAGCCTCACAAATCCCTTTCTTGTTTTTGAACCTGGCATTCTGACCCACAAGGAGGACTGTCTGTGAGTACCTCCACACCCTGTAGCTCCTCCACACACTCTGTAGCACTGGGGGAAGGGCAGAGGAGGAAGTGCCTTTATGTGCACTCACAGTCCCAAATTATCATTTTGGTAATGACGAAAGCAGAGGGATCCAGGAGAGTACTGGGTCTGGGAAGAGGAAATTGGAAGCAGAACAACTCAGGAGGGGGCCTTTCATGCATAGACATGTTTTCCTAGCATCTTTCTCCTCCACACCCATTCCTTATAATCTACCCTCCAGCTTTTCAGTAGAATGCCTTCTTTGATCTTGCAGTAGCAAAATTGGTGTCTAAAAAGTCTATGTATATCTAGTAAAAAGGCAACTGCTTAAATATCACTCTTGGAACTTTAGAAGGCAGAAACATTTTTTGTGTTTTAAGAAATGGAGTCTCACTCTGTCACCAGGCTGGAGTGCAGTGGTGTGATCATGGCTTATTGTAACCTCAAACTCTCAAGTTCAAACAATCCTCCTGCCTCAGTCTCAATAACTGGGATGACAAGCATGGGCCACCATGCCTGGCTAATTAAAAAAACTTTTTTTGTAGAGATAGGTCTCACTATGTTGCCCAGGCTGATCTCAAACTCCTAGCCTCAAGCGACCCTCCTGCATTGTCTTCCCAAAGTGCTGGGATTACAGGAGTGAGCTACTGTATTCAGCCCAGGAATTCTTAAGCAGGAATCTGGCTGCCTTTTGGGGATGAGCCAGGTGTTTGAACTTAAACAATTAGCCATTGGATGCAGAAACATCTTTATTTTCCAAATTATGTTTTAATATTTATTTTTGCTTTATAGAATTTAATGAGCATCTGTTTTGCCAAATATAAAATTTTCCAGCTGGATGCGGTGGCTCACGCCTGTAATTCTAGCATTTTGGGAGGCTGAGGCAGGTGGATCACCTGAGGTCAGGAGTTCAAGACCAGCCTGGGCAACATGGTGAAACCCCATCTCTACTAAAATACAAAAATTAGCTGGGCATGATGGTGGGTGCCTGTAATCCCAGCTACTCGGGAGGCTGAGATGGTAGAATCGCTTGAACCTGGGAGACTGTGGTTGCAGTGAGTGGGTGGCTGAGCGAGACTCTGTCTCAAAAAAAAAAAAATTCCATGATGATAGGAAAATTATATAAGGTTTTCTTGAATATTTAGCTATTTGGCCGTAATTTGTGGTATAGAAAAAGAATGTTTTATTTTGCTAATTTGCTATACTGCCATTTTTTCCATAGTACCTAGTCTAAAGTTGGTGAAATTAAGGCAAAGTCACTTTGAGCTGTCAATGTGAGAAATAGAGCTAAAATATATTTTCAATTATTGGTCAGTTCTTAATTCACAAATATCATGTCTTTTGATAAGTTGAACTGGGTTAGGTCATGCAAATCAGATTGTGTTAACTGAAACCTAATAACTTACTGTGTTGAGAATAGCTATAATCTTATTATTTGTCTTAAGCATTTTATACAGTTTTTTTTTATGTTAAGGGAAGAAAATGTGATTGTTAAGTAGGACAAGATTTAACCTGAAGGTTTATAAATTTATATTTGAGAATTTTTAAAAGAAAGTGTATGTCACAACCTTGTTTTACTTGTTTAGCTGTATGTTATTTTCCCCACATATCAGAATAAGGTATTCTCGCTTTCCAAATACATTTTTTTCATTTTAATTTCACACATTCAGCCTTCACCCTCACTCTAAAAATTAAAAGGAATGGCAACATTTAAGTAACATCAAAGATTTGATTTATGTTGACAGGTGTCAAATTGACTTATGAATTTTGTGAGACTCGTAATCCTATTTAATTGCAAAGTATTTTTGTAATTGAAAATACGTGTATATTCATCACCAAATCTTGACATCACAGGGATGACTTTTAAGAATTGCCCCCAGATAAAGTAGCTAAATAGATCCTGGGAAAGTTCATTCTGTTTCTGACAGTCACACTTCCTGAACTGAAGGCAAGGATCACTTAAGATGGAGGTACTCAAATGTGAACAGAATCTAACCACTCAAAGGACTGGTAGTGGTCTGATGCACCAGGATGGAAGTATTTGGATATAGTGTATTAAAAACGAACAAATGAAACCCTGGAGCTTTGCACACTGGCATTTCAGTACTGTATAAACCACAGGGAATTGTGTGTGCACATATTAAGCTGTGGTGTCTAACAGCCCAGAAACAAATATCACAGGCCATGAGCTAGATTTGGCTCATTAATAAATGATAGCACTCCCCGACTGACATACTCTTCAAAATACGAGCAGCCTTTTGGAATTAAGCTTTGTCTGTTTTTTTTTTGTTTTTTTTGTTTTTTTTTTTTTTTGAGATGGAGTCTCACTCTGTCGCCCAGGCTGGAATGCAGTGGCGCGATCTCTGCTCACTGCAAGCTCCACCTTCCGGGATCACGCCATTCTCCTGCCTCACCCTCCCGAGTAGCTGGGACCACAGGCACCTGCCAGCACGCCTGGCTAATTTTTTGTATTTTTAGTAGAGACGGGGTTTCACCATTGTTAACCAGAATGGTCTCGATCTCCTGACCTCATGATCCGCCCGCCTTGGCCTCCCAAAGTGCTGGGATTACAGGCGTGAGCCACCGCGCCCGAGCAAGCTTTGTCTTTTTAATGTGAACAATATGTAAAATGAATTGGACACTCTTGATTAATTCTAAGTGGCCTCACTAGAGTTATTATTATTTTTACTTGAAGTAAAATACAGATTTACTTCAAAGCCTTAATAGCCATATGTCAATAACTGATCTTGATTGCAGATCACCTGTGGCTGTGAATTGAAACAGCAGTGTGCTACTGCAGAAGACTGCCTTTTAAAATTCTAAGAAGCAGCCCAGTCCTGCAAGGTATATTGCCGCATGTCCTTTTGACATGCGTCTCAGGTACCACCACATCTATTAATAGTTTTTGTTTTACTTTTGACACTTATTAAATAAAGATCATTATCCTGAATTTTCCTCTCTAGTGGCAAAAATGGTAGAAACAGAAATACATCCTTTCTAATAATAGACATTCATTGAGTACCTACCATGGGTGGTGCACTGTTCTGGCAGCCATGTGGGTGCACAATGATGTGTCCTTCATTTTATTAAGATTTTGAGGCCTTATGAAGTTTTTAATTTAAAAATAATTTTGTTTTATATGTCAAATATTTTATGAAATGAAACACAGAATAATCTGTGTTTCCAGATATTTTAGGCAGAAAGCAACTGTTTAACTTTATCTAGAAAGTAAAGAATTGCCCCAAATGAGATGATTGTGAAGTGCAGGAAAATTGCCCTCTGTGTTTTTTTTCTTTTGTTTTTGCCTTTTGAGATGGAGTCTTGCTCTGTCGCCTGGGCTGGAGTGCAGTGGCGCGATCTCCACTCACTGCAAGCTCCGCCTCCTGAGTTCACGTCATTCTTCTGCCTCAGCCTCCCGAGTAGCTGGGACTACAGGTGCCCACCACCACACCTGGCTAAATTTTTTTTGTATTTTTAGTAGAGATGGGGTTTCACTGCTTTAGCCAGGATGGTCTCGATCTCCTGACCTCATGATCCGCCCGCCTCGGCCTCCCAAAGTGCTGGGATTACAGGCGTGAGCCGCCGCGCCCGGCTGCCCTCTGTGTTTTAATTCTTGAAGTGGGTGGTGGTTTACTGTATGATTATTTGTTAAGCTGTTTATATATGTATGTTATACCCTTTTCTTATGTCTGATATTTAAATGAAAAAGCAGTGGTGGTGGGGAAAGATTTATCTAACCTCCAAATATTTTCTGGAACAGTGCCTGAAATTCCCTTGTTATTGGTTAATTATTTTAGTTAATATTTGGTCTTTCCTTTTACTCATCTTCAAAATGGAACTGTTCTGTGGTACATAATACATGAAGACATAAGCCCATTAGTGGGATGGATTTGTCAGGTCACTTTTCTCTGTAGCCCGAGTCTGAGCTGATGTAGGAGGGATTCTGGAAGGTGGTATGATGAGGGGAGGAAAAGGAAAATTTAGTGGTCCATGTTAACAAAATGGAAAGTCAGTAAACCTAAATAATGCATAACCTAAATTTCTCACCTCTGCAGATTTCAATCACCAACATATAACCTAGCTTTACTGAATTGATTAGCTATCTCAAATGGTGGTATGGTAAAATCTTACTAATTTGGACAGTGGTTAAAATATATTATTCTGAAAGTATATTTACTGCTTTTAGATTACATATTTAGTGACATAAAACTAAAACATATTGCCTAATGAAGGCATGTGACTATTATATGAATGGATACTTCAGAAGTGCTCCCAGTAAGTTAATGCTTCTAAGTGGTTTTTCCCCATGTAGTCTTCCTAATAAGGCTTTTAAAACCCAGGCTTGTCTAGTTCACATTTGTTATAGAGTAGGGGAGTACAGATGAAGAGATATTTAGTTCATATAAAAAGACTGTACATGTTGGCTGGGTTTGGTGGCTCATGCCTGTTATCCCAGCACCTTGGGAGGCTGAGGTGATGCGGGCAGATAACCTGAGGCCAGGAGTTTGAGACCAGCCTGTCCAACATGGTGAAACCCCATCTCTACTAAAAATACAAAAATTAGCCGGGCGTGGTGGTGCATGCCTGTAATCCCAGCTACTCATGAGGCTGAGGTAAGGGAATCACTTGAACCCAGGAGGCAGAGGTTGCAGTGAGCTGAGATCGTGCCACTGCACTCCAGCCTGGGTGACAGAGCAAGAGTCTATCTTAAAAAAAAAAAAACAAAAAAAAAAACTGTACATGTTAACAGTGAACAGTAGATTACCATTTTGAATATAAAGGAACCATGAATTAAGTCATATTACTGATTATACCTTATCTCGTCTACAGTGGGTATATGAGAGTTATAGCACTGTCACATTAGTAAATTAGTCCTGACAGTAGAACAATTTATTTTGAAAAAGTTTGGCTATGCTGGTTGTGAGTGTTTGTGACAAAGAGCACTCACATGATTTTTTTTTCCTGAAATTCTTTTGGAAAACCATCCAAATAATGCTTCATCTTAAAAATTATGATTCAGACATTGTGAAAAACCAAATATTGCTTTCTTTAAGCAAATATATAAACATAGTTTGCAATTTTTCTTTTTAAAAATATTCTGTTTTTCTCTGTTAATTTTTGGATGGAAGGGAAACAGGTGAAGGTGATTAGGCACTTTTCCTAAAGTAATTGATTGTTAGACTAAGAAAAAAGTAGTCAGTCTAAAGAGAATGAGGGTGGGAGCAAACCTAGGTCTTTTCTTAAGCTAGTTACTCAGGGCCTTGGTTAACAGGATGTTCACCTTTACTCAGCTTTTTTCAGTTGGTGTTATTGACACTGGGTATTGGTCTCTCTGCTGTGGCCCCCTCTCCCAGCCTAGGAAAACAGCCCTAGGACATGAAGCTCCTTTTCATTTATATTAAATATTAGTAATATCTGCTAAGAATACCACCACATTTAAATAAAGGTTATTAAGAACAATTAAAAATACTAATGTTAGGGGGCTGGGCACAGTGGCTCACACCTGTAATCCCAGCACTTTGGGAGGCCAAGGTGGGTGGATCACTTGAGGTCAGGAGTTCCAGACCAGCCTGGCCAAGATGGTGAAACCCTGTCTCTACTAAAATTATAAAAAAATTAGCTGGACTCAGTGTCATGCGCCTGTAATCCCAGCTACTTGGGAGTCTGAGGCAGGAGAATTGCTTGAACCGAGGAGGCAGAGGTTGCAGTGAGCTGAGATCATGTCACTGCACTCCAGCATGGGCGACAAAGCAAGACTCTGTCTCAGGAGAAAAAAAAAAACAAAAACAACTAATGGTAGGGCACACCTACTGTCTAGGACCTAAATGAATTAGTCCCTTCTGCCACTGCCCCAGACGTGTACCACATGGAGTTCTACCTGTGAGAAGCAGCTTCATCCCAAATCTTTGCCTGCAATTTTGAGAATCTGCCCTTGTGATTTTGTTAATGGTCACATGGTTATGGCAAAATTGACTAAGATGGTGACTGGCCACTGCTGACGTTTGATGGCACGTGGAGTAGTTCCAGGGAATTAATTGGTTGTGTTCCATTTATCACACCAGGCAGAATTTACCCTAACATTAGTCTTTTCTTATTCCTGGCTTCTGGATGTTGCTCAGTTATTGGTAGTGGCTCCAGCATGAGCTTACCTTTTGTGCCACAGGTGTCTTCAGGCTCACCTTTTCATTTCAAGATTCCAAAATAGGAACACAATTCAGATATGGAATCCCATGTCAAATGCCTTAGAGTAACAGTTTTTGGAACTCTTATCTGAAACCACCCTTTGTTTTCTCTGTCTAAAGTGTATTTATTAATGTTTATCTTTCCTGATGGGTAAGCCAGACATACTTCCCAACTGCTCTGGAGGAAACTTGCCAACTTTGAGGGTGCTCAGGTGTTTCTCTTGTCTTGTCCTCTTGCCTTGCTCTGAAGTGTTCTTCTCATTGAACATCACTTTCACTTGCTGTGTGGGTTTTTTTTTTTTTTTTGAGACGGAGTCTCGCTCTGTAGCCAGGGCTGGAGTGTAGTGGCGCAATCTCAGCTCACTACAACCTCCACCTCCCGGGTCCCAGTTCAAGCAATTCTCCTGCCTCAGCCTCCTGAGTATCTGGGATTACAGGCATGCGCCACCATGCCCAGCTAATTTTTATATTTTTAGTAGAGATGGGGTTTTGCCTTGTTGGCCAGAGTGGTCTTGAACTCCTGACCTCGTGATCCGCCCGCCTCGGCTTCCCAAAGTGCTGGGATGACAGGCGTGAGCCACTGCGCCTGGCCCACTTGCCCTTTTAAGAGTCTGTCTCTCCCAGTTGACTCCTAATCTAGACTGACTCTTGAGCTGCTTGTGGGGCCACAGGTGGAAGTAGTGTGTGGTTCAGAGCTAAGTCTGTGGAGCCAGACTGCCCATCTTCAAAGCTTGCCCCACCACTCAGGAGCTGTGGGACCTTGAGAAAGGCCCATTTTTTTTAAATCTTTTAAAATGAGATAACATTGATATCTACTTCATAGGATTATTTTGAGGATACATGAGTAAATAGATGTGAAGCGCTTGTAATAGTACCTGACACATAGTAAGTACTCAATAAATATTAGTGCTTATTAATGTTACAAACTCATCTTCATGACATTCTCGGTGGTTAGTGACCGTTATGCATTGGATTGAAGGACCGTAACTATTACCCCTGCAGGAGTAGCTCCGAGGAAGACACACCTGTATGGCACATAGACCTAATTGAACAGGGCCTGTGGGCATCTGTGCATGCTGATTTCCCCTGATCATCTAAACTGCCTCCTCCTTGAGTGAGGTACATGCACACTGGAGAAGAGTTGTTCCCAGAGCCCACACACCTCACTTCTGCAGGCTTATCTACCTCTGCCCTGAGAGTGGAAGCCTGACCTCCTACATGGGCCCAGACCCTTCAGTTATCTTTATTTCGATCATGACTTCCAACATTGTGTCTGCCATGGGCTCCCTCTGCTGGTTCCTCTAGCGTGTATGCAAATCTATGGAATAACAACTTTTAAAAATTCAGTTTCAGATTTTTAGGAATGTTTGCATGAAGAACACATTTGAAAATGTCTTTTTTTTATATGTGAGTGATACAGATCACATGTATATTACTCTTTTTTTGACAGCTGCATTATGAGTTGGGATATTTTCAGGTTTGAAGTTTTTTGTTTGGTTTGATTTCAAATGGGGACTGTCATGATATGCTGAGAAACTTCTTCACAAGTAGTCATCAAAACCTGATCATTATGTTTTATATTCTAATATATGGTACTAAATATCTCAGAATATCATTTTAATAGTCTAAAGTGAATGTTATTTTAACATCTAAAGATGTGGAGACTTAGTTTTAAAGTCTGAAAAAAATAGCCTAGACTCCCAGGACATTGTTATGTTGAGGGTTTAGTACACGTTAGAAAATAGTACCTCCAATTTATTGGGTGATTCATTATTTATTTGGGGTTATAATTTATCAATAAAATGTGCCACAGTGTCCCTAAAATTGCATTTTAAAATAAGTCTTCTGTTTCTTTCATTTCCTTATCACTGTTTCCTCTCTCTTCCATCTTTCCTTCTCCTCCTCTGCTAGAATCAAACAGCATCAGTAGGATAACTGCAAACATGGAAAATGGAGAAAATGAAGGAACAATTAAAATTATTGCACCTTCACCAGTAAAAAGGTCAGTGAAGTTAACTGAAGAAACGTACAATTATATGCTGTTGTAAAAATGCTTTTTTTCTGTAGACAAGGTTAAAAATCTTTTAACTTTGATGATTAATGAATACTTTTGATCCATGGGATCCAATAAATCTCTGGGCCAAATAATACATTAAAACACCAATGAAATATAAAACATCAGGACCTGACTCTCTTATTTGAAGAAAGTGCTCTTTTTGTCACAAGGTGAACTCACAGATTGTCTGTGGTCTGCATTCTCCGCAGAAAATTAAAAATTTCTTGTGATTTTGAAAA
Source organism: Homo sapiens (assembly GCF_000001405.40). Lineage (NCBI taxonomy): Eukaryota > Metazoa > Chordata > Mammalia > Primates > Hominidae > Homo > Homo sapiens. Next base: position 112,209,598 of record NC_000005.10, on the reverse strand, counting down.
TGGCATGATATAATGGACTAACTCAGAGGGACTTGTAAAATAAAGTAGATGATATTCATGTTTAATGTACTGTGTTCATTATAGTGGTGCACTGAACTGTAGCCCTGGAAAGAGGGTTTATGGCATTTAGAGGCATCAGATCCTCAGAAGTCAGTGATTGCATATGTATGAAGACTTGTCATGGTCCTCTGCATCTGCTTTCCCAGGGGGCATTCCCCAGTGGAAAAGCCTTCTCTTAATATATTACATGGATTGTTTCCCTGAGAGCTAAGCCTTGTTTTCTGTTAAGACACTGTTGCAGAGTCATTTTTTCTTCTCTCCAATTATGTTCACGGAACAGCATTATAAACAACAATGAGCAGCTTTCATGAGCTCACTTTCTCTATAGGGGTTGCCCCCCATACATCATGGGGAAATCCCAGCAATCAGAGATATGTGACCTGCAAAGACTTCTTAGATCATCTACTTGATATTTTTTTGGTAAATAATAGTGGCTTCATTCAGCTGTATTGTGGCTACTTTGAGGAGTATAGTTCATAATTTCTCAGCAAGATAACTTTAAGATCTGAAGATTCTCAGAGTTTTAATATTTTACGCAGGGATTTGCCTATGTTTTGTTTGGTTCTAAGACATTTACTGGTTCTCCTTTTAGGATGACAAGTTCTTTATCATTGCATAACTTTAGTTTACTGTATTTCCCTTAGTCACCCTCAAGCTGTGGATAGAGATTCAGCTTCATCTGTATGTACAGGGTATGCTTGTGGTATGTTCAGCATAAGAACAGGAATCTTCCATGAGATTCAGATCCCACGCTTTTTTAGAATGTGCAGAAGGAGTACAATCCTCCTTTTAAAAATTTATTTTTTCAACTTTTATTTTAGGTCCAGGGGTACGTGTGCCAGTAGGTTTGTCACATGGGTAAATTGTTTATCACTGAGGTTTGGTGTATGCATGATCCCATCACTCAGGTAGTGAGCACAGTACGTGATAGGTAGTTTTCAACCCTTGCCCCCTCTCCTCCTCTAGTGGTCCCCAGTGTCTATTGTTCCCATCTTTATGTCCATGTGTACTCAATGTTTAGTTCCCACTTATAAGTGAGAACATGCAGTATCTAGTTTTCTGTTTCTGTGTTAATTAACTTAGGATAATAGCCTCCAGTTGCGTCCGTGTTGCCGCAAAGGACATGGTTTCATTCTTTTTTATGGCTGTGTAGTATTCCATGGTGTATATGTTCCATATTTGCTTTATCCAGTCCACTGTTCATGGTCATCTAGGCTGATTCTATGTCCTTGCTATTGTGAATAGTGCTGCAATGAGCATGTAAGTGTATGTGTCTTTTTTTTTTTTTTTTTTTGAGATGGAGTCTCCCTCTGTTGCCAGGATGGAGTGGAGTGGCACCATCTTGACTCACTGCAACCTCCGCATCCTGGGTTCAAGCGATTCTCCTGCCTCAGCCTCCCAAGTAGCTGGGACTACAGGCGTGTGCCACCACTCCCAGCTAATTTTTGTAGGTTTGGTAGAGATGGGGTTTTACCAGGTTGGCCAGGATGGTCTGCATCTCTTGACCTCGGGATCCGCCTGCCTTGGCATCCCAAAGTGCTGGGATTACAGGTGTGAGCCATTGCGCCCAGCCATATGTCTTTTTTTGTAGAATGATTTGTTTCCCTTTGAGTATATATCCAGTAGTGGAATTGTTGGATCAAATGGTGGTTCTGTTTTAAGTTCTTTGAGAAATCTCCAAACTGCTTTCCACAATGGCTGAGCTAATTTATATTTCCCCCAACAGTGTAAAAGTGTTCCCTTTTTTCCACAATCTTGCCAACATCTTTATTTTTTGTCTTTTTAATAATAGGTATTCTGACTGGGGAGATGGTGTCTTATTGTGATTTTAATTTGCTTTTTTCGAATGATTAATGATGTTGAGCATTTTTTCATGTATTTGTTGGTTGCATGTATGTCTTCTTTGGAAAAGTGCCTGTTGATGTCCTTTGCCCATTTTTTAATGGCATTGTTTGTTTCATCTTGTTGAATTGTTGAAGTTCCTTATAGATTCTGGATATTAGACCTTTGTCAGATACATAGTTTGTGAATATTTTCTCCTTTTCTGTAGATTGTCTGTTTACTCTGTTGATAGTTTCTTTTGTTGTGCAGAAGCTCTTTAAAGTCTCACTTGTCAATTTTTGGTTTTGTTGCAATTGCTTTTGGGGACTTAGTTATAAATTCTTCACCAAGGCTGATGTCCAGAATGATATTTCCTAGGTTTTCTTCTAAGATGTATTTTCATAGTTTGAGGTCTTACATTTAAGTTCTTAATCTATCTTGAGTGGATTTTTGAATATAGTAAAAGGAAGAGGTCCAGTTTCACTCTTCTGCATATGACTGGCCATCCCAGCACCATTTAGGGAGTCCTTTCCCCATTGCTTGTTCTAGTTGCTTTTGTTGAAGATCAGATGGTTGTAGGTGTATGACTTTGTTTCTGGGTTCTCTATCCTATTGCATTGGTCTTTTTGTCAGTTTTTGTACCATACCATGCTGTTTTTGTTACTGTAGCCTTGTAGTACAGTTTGAAGTCAGGTAGTGTGATGCCTCCAGCTTTGTTCTTTCTGCTTAGAATTGCTTTGGCTGTTTGGGCTTTTTTGGAGGGAGGGTCCATTTTAGAATAGTTCTTTCCTGTGAAAAAATGATGTTGGTAGTTTGATAGGAATAGCATTGCATCTGTATATTGCTTTGGGCTGTATGGCCATTTTAACAATATTTTTCAATCCCCTTTGCAACCACATTCCTGTGATGATACTGGTACTTGAAGCACCACCAAAGTTTTCCTCTCAAGCTTCAGATGAGAAATACCTTAGGGTGTGAATGCAATTAACTTGTCACCCAGGATTTTATTATTCTTTAACTTTTGTATACTCTCTCAGTTCCTCTTTTATCTCCCTATTTCTTTTCCAGTCTCCCTTCTCCCTTCTCTTTGCTTTTTCTGATTTATTGATCCCATACACTTTCTACTATCGTATTAAATATCTGCCATATTTGTTAATTTTCATCATTTCAAAAGGTAAGCTTTTACTTTGGGAATTGAATCTGTAGAGGTTTTTAGCCTTTATAAAAATAATAAACTAAGCTGCCATCTACTAATACTATGGGTTATATGCCTCTGTCAGATACAAAATTTTATAGGCTTACTTTAATTCCATCATGGATAGTATACTAGGGTGCAAGTCTTTTTTTTTTTTTAATACCTCGTCATCTTTCCTCTCTCCTCTTTGTTGGCTGTTACAAAGTACTCCTCTATGACCCTATCCTAGGACAGTTATACAGAGGATTCCTCAAAAAGCCAGGGTTAAAAGTGGATTTGGAGTTAAATAGCTCTATCTTTATCTTAAGCTAAGACTCCTGAGGATGTGAGAGGTGACACACCCCTCCCCACTGGTGCCTGGAGGCTTCTGATTAGTCCCTTCCTCCATGTCTCCCCAGGGGTTTCTAAAACAATTTGTTGAGGGTAGAACAACTCAGTTACATTTACATTCTTAGGACTGAAAGATGATACTAGGTCAGGAAATAGCATTTGAAAGTCATTCTCATCTGGAGGGATGAAGCCAAGATAAGGCGGAAGCCAGGAAAAGGTCAGTTTGAATAGCCTGAACCTGCCCGGGGCTGACCGACCTGTGTGGATTCAGACCCGTGCCTGGAGTAAGGGCTTCTCTGATCACTGTTGTAAAAAGGGAGCCAGGCTGAAGATCCTGGGTAGCCCAGGTCCTTCCTCCTTGGCTTTCTTATTTTCTTGGCTCTGTGGTTCCCCTTGCTGCCTCTCCTGCAGGTGGACTCTAGAGTTTCTTAACAATTGATGGACCTGGCATCTGTTGACTAAAGCAGTAAAACTAGAAAGAAAGAGGGGGGAAAGACCCAAAGGTACTTGCTGGAGACAGATTTTATGGGCAGCGACTTCATGTTCTTTTTAGAGTCACAGGTATAAACAAGCAAATAAGTGTGCACATCTTAACATTTGTTAAAAAGTTTTACTTAACAAATAAGTATGTGAGTTTACTTTTATTTTCTACTTAATTTATTTCTCATACTTTTTTTTAAAATTAAAGCTTTAAGAAAGCAAAGAATGAAAATAGCCCTGATACCCAAAGAAGCAAATCTCATGCACCGTGGGAAGAAAATGGCCCCCAGAGGTAAAGGGAATCATTGTTTTTATAAAGGAGACAGTAGAAAAGGGGTTAGTACATGCAGCTCATTGAATAAAGGAATCCAGCTGCTGGGTGGCTGATCACAGCTAGCTGTGGATAAAGTGGGCAGACTCTAAATCAATGTGACCCAGGGGAGAGGGGCTGGGATTTCTGAAGTGGAAATCAACAGTATGTTTTATAACATGAAACTTTTTCCTGGAAAGGCAAAAGGGAAACCTAGGAAATATTATGAAATTGCCTGTAAGGTAATATATTTCTGAAAACTCTAAATGGCATATTAATAATTTTCCCCATTTCATAGTTTTGGTTAAAAACTTAAGTCAAAAACTATAGCTGATGAATAGTTATGCTGGAAGACCTTTATTCCTAAAAATATGGATATGTCTAGTGTATCTCTGGTCACAACTACCAAACCAGTGACAGACCTGTGTTGTAACTTATAGTTCAAATTCTAGCCCTGCCACTTCCTAGCTACTTTATTTGGGCCACTTAATTAAGTAGTCTATATTTCAATTTTTTTTCTGTTTAATAGGTTTAATAGTTGTATCTCAGTGCTGAAGGCTGATATGAAGATTAGCTGAGATAATGAATGTAAAGTCTTTAGCTGAGTCAGTGTTTAGAAAGGGCTAAATTCATCATATGTATGAATTGTTATTGTTATTTGTGTGTGTTCATTTTTTACTACTGAAGGCTAGTGAGACAAATGGCATTCCTGCAAAATAATGACCTTTATGATTTGATTTGCCAGATCTTACCTCTTTTCTTTTAATAAATCTTGTCAGCAAAGAGAACCACGTGCCCCTGGTGCATGTGCCTCTGGAAGTACCAGCTGTGCAGTTATGAATAGGTCTGGGCTGCGGTGTGTTTTCCCCCAGGAACTCTCTGGGCTCTTTTTGACCATTTTTCTTTCTCTCCAGTGGACTCTACAATTCTCCCAGTGATCGCACTAAGTCGCCAAAGTTCCCTTACACGCGTCGCCGAAACCCCTCCTGTGGAAGTGACAATGATTCTGTACAGCCTGTGAGGAGGAGGTAAGCGGAACACAATCTCTCTGTTAGCAGCTTTCAACAGAAGCATTTTGTCCCAGGCCTGACTTTATAATAGGTGATTCTTATACCGACATTACTGTTTCTCTCCAAGATAACAAGCAGCTTACTCTTTTTGACATAAAATAAGTTAGGAATCCTGAAGTATTTATCGTAAACAGCCAGAGTTTTAGAGAATAATTTCATAAAATATTGGCAGGAACTTGCTTTCTGTATTCTATTTATGAATAATGTGTCTAAAAATAGTATATAATATATAATAAAAATATGTATTATATATAGTATATTACAAAGTAGAGACAGTATATCTTTTTTTTTTTGAGACGGAGTTTCACTCTTGTTGCCTAGGCTGGAGTGCAGTGGCACGATCTCAGCTCACTGCAACCTCCGCCTCCTGGGTTCAGGCGATTCTCCTGCCTCAGCCTCCCCAGTAGCTGAGATTACAGGCATGTGCTGCCACGCCCGGCTGATTTTTTTGTATTTTTAGTAGGGGTTTTTCCATGTTGGTCAGGCTGGTCTCGAACTCCCAACCTCAGGTGATCCACCCGCCTCGGCCTCCCAAAGTGCTGGGATTACAGGTGTAAGCCACTGCGCCCAGACGAGATAGTATATGTTAATATATAAAACATATTAAGTGTTTCTACCTGAGAAGACAAAACTACACTTAAAGATAAGCCTTTTTAGCTGAAAAACGCCTTTTAAAGCACAGAAAAAAATGAATCCTGTTACATTTTACCTATACGGGTAGAGTGTTTGAAGGGATAATATTTGTGTGTGTATGCTTAATTTAAAAAGTTCTTAGCTGGAAGTTTTGGACCTCTCTGCAAAGCAGGCTGGGCAGTGTGACAGGTACAAGAGAGGAAGATGTAGAAATGACTCATCAGTGAAATTCTTTTCACTCCTACATGGCAGGGACTGTGTTTTATTTTGAGTACCTACATAATTGGCATTGTATAAATGACTTTTTCCTTTTTTTGGTTTTTGTGGTTTTTGTTTTTGTTTTTGAGATGGAGTCTCGCTCTGATGCCCAGGCTGGAGTGTAGTGGCATGATCTTGGCTCACTGCAAACTCTGCCCCCTGGGTTCGAGCGATTCTCCTGCCTCAGCCCCCTGAGTAGCTGGGATTACAGGCATGCGCCATCAGGCCCGGCTAATTTTTTTATTTTTAGTAGGGATAGGGTTTCTCCACGTTGGTCTCGAACTCCTGACCTCGTGATCCCTCTGCCTCAGCCTCCCAAAATGCTGGGATTACAGGCATGAGTCACCGCGCCCGGCCTCTTTTTCCTTTTTTAAAAAAATAAAAATGTATAAATTAAAGTAGAGATGGGGTCTCACTTGTTATGTTGCCCAGGCTGGTCTTGAATTCCTAGCCTCAAGCAGTCCTCCCACCTCAGTCTCCCAAATTGCTGGGATTACAGGCATGAGTCACTGCACCCAGCCTAAATGACTTTTATACTTACAAGAAGTTTCAGTTCATGATGTCAGGTAACCATCAAGACTCTTTTTGTGCACACTGCAGGTTTGGAAGCCAAGCCCTTCTTTCACCTATGCCCTAGTTAATACACACTTGCTGGCCTTTTCCTGCTTGATCCCTTTTGCTTCTGCTAGTTTCCCAGAGCTTTGCCCCCAGCTTTCTGAAACCAAGTTCAACTTCACTGAAATCCTTTGATGGTTAAGAAGAGAAGGGTCTATATTACCTTCATGTAGTAGGACTGACATGAGGGTGCTAGATCAGGTCCAACAATGATTAGACAGAATAATAGGGTAATAGTAGGCATTTGTTTGGTATTGCCATATTCCAAGTACTGAGCAAAGTGCTTGCTCTATATTATCTCATGTAATCCCAATAATAACCCTTTGGGAAATGGCATTTGTATTCAGGCATGATGTGATTCTAGCAGAGGGGGATTAAGTAGGGAATTGGTGCAAAGGTATAAGTAGGATTGAAGGTGCAAAAAGCAGAGAGTGGTGTAACTCAAGAGATCTAGCTGCTTTTACTGCCTCTGGACTGAAGGAATGCAAAGAGAGAAGTGGGTGTTACCTGGAGACCAGAAGCCGCTTCCACCTTTGAGCAGGCAATCCTGAGCCTGTGCTTGCTGCTGACAATGCTGCAGGCACCGTGATGGATGCTAGACAGGGACCACTCTTGCTGACACTGCTGGAGATACCACCACTGTAGCCGAACAAAGAACCCCCACTTCTCAGGAGTGCAAGAGTTGATGCCACAGGTACAACTAGAAGGAAAATAACTTTTCCTGTTCTCTGCCTTCAGATCTAACTGGAGTCTCTCTTAACTAGAACCCAGCTGGCAAAGTGTCCAGGAATATAAAATTTCCAGGCTTTCTATCTCTGCAGTAGAGAGTAGATTATAGATGAGTCAGTAGAGGCTGAGTACCAATGAAAAATATTCAGCCCACCATCACCATCTCAGTTTTACAGATGAGAAAACTGAGGCTCAGGGAGATGATGGTAGCTTGTCCTCTGTGGCACACATGGGATTGGAATCCCAGCCTGTACATCTGAAAAAGGTGGAGATAGTGATAGCCCTCATTTAAATAAACTGTACTTCAGCCCTTACTCAGCATTCTCCTTGGGAACACCAAGAGTTGGTTCAATTTGGACAATACTTAAAACCAAAGCAACACCACTGGGAAATACTTTAAAGTGCATTTGTGTGTATTGTGTGTTGAGGCGACATAGGTGGCAGGGATGATTAGAATTTAGCATATATTATTCGTAGATAGAGTTTTATAGTTTTCTACCCTTAATTAATTAGTGCAATTTGTCAGCACTCCCTATATAAAATAATTACACATGTTGAGCAGATAGTCATTTTAATACATTTGAAAATGAGCTTAATTACATTTTGCTAAAATATGGCTAAATTTGCATATTTTCATACAAAATAATTGCTTGAAATAGTTTGCAGCATATACACTCCCAAATCCAGACTTGACTTCTACACTGAGGTTCATTTTCCGCTGGCTTCCTGTGAAACACAGAGAAGTAATTGTGGAGAGTGGATACAGGATCCTTTCATTGGCGTATTCCAGGGGAAGGCTATTTAAATTTGCTGGGAAGAGGATCTTTTTGCCTGAGCATCCATAGAGCCTTTTGCCTGATGCACTTACAGGTCTCTTTTGGGGACGTGTGTTTTGAGGCAATGAGCCATTGCTGCATGTTGACATAAAAAGGACTAAAGCACATTCTTCTCTGTTTCTTCCCAGTATGAATGCCCTATAAGTGTCGTTGTCCTTGTCAGTCTTTTTTATCTTCACACATATTTACCTTGCACTCAGCACAAACCTCTACATTGCTGGATTAACACTGGCATTTAAAATCAAGACATGTCATCAGCATGGAAGAATCTCAAGGACTTAAATTTAATAATAGGAAATTATATTTTGCTTTGGATACCAGGATAATACACTTTGCAATAGATGTCAAAATTTCCTATTTTGTTTATCATGAGGTGGATACAAGCTATCAAATTCTGGCCGAGTCCAGAATAGTGGTCCTTAACCTTTTTGGGTGGTACTACCCTCTGAGATCTGGTGAAATGTTGGATTCATTCCTTAGGGAAAGGTAGGTTCATATTTAAATACATATAAACATCTGCATATAATTTTCAAAATTTATGGAGACCCTGAAGCCTGCTTGTTTAAACGTTCCTATTCTAGAAAAAGAAAGTCAGCATATTTCCTGGTAGTACAATATATTTTCACTCCTCAGCTTTCAATTTTACATTAAAAAATGTTTGGGTGCCTGTTGTATGCCATGCAGTGTGCTGCTGCCATTAGACAAAGTTGTTGTCCTTTGGGAGCTTAGATGCTGTTAAGGGATAAATACATGAGTCATAGGAATATATGTGCCATTGTGACTTTAATACATAATATGAAGGTAAGCTATGTGGTACTTAAGGGAATTTTAAAAACTTTTTATTGAAACCTAGCATGCATACAGAAAAGTACACGTGTCATAAGTGTAATGCATGATAAATTTTTATAAATAGATGCCTGTGTAATGAGCACTGTTAGGGGAAGTTTGCTGAATCACTGAGCCAAAGAGGTTGGGGTTAGTTTCCTGAGGTTGGATGCTTGCGCCAGGATCTGAGATACAAACAGGCTAAAAGAAAGGAGCAATCATACCAGATAGAGGGGCTAGCATGTGCAAAAGCATTGGGAATGGAAAGAAGCAGGAAACCTTCATGAAAACGAAAAAGGCCAGTGTTTATCAGACTCTGAGAGTGAATAAAAATGTGTTAGAAATGAGCATAGAGAGAAAGATGGGATCTGATCTTACAGCCCACCTGGACTTTGTTCAGGATTTTGGTCCTTAGACCAGTGGTTTTTTACAGGAAGTACAATAACATCACATTTGTGTTTGTACAGATGACCCTCACTGTCCTGTGGAGAAATGGTGAAAGTGGGTAGTAGCAGAAGACCAGGCAGCAGGCTATTGTCCGAGTCCTAGCAATAGAGAATGGGAGCATGGACCAAGGTGGTGATGTGGAAATATAAAGAAGTAGATGGTTTCAGTAGCCAGTGAGAGGTAAAATTGGTAGGAGAATCAGTATGAGGGGTAGAGGAGAGGGAGCTGTCCAGAATGAAACCCAGGCTTGTTCAGTTTTTTGAATTCGATGTGTTGCGTAGAAGTAGAATCATCAGGACTTCACAGGCTTGAAAGGGACAATTGCCAGTTTAGATTCTGATATCCTGAATTTATGGTACTTCTGAGAAGTCCAAGTGTGGGATTCACATGGGTTGTGAATGGAAGTCAGGGGCTTGATTTGCTTTATGGACCGAAATATAATCTTAAGTATGTTACTTGAAATATAGAGATTAGGTTGTTTAGGTGGATAGTATAGATAGAATGCAAAAAGACAAAGCCAATGACAGAGTTGTAAGAAGCTCCAGCATTTGGCTTAATTGAAGATTAACTGGTAAAGGAGAAAGAGAGATTGTGGCCATGGAAAAATCAAGAGAGTGAAAATTTGCATACCAAATGTCTCCCTTCTCTCTTCATTCCCAGAATACTAGAATCCAGGCTTATATTACCTAGGCAGAAAATTAGAGAATCCCTTTGTAAGAGATGGACAGGGACAAGAGAAAAGACTATGGATACTAGCTTTCAAAGCATCTTCCATTGAAACGGTTATATCTCCCAGGCATGAGACTAGAGAATCTCACTGCAGGAAATGGACTAGGTACAAGAGAAAAGACTTACATATACTTACTTTCAAAGGATCATCCAGTGAAATGATTGAGGCTGCCCTCATATTACTGTGAGGCCATTAATTAACGTGCACTGCACCATCCAAAGGGCTCCAGTCATTTTAACACTTACTGCTTGAATAGGAAGAGAGAGCCATGAACGCCTGCATTTGAGCATTGCTTCTGTCTAGAAAGGCAGAGACTAAAACAAACAAATGGGGTGTAGGGTGGGGTTGGGGGCATTCTCACAGGAAACAGACAATATAAGAAATAAAAATTTCTAAAAAACTAATTATTTAGAAAGATGAAAAAATATAACCATGAATTTCTATCAATACAAAGGTAAGAACTAATAAATAAGAGTTATTAGGCTTAAAATTAGTGTGGCAGAATTTAAAATGAGTAAAATATTTGGAAGGTAACATTAAGAAAATCTTCTCCAAAACGGAACCAAAAAACCCACAATAAAACAAATGTATGGAAATAAGAATAATAAAATTATCAAACCTAGATATCAAACATTCAACTAATACAATTTCTAAGAAAAAAGAACAGAGAAAACATAGGAGAGGAAACTATTAAAGAAACAGCAAAGCGAATATTCCGGAACTGAAGGATGTGACATTATAGAGAAGAACCCACTAAGCATTTGACATAATCGGTTGAAAAGTTAGATTCATTCGAAGGTTCATTATAACTAAATTTCAAAACATTATAGATTAACAAAGAATTCTAAAGATTTGGAGGGGGCATGGGAATATGGGAGAGAAAAAAATATCCATGTACAAATAGTGACAAATCAAAATGACATTGGGAGCCATGTACGGTGGCTCATGCCTGTAATCCCAGCACTTTGAGAGGCCGAGGTGGGCCGATCACCTGAGGTCAGAAGTTCAAGACTAGCCTACCCAACATGGTGAAACCCTGTCTCTACTAAAAATACAAACTAGCCAGGCGTGGTGGTGCATGCCTGTAATCCCAGCTACTGGTGGAGGCTGAGGCAGGAAAATCACTTGAACCCGGAAGGCGGAGGTTGCAGTGAGCTGAGATCGCACCACTGTACTCCAGGTTGGGCCACAAGAGTGAAACTCCGTCTCAAAAAAAAAGAAAAAAAAATTGGGCTGCTTAACAGTAATATCAGAGGAAGAAGGCAAAGAAGTATTGCCTTCAGAAGTCTGAAAGATTATTTTCAGTTTAGGAGTCTATGCCCAGATAACCATAATTGTTTGTATAGAATAAAGACATTTTCAGAAATTTTGGGTTCCAAAAAAGTGTATCTGTCATGCAAATTTTTCTGTTAGCAACTAAAAGATACACTTTACCAAAACCCAGACAAGTAGCCAAAAGACCTGGAGATGTAGGGTCCATCATATCAAGAAGCAAAAGGAGTTCCTTGGATCATGGTAAAGGGGAGTTAGTCAAAGGTCCAGGTATGAGCAGGAGGGCAGAGGGCTCCAGGAGGGATAAATGGAACTTGCAGATTACCTGAGTATCCATCCATAGCAGGAGTTTTGCTGTTCTCTCAGAGTTTGAAGAATTAGTGATAAGCAAAAGAACCCTAAGCAAGTGATATGTACATGGAAAACTTAGGCAAGTATCTTCTCTTAGAAAATTTAAAACCTACAAAAGAATGGAATCATATTCCTGGAACACTATTTAGATCGTCTGTGACCAATTTCGGTATAATTGTGTTTATGCTAAATAGTGACCCCAAAATTTGATGTAAGAACAGAGACCACATATTGCTGTTCATGTTATTTGATATAAGTGTGTTGGAGGAAATGGAGTAACGTAAGCCATACGTTAAAGAGATCAGAATGGGAAGGTGCTAGATTACAGATTGTAAGGAAATGGAGCATGGGGCATAGACACCACTCTCCAAAAGTTTGGCTTTGAAGGAGAGAGGAGAGACTGGGCAGATGAGGGGGGATGTGGACTCAAAGTAGGTCTATGTTTGTTTAAACAGTAGAGTCTTGAAAAAGTTAATAGCTTGTAAAAAGAGTCTGCTAGACGGGCAAGGTGACTGTGTGAGAGGTGGGAGGGTAGTTAATGAAAGTCATTGAAAAGACACAGGGTGATGGGACCACAAAGCACTGGTGGAGGGACTAACCTTGGTAGTAAGGATAAATCCATAAATAACAGAGAGGAAGATGTTGGTAAGTTTTTATTTTTGGTAGCAGGAAGATGAAAGAGTTACATCTGGAGGCTGCTTTTTCCTTCGGAAGGAGAAAACAAAATCATTTGCTGAAACAGGAGTACTGTGGGTCAGAGGGTTGCAGGGTGGAGAGTTTGAAACCACTTTGTACTTAGATCTGTGAAAAGTGGCAGGATTGCTGAACCGTGGTGTGGCCCCACTTGAAGTTAATGAACATGGATTTGTAGTGTAATACACCGCTTTTGTGTGACTCCTTCCAGCACTGCTCAGCCAGCTGTTTAGGACTGATCCAGAAAACTTGCATAGTTGGATTCACCCATGCCTGGGATTTTGCCAAAAAGATGGAATGAAAAACAGAGTTGAGGAACATGTTGAGTATCAGCATGCATGTTATTGAAATGATGGATTAGGAAATCTAAGCTGAGTACAGAAGACAGTGAAGAGAAGTGAAGAGCTGGTGGAGAGTAGCCAGGTCAATAGATAGTCTTATTGGGGTCAAAGAAAAGGAAGAATGGAAATAGTTGAATAAGCAATAACAGCTTATCTTGGTTGAGTGCTAACAATGGCCCAGGTCCTAGTGTATGCATTTTAAATGTATTAATTCGTTTTATCCTTTAGAGGAGACTTTAAAGGAGATTCTATTAAAAATGAGTCACTGAGTAGAAAAGTAACTTATTTAAATCACATAACTCATCAGTGGAGAAGATGGGATTCACATTCATGTTGTCTGGCTCTAGAGCCAGCACCTTTAACCAGGATGCCCCATTGAAGCTGTTTGAAAGTAAATGGCGAGTGGTAAACAGGAGGAAGAGGAGATTGTGGTAAGAGAGCAAAGTGTTTGGAGGTGGTTACAGATGATAAAGTCGTAAGTATGAGGTAGGTTGCTGAGTTGAAGTGGAGGAGATTATGAGAGAAGAGATAAAGAGAATTTGGAGCCTCAGGGTATGGGAAAGGGCATCCAAGTGAGATGATGTCAGTTCCACTATGGCAGAAATCAGCTTGGAGGATTGCAGTTCTGAAACTGCAGACTAACCTCATCATTGGATTAATGGAATTCGGACGGTTTGCAGGTTCCACTAGAGTGAGGCCAGGTGATGTTATTAACATTATATTTCTGGGACGTGTTGTATGTAGGGTTAGGCATATACATATGACGTAAATGTTTGGCAAATGAATGAATGTATGACAAATATGTGTTAACTGAAGTGAAACTCATTTTGGTGTGCTTTCCTTAGCCAATTGATAATCTCCTGTTTTCTTAAATGTCTTCATTTGTTTTCACAGGAAAGCCCATAACAGTGGTGAAGATTCAGATCTTAAGCAAAGGAGGAGGTAAAAAAACAAAAATGGAAGGACAGTCAGAGGGAAGAAGGGTTAGCAGATTTAGAAATGCTCAGAGTTAAGGAAAGAGCGGGGGCATTATTTTTTTTTATTTTTTTTACTTTCAAAAGCCAGTTTGTCTTCAGCTGATTCCCAGTCTTCCATTCTGTTGCATCCTAAGACTGTGCTGTTTCCTGCTCCTTTGTGTCTCAGAGGAGCTGTCTTATTTATCTGTTGCCATATTATAAACCACTGCAGAACTCAGTGGCTTAAAGCAGCAACAACTCTATTTATCTAGTATAATTCTGTCCATTGAACAGGCAGCTTTTTAGCTCGTCTTGTTCACGATTTCATGAGGCTGTGGTCAGATGACAGCTGAGGTTGTGTTATCCAGGGGGCCTTTCTCTTTCGTGTTGGCATCTTGGCAGAAAGGCTGGAGGCCTGGGACCTCTCTGCATAGTTTCTCCACCTGGCTAGCTTACACTTCTGTAGACACTTCTTTTACACTTCTTTAGGCTGGGAGGAAGCAGAAGCTACCAGTCGGTTAAGGGGCTAGTCCTGGAACTGACATAGTATCCCTTCCACCTCATTCTATTGGTAAAATCAGTCACAAGACCAGTGTAAATTCAGAGGATAGGGAAATAAACTCTACGTCTCTCAGTGGGGCGGATGGGAGGGTTACAAGATTTTGTGTCCATATTTAGTCCACCACCGACTTACGGCTTTGCCATGTCAGAGTTCTGTTGGAAGTGATTGATTTTGCGGTCCGTTCTGGGAACATACTGACATTCACCTTAATCGGTTTTTATATTTCCCCTGCATTGCCATTTCCCTGAGCTATAGACTCAGTCAGATGTCTTACTGAGTTCAGAAACACTGACTTGGAGAGGGATAATACAGCTCTTGATGTTTGGATTGATAATTTTACTGCAAAATGAATTCCAGAGGACCCATATAAACCTTTCTGAAATTGTTCGTGAGTTATAAATGTGTGTTTTTTCTTTTGTTCTTACCTTTTTGTCTTCAGGTCACGTTCACGCTGTAACACCAGCAGTGGTAGTGAATCAGAAAATTCTAATAGAGAATACCGGAAAAAGAGAAACAGGTAATATCTCAATATTATAATTAACTGGCACTCTGAAATCAGAGGCTGCCCTTGGTGGTAGAAACTGAGTGTCCTTTGTAAGTCTGTTTTTTCCATCTGAGTCTGAGAAGCAATCTGGCACTATTTTGAAGCACTTAGTTTAGGAAACTTTAGCTCTTTGAGTGGAGTTTTCTTATCTTCACAATAAGATGATTAAACAACTTGACAATGAGGTCCCTTCTTGTGTGTGTGTGTGTGTGTTTTAAAAGATGATTCTGTATATAGCTACAATGTGTAGTGAATTTCTCTAAGGCTGGTAAGAAAGTTTACCATTCGTAGATAGATTTCTCCCTGAACTATCTTTTCAATGGCATTACTATATTTTACCCAACCAAAAATAACTCATTGTTTCTTAGATTCTGCGGTTTCAGGCTTATGTATATATATATATGCTAATAATATGTGCATTTACTCATCTGTGTGTGCCTGACATTCCATATATGTAAGATAGATTTTTAAGATATTTTTAATCACATCATTTGACATGTAGTCAGTATTAGTGGTGGCTTAATGCATTAATCAGTTATCCCTAGTTCCAAAATATGCACTCGAAAACAAGAAGTATTTGTGTCATTAATGAAAAGAGCACCTTGGGAGTCAGAGGGATTTGGTTGCCAGTCATGCCAGTTGTTAACCCAGTGGTTCTCAACTGGGGGAGTTTTGTCCTCCCTGCCTTCTCCCCAAGGACATTTGGCAATGTCCAGAGTCATTTTTTATCGTGACAATTGGATAGGGGGATTGCAACTGTCCAAGGATGCTGCTAAACATCGTGCGATGCACAGGACAGGACCTGGCAACAAATAAGTACCTAGTACAAAAACATATCAGTAGTGCCACTGTTGAGAAACCTGTTTTCACCTAATGTGGACCTCTGGCTTGGTTGCTTTACTTTTCTGGGTAATTTTTTTCTCTTCTGAAAAATGAGGAAGGCCAGGTGCGGTGGCTCACGCCTGTAATCCCAGCACTTTGGGAGGCCAAGGCAGGCAGATCACCTGAGGTTGGGAGTTCGAGACCAGCCTGACCAACATGGAGAAACCCTGTCTCTACTAAAAATACAAAATTAGCTGGGCGTGGTGGCACATGCCTGTAATCCCAGCTACTCAGGAGGCAGAGGCAGGAGAATCGCTTGAACCCGGGAGGTGAAGGTTGCAGTGAGCCGAGACTGTGCCATTGCACTCCAGCCTGGCAGCAAGAGAGAAACTTCATCTCATATAGAAAAAAAAAGAAAGAAAGAAAGAAAGAAAAGTGAGGAAGTTGGATTGGATAATCTCCAAGGTCTTTCTTTAATGCTTAGAACCCTTGCGCTTGGCACAAATTGAATCAGTGATCCTCTAACTACAAAGCCTGTGTAATAATAGCCCAGACAGCATTGTAAGAGTGGACATTTTTTTAGGAAAGCATTCTATGTGGAGCCTTCTGAGGCTGGAATTACACTAGACAGATGGGAGATCTCAATGTGTTACGACACCTTTCTCAAAGAAATGATTTCAGTTTCTTCTTTGAAAACCCATATGTGGGAGGTAGCTCCTTCTTAAGTATCCTCTTTCTGATAAAAAATTCAGTATTTCTGCGCAAACAACACAAAACAAAGCAAAAATACCCACTTATTTTCTTATTTAACACTTTTTATTGATCAAGCCAGTATTTTAAGTCTGTTTCTGTTTTACCTAATATATTCTAAATTGTGCCCATAAGTGTTCTGTTCTCAACTGTTCAGAAGGTGGCCCTGAAAATAAATAAAATAAAACATTTTTGGGGGAGCCAAAATTGCTCACAGTACCATTCGCTACTGAAAATGAAACACTAGTGAAAGGTTGCCATCAAATAATTAAATTGCTCATACTGATCTGGTTGCACTGGCTTTAATATTTCTTGTAGGTATTTTCTCCCTTAAGAGTTTCTTCCCCCTTTTTCCTGGACAGATTAGATTGGCTTTCTTTGTACTGTGTAAAAAGTATATTTTAGAATAACGGTGATTCTGAATGTTTAATGCACTTTGTAAGGCTAGTAATGAGAAATAGCTTTCAAAACACATTCCGACACGTTTCATGCAAAAAATCCAACAGGCCTTCACAATCATTTATGCTACGTATAGAAATATTGCTCTAGGAATACCTAAGTTGCCTATGGCTGTAGAAGATGTGGTATAAAGTCTGCCTGTCAGTAGCATAGCAAAAAGTGGGCAGAGGAAGAAGAAATATAGCTTTCAGTTCTGATCCCCACCACTGCAAATTCTGGCGCAACAGGTAACTGTACAGAGAAAGAGGGTGGAAACTCATTGTGCTGTCTGTCTCTTGGTGCCACTTACCTGCTATGCTGTGCTGCTGCCAACCCCTCCATCCCATCATTAGCCTCTTAAATTTTGCCGGAACCCACTCATCCCACATGAGGATGCATAGGTCTGGATATTTCATCTGCAGCCCTGCAGTCTCTTCAGCCTCATTCGTCCTTCCTTTTCTTGGCTGACAGTGTGATCCAGCCAGTTCTCAGCAGTGTCCTTTGTGCTTTTACTACAGCACTCCGGTAACCCAATAATGGGGCAAACAGAATCTTGTACATGCTGATGTTCTACCTCTTGCCCATAAGGTCTCTAAACTCAGCCCCAGGTTGCTTCGTTACTTTCCAAGAAAAGCCTGCACGCCGATGCACCCTGCTTTCCTGTCTCTAGGAAACTGTAGCCTATGGAGAGGGACAACTACCGGGCAAATTTGCTTTTTAGAACCTCTTTTGGAGCCCGTGATGTATCCATTGGAACTCCGGACAGAGTCACTTTTACTTTCTGGAAGTTGCATGTGGTCTTTGGGATGTTGCTCCCTCTGCTACTCCTTCTTGCAGGATTTTTTTTTTTTTTTTAAACATAAATGAGGTCTTTTCTGTTAGGCATGAGGCCACTCCATGGAAATATTGTTTTCTTTTTTCCACGAAGTCAACCCATTGGAGCATAAGCTGCTTTACTGTTTCCATGGATAACCATTTAAACATTTCTCATTTTGTGTGAAGAGAAAGAAAAGTTAATAAAACAACATTTATGAATCAACTTTACCCAAAACAGGCTTTTGACAACCATTAAATTTTAAAAAATAATAATCCACACCAGCTCTGGAAGGCTAATGTTAGAAGCAAAGATTGTTGTTTAGTTTCAATTTTAGGAAAATATAACTGTAAATAACCACCCCATCTGTCTGTCCCCTTTGGGTCCAGAGCTAACAAGGCTCTGTGTGTAAGGGCCCTTGTGTTAATTGTGCCCTAACTGTAGGGCTTCATCCTACCGTGTTTCCTAGAACACCAGAGTAATTCACCCTGCTTCTTTATTTGGGACATCGTTTATGTTTTCCCTTACCCCTTTCCACTTTATTCTTTCTTTACTGTTCTCATAATCCGGTTGGGTATCCTACAGCTTTCTAGGTTTTGAGATTTGAGATGATAATTTTTCACTCTCTTTTTATAACCAGATAGAAGTTGGAGGCACAGTTTTTTTTAATAATATTTAAGATGACAGAAAGTTCTTATTTCTCCTTTTAGTTTCTCTACTACATCCTCATCTCCCTCTCCATTCTCTTGCTTCACTTTTCACTTTTTATATCATATTATTCTCACCCAGTTCCTTTCTGTTTCCTGGGCTTCCTTTCCAGTCTTTTTTCTTTCTTCTGTTTCCTTTGAATTCCCTCTCTCCCTAGGAGCCAATGGTATGACACAGAATAACCTGAGGACTTGGGACTGGGTCTTGGTTTTGCTGTGTGCTGATACTTGACCTTGGGCAACTTGTATAACCAATTCAAGTATTAGTTTTTTTCTCTTTAAAGTTGGCAGGGAGTGGGGGGAGGTATGCTATAACAACTGATCCATTTTGTTGAATGAGTTACTGTAAAGATCAAATGAAATGTAAGAAGTGAGAGCACTTTGAAGTACAGAGCCACGTAGTCCTATACCCACTTCCAGAGTTACTCACTGCTACGGCATCTCCTGTCCTCTCCTCCATCCTCTTCCAACTTTTCTTTTGGTCCTATGTTTCATTTTCCCACCTTTCCTAACTTTATACCTTTGGTTATTTTTACACCAGGATTCTTAACTTGTGATTCATGGGTAGGTGCTGGGGGTTTCATAACCCCATGAAATTGTATGTAAAATTGTATGTGGGCGTCAAGTGCGTAGTTTTCTAAAGATAGGGTCTGTAGTTTTTATCAGATTCATAAGGGGGTGTTTATGTAACACCCCCCCCTTAAAACTTACAAAGTTTTATCATCTAAATAGTGAAGGATTACATTGTTACTGGGAAATGAAATTGGTGTTTCAATTCACTGGTAGGATTAAAAACTAAAATGCCTAAACTTTCTTTAGAGATTACTTTGCTATACTAATTTGTGAAACAGTTGATTCTATTGAATTCTTGAAGTTGGGAACCTACCTAGTACAAGGCACTATAAAGTTAATCTACATGAATATTAGATTCTATTAGTTAGAATTTTGAATCTCGTCCCTGAGATCAGAAGGGCCAGCAGCTCGCTTATTGCTGTAGGTTTGAGACCATGGGCCATGTGCTGGACTTGCCCAGGGTGTAGGATGAAGGAGGACCTCGCAAGTAGACTTAGGAGAGTGAAACCTTTGATGAACTAGCTTTACCTGGATATGTCTTAAGCTTAATAAAATATCCTTGACATTCAAGGAAAAGGTTCTACAAAATATCCTTTGTGCTATTGATGAAAATCAGCAGTCCTTTGAGCATTCACTGAGGAGAATCTTTGAATTACTCATTCATTCATTACCTTTGATGTGTTTCTAGGCTCTTAGAAGTTTGGAAGTGGGAGATGTGGAGGAGTGGGTGACATGAGATAGTCTGGTGCGTTTTTTTCCATCAGCATAAAAGTAGAAATAACTTGGGAGCCTACCAAGTATTAAAACAGAGAAACGAGAGCAGCTTAGGGTAATAGTAGAACTAGAGGAAATTGACAACAGGGGACTATTTGAACGTTTCCCTAATTTTATTCTAGGATGTTTGCATCATAAACATGAGTCATGTACGTCAGTGTCAGGCTGCATGTTTGTGTACATATATATGTACATGCAAATCTGGGAGCCTGTACTATGAAATTGAACCCACTTTGAAGAATTCTGTGGCTTTGAGCTGGTTACTTTATCCTGTGAATCTTCATTTCTCACATGCAAAGTGGAATAATACCTGACCTGCCTACCTCACTAGAGGTTTGTGAAGTTCCCGAGATAATAGATGTGCTTTGAAAAGTAGAAAGTGCCCTGCACAGGCAAGTTCTGTTAAATTGATAACATCCAGCACTGCTCAGTATTTTCTGAAGTTCCTGCAGGATCTGTAAAATGGGGACCAGCTCCCTTGAACAAGAAATAAGTCAGTGTTTTCTAACATGAGTTTGTTCTGGCATGAATGTTGCTAGTTTCTCCCTAACAACATTGGGGTCTTTTAGATGTCTTTTAGGGTCTACCAGATGTCTACAGTATCTAAATAGTAGATTAAGACAGATTTAAATATTTTAATTATGTTCCATAAGGTCTTTTATATTGTTTTTCTAAAATGAGGAAGCACATTTCTGTGTGAGAAATTTGGCACTGTAAGAGGGACAATATATCTGACTAGGGCAAATCTAGAAGATCACAATTTTGGTAGGATTTTGTTTTGGGAGTGGTAAAGAAGAACTTTATTGTCCCTGTACCCTAGGGAAAAAATATATTTGGGATGTTAGCAAACTTAAACTGATGGGCATTTCTTCCGTCTTGCTTGAAAATAGGTAACCGCTTCCTTGCCAGGAACTGCCTACTGTCCTGCCCCTGATTTAGGGGCTGCAAACGAGGTAAAAATTTTGGGTACGGAGAGAAGAGTTCGTACAAAGCTAGTGGAAACAGTGTTCACCGTACTGCAGATGCAAGGGTTTCTGATTTCTACTTTAATAGGATATATCAAGATTTAGACATTTGATATGGTTGATTTAGGGCTTCCAGAGTATAATCAAGGTTGGCAGAGATGACTGTGGAAGGACAAAGCCGCAGCAACTGAGGAATGCTGTTACATTACTGAGTGAGGGCAAAATAGGTTAAAAATTCATGAAAACAGGAGAGTTTGAAAGGGAAATTGCGCCAGAGGTAGCCCATTGTAGTAGTGGGCACGTAAGGAATAAGTGGAAGAGACAGAAGTACCTTTAAGAGCAAATAAGAATAATTTATTGATGGTAGAGACAATGGGAAAAGCAAATGAACTTTTTGCTTGCTGGTCTTAAGGGAGTATGTCGACACATGCCTGGAACCAACATACATTTCCCTAGGGAAGAAAAACTAGAAAAAAAAAAGATTGCTTTATAGCAGGTGATCCAAAAAAAATGAGTACAGTTGATGAGAAACACAAGTTCACAATCAGTTGGGGCCTGCAGATTTAATTTTGGCAATGGAGGGGCCATGTGAAGCAATTGTCTGGAATGTTATGCTATAGTTGAAGAGTGTAAGTTTCTTTCAGTGTGTCTGTCTGGTTTGGAAATAAAATACAAATAGAGAAACATCAAGTTTTAAAGCTAGAAAGGATCTTTGCCATAATTTTATATATGAACAACCTGAGACTTGACCAAAAAAGATAAGCAGTTTGTCCAAGGTCTCTGAGTCAGATAATGGCAGAGCTGGGAATGGAGAAAACTCAGGAGCAATGTTTATGGCTTGTATCATCTTGAAGCTTCATTTTACATTCTCTCTGAAAGACTTCTTAGATTCAGCATTAAGCATGGTGTTTATCTCAGTGAATTAGAAGTGAATTAAGAACTTATGTAAAGAAAGGTTCTGTTAGGAGCAAAACTGCTAAAGGGAGAGGACACAATAAAACTCGGGGATTTGTGTAAGAATTCATTGGTAATGTGAAGAATTTTGCAAAAGAGGAAGGACTGTAATTGGTAAGACAGGAAAGAAGAGGCTAGGAATAGTCATTTTCTTCATTGTTATCAAATGATTATATGGCATTTCATCTTCAAAACCTTTGCAGACCTTAATTAAATGTCAAATGCAGTTAAAATCTAAATTGTATGGATAGTCTGGAAAAGTAGAGTGTTGAAGTTTGGTAAGAGATGGAAGAAATACATTAGAATTCTGTTCTGAAACATGGTTAGAATTTGCTGTATTCTAAAGCAACCCTCTCCCTTATACATTAACTGAAAAACAAAAACCTTGTTATGATATACTTCCTACCACAGTTGTTGACCCTCCATAGTTACAGATGGAGAAATTGACAAAATAGGATAAATGTAGACTTATTGGATCAATTAGTACTGGAAATAAATGTTTGTTAGTTTATTGAGGTTCACCTTTAGATGCAACATTTGAAAATTAATAGATCCACAACATAAATGACAACGGACTCTTTTTCCTTTTTGAGACTTTGATGACTATGATGTAAGAGCACATTTTGACTTTTTAAAAGGTACTATGTCAAAACAATGTTTGTGGTATTTTATTCTTCATGATGTAAATCTATACATCGAGATTAAAATAGAGCAGGAAAGGAGCAAAAAACTATTTGGATCCCCCATACCTGAGAATAAATGAGACTTAAAAAGTCAGAATTATCACAGTAAACATATCTTTTTCATTTAAAGATTTCTTTATTCACTCATGCATAAACAAAATAGTTACTCCTGCCTCTTAAGGACAAAGTGCTACAATATTCTTGCTTCTAGGGCTAGGATTTTTTTCTTTCCAAGTAGCACCTGTGTTTTTTGGAGCGGTTCAGCAGTGGAAGAAATGACACTTTCATTCTTGTAATGAGGCACCATTAACTAGAGGTCTTTTGTAAGGATGTAATTTCAAACTTCATTACAGGCCAAGGCCGCCACACTACCCATTACTCAGGAAAATGTGCTTCTGTTGTGACTCTCCAAAGGCTCTTACATTTTTAATGCATCTTGTTAGAATATTTATGAAACAGCATCGCCAGTAGAGGGCATCTGTCTTTGAAACATGTGGATCACAAGGATATTAACTGACAGGGTTTCACTGCCCTCACTTTAGACTTTTCAGTTAGAAAAAAAGGTAAAGGTACATGTATAATCTTGAATTCTTTCTGATTTGGTCCTTATTACTATTATAGCAGGATACAGGAAATACGCATGCTTATGTCTCAGGAGTTTTAATTTTTTATCATCAGAGTGAAGTCTGAGTATGAGGGTAGCCAGCTGAATTCCACAATAGATGAGAATGAACATACAGTAACTGTGCTTCCTTTTCAGTGTCTGTTACTCTAGGAAAAGTATGTGTTTGCCCAAGTTAGGCCTCAGCTTTGTTAGCAGGTTTGACCTCTCAAAAATATTTAGACGCCCCGACTTCCTGACACAAACATTTCACATTGTAAAATTTCGTTCTGCCCATCAACTGGACAGTGATTTTGTTCAGAATGAAAGCTGCATCCTAAAAGACTCCAGGGTTAGGAGTTAGGAGACCTGAGTTTTGTGTCCAATCCTGGGCCCAGCAATCCAGGTGTGGGTTCCTGTAGGAAGGGAGATGCCACCTTGCCAGCGCAGCACCTTCCCCGTGATTGTCTCTTCCTAACCCTGACCCCTCAGTCCTGGGGGTGTCCAGGACTGCTCCCCTACCAGCAAGCCTTGTGGGTTTCTGACTGTCACATGAACACAGAATGGCTTTTAGGTGTAGGTTCTGGCTACAAAAATGTGTGTGTGTTTACAGCACACACGGGTACCAACATGCCATTTTCAAATGGGAGTGTTTGTTTCAAAGAATGATTAATAATTATGACCTCAAGTAGTATACCTTCTCATAGTTTTCTTCAGATATTTCTAATATTAAGGTCCATAGCAGTATATGTTCAATTTAAATTTACTCTGTACATGCAATGAGAGAAAGAATTATGCTCTTAAATCTGTGAAAAATACCTTGACAGTATCCTGTTAATCTTCAAATAATAGCCTATTAAAAATGAAAACTTTAGTGAGGAAATACATACACTTCAAAGGCTTGGAGTATGTTACAGATAGTTTTTTACTTAGCACAATTCTTCTTTAATCTAGAGAGATTTAAACAGTTTCTTCCTCACAAAGTGCTGTTCTTTTCAACTTGAATTTGCTTTACATTATGTCTAAGTTATATGTGAAATGAATATTTGTCACCCATCCACTGATTTGCACCTGTAAGCAAATCCAGATATCCAGCCCACAGTCTATACTAAGTGCAATAACAGAGGAACCAAAAGACATCTGTTCAGAGAAGGAAATGCCTCCAAGCCTGCCTGTTCTTTTTACTTTTGTCTCGAAGCAGTTATGCTCATGCAGTTGCAGTACTGGGGTGAGTGCCTGGCAATTCCATGCCGCTCTGTATACCCTGGGAGATGAACACTCTGGAGCAGTTTTCTGAAGAGCTTACATAAATTAGAAGTTAAATATTCAAATAACAGGGGTTCCGTTTTGCCAAAAAAAAAAAAAAAGGCTTCACAGCATCATTGTGGTGCATTCAAGACAGTATTTCACATAAATTAAGTACTTCTTCTCTCCTGCCAATAGTGCACCTCATTATTTGAAAGACTTGATACCTCGGAAGTCCAAAATTTCTGCAGGTTGAGTGTGGTCCATGGGTTTTGTTAAGTCTATATCATGCTTTAGAATTGGTTGCAAGACTTAAAAATTAGAAGAGTTCACTTTAAGAATCCAGATTTGGGGATTATCTTTTTTTAAAAAAATGAGAGGATTTGGTAACACTGTCTTGTGATCTTACATGTCAAGTGCCTGTGCTTCCAAGTCTTTCCCACCTTTCTCTTTTCCTCATTTTCATTCCTTCCCTGCCCACATCCAGCATCCAACTGTCATTCCGTCTTAAACATGTGAGCAGCCATGATGGGAATGGTGTGTCTTATTCAGCTAATGCATTATGCCACCATATTTAACTTTTTGTACTTCTAGATTTCTCTCTCAAAAAATGGGAATTATATTTGGCACCTATTTTTAATGAAAACTTTGACAATTAGCTTGACTTTTTAAGAGTATTTCAAAGTAAAACTATTTATTACTATTTTGACTAGCACATTTAAAATAATGATTTTGTAGCATTGGTTAAGATTGGCTCTATAGCAGACACCAGAGTTTCTTTAGTCGAAACTTAGAAATGTTTAAAATAAGTTTTTGATACATGTCTTTTTCCTAGAAAATTAAAATCAGAAGTCTGCAAATAATGTGTTTACATATATCATGAGTATTATTTACTTCTGAGGGTTTATATATGCTTACCTACATATGGATATATTAATTCAGTTAATATGCATCTTTAGCTATAAATGATCATAATAAAATTTCTGCTGCTTAAATAACATTTAAAAGCAAGTTTAGGATGAACCTAAAACGCGCCATCCATGTAGATGTTAACTTCAGATGCATGGCTTTCCTTTCAGAATACGGCAGGAGAATGATATGGTTGATTCAGCGCCTCAGTGGGAAGCTGTATTAAGGAGACAAAAGGAAAAAAACCAAGCCGACCCCAACAACAGGCGATCCAGACACAGATCTCGTTCGTATGTGGACTCTTTTTATACCTTGATTCAAAAACACTGAATTTGAAGTAGCATGTGGATATTCAGGTCTTCTAAAGTGTTTTAGTTCAACTAGGATTATTTCATTGTTTATTTGTCATATTTACCTTCTAATATTTGTGACATTTATTAACCATGTTTGAAGCCATAGAAGTTGAAGCACAGTCAAAACAAAATGTCATGAAAACAAGGCCCTCAAAGCCATATTTTTGTTTTGTGTTGTTTTTAACCAAAGTATACATTCACCTGAATAAATAGGAATAGTCTTCTTTGTTGTAGAGCCAGGCTGTTGGTGAAATACCTGCTGCTTCTCAGTTTGAGTCTGCACAATTCTCTGAAGTCTTGTTCCAGACTGAACCAGATGTGAATATCTTCCCATCAAAATACAATTTGTGAACAGTAGTCAGTGAGTGATTCATTACACCTCAGTGTTGGAATTTGCGTGCTCCTCCTGTTGCTAGGCAACGCCATGTGTGAGCACAATTACACCGTAATGGTGTGATTGCCAGTCCCCCAAATTAATTGTCTTTGAGCTGGTAAAGTTTCTGTGCGTGTGTGTTTTAAATCTGTGCATTATCAAGATTTAGACGCCTCACTCCCACTCCACTTGCCAAACCATGGCTCACCTTTTTAAAGTGAGCCAAGACTAAGTACAGATCCTTTTGTGATCGTGGGTAGTTAGATGTCTGATGTTGATTACTCACAGGAGGAGGGATTAAGTCCAGTCGTGTATGATAAGGAAATGAAAGGATGTTGGGTAGTGGAGGTAGAGACTGGGTAGGTAGGTAGGGAGCTCTGAGGGAGCCAGGCAGGAGGGTGACAAGAGGACAGCTGTGAGTGCCACATCAGGTTAAAAGAGATTAGGAAAGAACTCTGGAGTGTACCGGGGGGTTCACACCAGGACTCTTTTTACTGTGGGACACTAAGGGACACTTCTCAGTCTTAGATGTTTACCTTTCAATTAGAAATTAACCCCGTGTATATGTGTGTATTTTATCAGTAATGCATCATTATGAGTGATGACTTTCTTTTGTAATAGAAAACCTGCAAATAGTCACTACACCATGTACACCCTTACAGATGTATTAATTACTCTGTAATTTTTTTTTAGCAACCTAATTAAACTGGTAGTCAATTTAAAGCTGAAGTTAATGAAGATTTCCTTTGTTGTGAGATAGCACCTTCCCCCAACTCCATTAAAAAAAAAAGGAAGTTTAGATAAGAAAGAATCAGACCTCACTGAAGGACTTTACCCAAAAGGTGCAGAACCCAAGATTAGATACAGCGTAGTCACGGGTAAATCTTTTGCCACCATATTTTTACCTTTCCATGTGGAATAGTTTTCTATGAAGGACTTGTTATACACAAGGTTTGGCAACTTGATATTAAATCTTAAAACAGCATTCAGTTTTTCTAACTATTTCTAAAGCATTCTGAGTTCAATTAAATGCCAGTAGTACATTTAATTTATTTAAAAAGGGGAAAGTAAAATAAAATTAGAAAAAGTCCTATATATAAGTTTTGAAGAAGTCAAAAAACATTCCTGGAGGCAATAGTAAATAAATGGAACCATTCATTTGTAAATAAAAATTGGGAAATAGAATAATTTAAAATTGTTATTACTATAATTCAGTTATATTATGGAGTAATTATTTGTAGTGGGCCTGGGAATTTAATAATTTTTTAGTCAAGTGGTCGGAGGTTCATTTAACAGCCTTTAAAATTGAGGCAATTTGAGGTGAAATTTACATACAGCCAGATCCTCTCATCTTATATGTACAGTTTAATGAATTTTGACAAATGTATCCATAACCTATCCATCCTGCCAGTCAGGATATAGAATATTTCCATTAACCGGAAAGTTCCTTCATGCTCCTTCTAGTCAGTGCCCACCCCCACAACCAACCACTGTTCTGATTTCTTTTTCTTTTTTTTTTTTCTCTGTCACCCAGGCTGGAGTACAGTGGCCCAATCCTGGCTCACTGCAACCTCTGCCTCCCGGGTTCAAGCCATTCTCCTGCCTCAGCCTCCTGAGTAGCTGGGATTACAGGCACCTGCCATAACACCCAACTAATTTTTCTATTTTCAGTAGAGATGGGGTTTCACCATGTTGGCCAGGCTGGTCTCAAACTCCTGACCTCCAGTGATCCACCGGGCTCAGCCTCCCAAAGTGCTGAGATTACAGGTGTGCACCACTGCGCCTGGTCCACTGTTCTGATATCTATGATGAGTTTTTCTCTCTTGTCGAACTTCATATAAATGTAATAACACAATATATACTCCTTTAAAATACTACTACTTTCACTCAACATGTTTTTGAGCTTCATCCATGGTATCAGTGGTCATTTAAATTTTTGTATATACTGCAATATTTTTATTCATTCTCTTCTTGATGGACAGCTGAATTGTTTCCAGTTTTTGCCATTGCGTTATAGACATTCTCTACAAGTATGTGTGTGGAATTTGTTTTCTTTCGCTTGGGCAAATACCTAGGAGTAGAATTGCTGGATTAGAGGGAATTTGTGTGTTTATTTATTTTTTTTTTTTGAGACAGAGTCTCGCTCTGTCGCCCAGGCTGGAGTGCAGTGGCCAGTCTCGGCTCACTGCAAGCTCCGCCTCCCGGGTTCCACGCCATTCTCCTGTCTCAGCCTCCCGAGTAGCTGGGACAAGAGGCGCCCGCCACCACGCCCGGCTAATTTTTTATATATTTAGTAGAGACGGGGTTTCACCGTGTTAGCCAGGATGGTCTCGATCTCCTGACCTCGTGATCCGCCCGCCTCGGCCTCCCAAAGTGCTGGGGTTACAGGCATGAGCCACCACGCCCGGCCACATGTTTAATTTTATAAGGAATTACCAAAATGATTTCCAGAAAGGTTGGGTCATTTTATACTCCACTAACAAGATACGAGAGGGTCTTGTTCTGCCCCAGTTCTTGTTAGTATTTGAGTTTGTTGCTGCGTTAATTTTCGCCATTCTACTAGGCATGAAGTAGAGATTCCATTGTAGTTTTAGTGAGCATTTCTTTCATGGCTAATGATGATAACCACATTTTTGTGTGCTTACTGGTTATTCATATATCTTCATTTTTAAAGTGTTCAAATTTTTTGTCCAGTTTAATTGGATTGTTTGTCCTTTTTCTTATTCATTTGTAGGTTATTTATGTATTCTGGATAAAAGTTCAATTTCAGATATGCACGTTATGAATGAATACTTTCTCCCAGGCTGTGGTTTGCATTTTCATGTTCTTAACATTGCTTTTTGATGAGCAGACTTTTTAATTTTGATGAAGACCAGTGTATCAGTTTTTTTCATTTCTAGTTAAGGCTTTTTTTTTTTTTTTAATCTTAAGGGGTATTTGCTTACCTCATGGTCACAAAGATAGTCTTATATCTTTTTCTAGCAGCTTTATCGATTTTGCTTTTATACTTAGGTTTGTGTTCCATTTAGAATTAGTTGTTGTATATGGATGAGTAGAGATTGAGAGGTGTTTTTCCTGTAGTCTATCCAGTTCCACCACCATTTTTGAAAAGACTTTTCATTGAAATGCCTTGTGGCCTT
Organism: Homo sapiens; assembly: GCF_000001405.40. NCBI lineage: Eukaryota > Metazoa > Chordata > Mammalia > Primates > Hominidae > Homo > Homo sapiens. The sequence continues at coordinate 112,180,439 of NC_000005.10, read as the reverse complement.
TGTTGAAAGTGAATTGACTGCTCACATGTGGGCCAATTTTGTTTCATTGATCTATTTGTCTATCCCTAAGCCATCATGTTGTCTCGGTTACTGTAGCTTTATAGTAAGACTTGAATAAAGCAGTGTAAATTCTCCAACTTTGGCTTTCCCTCTCCCCCTTTATGCAAGATTGTTTTAGCTATTTTATTAGGACCTTTGCATTTCTGTGTAAATTTTTGAATCAACTTGTCAGTTTTTACTGCCTTCCCCCAAAGACTTTTGACTAGGAATATGTTGAATGTATAGATCAATTTTGAGAAAATAAATATCTTATTCATCCATTTGTTTTTATCTTCTTGCAGCAATGTTTTATAGTTCTCAGTACGGAGTAATTTATTTTGTTATATTTCAGAAAATTTATTTTTCAGTTGTTTTTTAGTATATAGAAGAACAAAGGATTTTTAAAAATACTGATGCTACATCCTGCCACCCCATAAGCCTTGTTAAATTCACTTACTAGCTCTAGAAGCTTTTGGTTGGGGGCAGTTTCTTACGATTTTCTGCGGTTACAATCATATTTGTGAACAGTTTTCCTTGATTTCTAGTCTTTCTGTCTTTTATTTCTGTTCCTTCCCTTACACTGGCTAGATCATGTAGTACAGTGTTGAGTTACAATGTTGAATACAAGTGGTAAGAAAGCAGACATCCTTGGCTGCTCTTTTTCATAAAGGGAGAGCATTCAATATGTCACATTATATATGATGCTAGCTGCACAATTTAGGAAGATCCCTTCTATTTCCAGTTTGCTAAGAGTTAGTGAAGAGTTTTGATCATGAATGGGTCTTGAGTTTTGTTATAAACTTTTTCTGCATCTGTTGAGATAGTTGTTATATGGGTTTATTGTGTTCGTGGAGGAATTAAATGGATTCAATTTTGAATGACACATCCTTGCATTCCTAGCATAAGCCCCTTGTGGTCATGATGTATTTTCCTTTTTGTATGTAGCTGGATTCTATTTGGCATTACCTTGTTAAGATTTTTTTCTTTGTTTTTGTGAAAAATTGATCTGTAATTTTCCTGTAATGTCAGGTTTTTGGTAAAAATATTATATTGGTCATTTAAAATAATTTGAGAAATATTCCTTCTTCCTCTGTTTTCTGAATGAGTTAATATAAAAGCATTTTTTTCTTCCTTAAATATAGAATTCACCAGTGAAACAATCTCTGCCTGGAATGTTCTTTGTGGAAGGTTTTAAATTACAAATTCAGTTTCTTTGACAGATATTGAGATATTCATATTTTATACTTATGTGTAAGTTTTGATAATTTATACTTTTAAAATAATTTCATTTTTATCTAAGTTGTCAAATCTTTCAGCAAAAATTTGCTTATAATTCTCCCTGTGCTTTTAACATCTGTGAAATCTGTTGTGATATCACCACTTTAATTCCTGATGTTGGTGATTTGTGTTTTCTCTTCATTTTTTTTTAATTTATTTTTTTCAGAGAACCAATTTTAGATTTTGTTGCTTTTTCTTTGCTATCTGTTGTCTGTTTCATTGACTGTACTTTTTATTCTTTTTATTTTGTCTTTTACCTGCTCTTCTTTTTTCATCTTCTTAGGATAACATTTATTTTAAACCTTTCTACTTTTCCAATATAAGCATAAATTTATAAATTTCCCTTTCAGCCATGCTTTAACTATATCTCACATGTTTTTGACATTGTTTTTGTTATCATACAGTTCAAAATAATTTTTAATGTATCTTGTCTTTTTTTGATGCTGGCATTTTTAGTTGTGTGTTTAATTTCCAAATATTTCAGGATTTTCTACAAATATTATTATTATTCTAATTTAATTCCATTGTGGTTAAAAAAAAAAGTCTGAACAGTTTTAATCCCTTGAAATTTATTGAGACTTGTTTTAAGGCCTAGCATATGGTTTTTAATGATGAATAATCTGTAGACTCAAGAAGAATGAGGAGTCTCAGTTACTGGTTGTCGAATAGATGCAGTTAGCTGATAGTGTTCAGATTGTGTCTTTTTTTTTATTTCTTCATCTACTTTTCAAGTAGTCATTGAGAGAGGGATGTTAAAATCTACAACAGTGATTGTCAATTTGTCTGTTTTTTCCTTTAATTCTGTCAGTTTTTACTTCAAGTTATTTTGAAGCTCTGGTGTTAGGTGTATGCATATGTATGGTTTTTTCCTTCCTGATGAACTGATGACCCTTTATTCTGGCAATACTTTCTCTGTGTCCACTACACATGCACACGCATAAATTCTACCATACCTTCTTCATGTTTACTGTTTGCATGGTATATCCTTTTAATCTGTTACTTTAAGCCTAGTTATGTCTTTATATTTAAAGTCCACCTCTTGTAAACAGTGTACAGTTGGTCTTTTTGTTTTTTTTTTTTAATTCTAGCCTGACAATCCCTGTCTTTTAAGTTCAGTGTTTAGCCTGCTAGCAGTTAACATAATTATTTGTATTTTGCGATATAAATCTACCATCTTGTTCTTTTTTCTGGTTTATTACGCCTGTTTTTTGTTGGTTTGTTGCTCCCTTCCTACTTTATTTTGTGTGAACTGAATATTTTTTGATACTCCATTTTATTTTCTCTACTGATATCTTACCTATACTTTTATTATTTTTTTATTTATTGCTTTCTCTCTGTAAGTATGATTCTTATCAGTATGGTTCCTTATCACACCCTAAGATGAATATTGTAACATTTAAAATTTAGAAACATTGGAAAAATATAGCTCCACTTGTGCTTTGTGCTATTGTCATATATTTTATTTTTGCCTGTTAGAAGCCTCGTATTAAAATGTTAATGTATCTTTGCTTAAACAGTGAGTTTTTATATAAAGAAATTAAGAGGAGGAAAAACCTTAGTTACTGTGGTGGGAAGAATAATGACCCCTGATATATGTCCATGGCTTAATCTCCATAATGTGTGAATATATGACCCTAGATGGCAGAGAGGAGTTAAGATTGCAGGTGGAATTAAGGCTGTTGTTAATCAGTTGACCCTCACCCAGAGATATTATCCTGGATTATCCAAGTAGGCCCAAAGTAATCATAAGTTTCTTAAAAGTGGAAGAGGTGACAGAAGAGGAAGAGTGTTTCAGTTTGAAACGGACTCAACCTGCTGTTGCTGGCTTTGAAAATAGAGGAAAAGGCCTTGAACGAATAAATGTGGGCAGCTCCAGAAGATGGAAAACACAAGAAAATGAATTTTCCCTTGAGTCTGCAGAAAGGAATGCAGCCATGCCAACACCTTGATTTTAGTCCAGTAGGACCTGTGTCAGATTTCTCAGCTGATACGGCCAAAGTGCAGTTAAAGTAGAAAAAAAAATTATATATATATATTTGTGTGGATAGTAGTTCATTTAGAAGTTGCTGGCCGGGGACGGTGGCTCATGCCTGTAATCCCAGCACTTTGGGAGGCCAAGGCAGGCCGATCACCTGAGTTCAGGAGTTCAAGACAAGCCTGGCCAACGTGGTGAAACCTCGTCTCTACTAAAAATACAAAAATTAGCTGGGTGTGGTGGTGGGTGCCTGTAATCCCAGCTACTTGGGAGGCTGGGTCAGGAGAATTGCTTGAAGCTGGGAGGCGGAGGTTGCAGTAAGCCGAGATGGCGCCATTGCACTTCAGCCTGGGCAACAGGAGTGAAACTCCATCTCAAAAAAAAAAAAAAAAAAAAAAAAAAAAGTTGCTCTGGTGGGTAAAAAGCAGATTGAGAAAGAGGAAGAAAGGAAGCAGGAAAGCAATTAGAAAACTTTGCAGTGGTCCACGTGAGACGCTTTTAGCTCAGAAAAGATGGTGGTGGTGAAATGAAGAGAGTAGATGAATATACATTTTGGAAGTACAGCTGACAGATTTGTAGTGTGAGCGGTATTATGGATGACATTGAGTTTCTGAGCAGATGCACTGAGTGGGTAGCATCGTGTTTTACTGAGATGGGAAGGGATGGGCCAGGAATGTTTTGGGGGGGAGAGAATCAAGATTTCTCTTTGTTAGGTTTGAGATGCCAAGTAGGCAGTTAATGGAAATGTCAGGTGGACAACTGAATACAAATGTTGTAACTCTTAAGGATGATGGATTACTTCATATAGCACAAACTGAGCTCTGTCCTTTATTTGAGTTATGACTGTTAAAAGCCTGAGATTGATTGACAATTAATAAAATACCTGCTGGGTGCTGTTGTTTGCATTCTGGATCTTCAGCTTATTACCTGATCCCCATGAGCTTCCATCTCTACAACACTGATGGTACCACGCTCTTAGGATTTTGCTGAGCATTAAGTGAGGTTGTGCCTGTGTCACAGCCTTTATTAGTAAGTTCCCCCAGGTCTTAGTTATTCTCTAGAAACACTGCAAGGTATTTGTGTTTTTCCTTGAGATGAGGAGGTGGTGAGAAATGAAGAGAGTAGATAAGGCAACTCACAAAAAGTCCTTAGAGACTTGAATTTGGTTGTGTGAGGATTTAGGAACCACTACAGCTTTCTTTAAAAGTGGAAATATAAGCTGGGTATGGTGGCTTGTATGTGTAGTCCCAGCTACTTGGGAGGCTGAGGAGGGATGATTGCTTGAGGCCAGGAGTTCAAGACCAGCCTGGGCAACATAGTGAGACCGCATCCCTTAGAAAAAGTGGAAACATGGCTAGGGCAGTATTCAAGGAAAGCAATCAAAATTATCCTTCATATATATATACATATACACACACACACACATATCTTCAGATATAATATATACATAATATAGAAAATATTTTAAAATATATGTACTATATAAAAATATTTATGTATATTTGGCATTTCAGATGTACAGTAAACCACTGATCTCTCCATTACTCCCATATTCTTAAATTCCTACTGCAGTATATGTAAATTAGGTATCCATTAAGGGTCAGAAGGTTATGATACACCATTATTCATTTTTGTATTTTATCCGCAACAAATAGCTAGAAAATCAATTCATTATTAAATACCAGAGACATAAGAGTAGAGTAGTATAAAATACAAAACTGTTTTCTACTAAAAAGCGTTAAGCTGAAATATGATTAGATCTCTGTTAAAACATTGGGAAGTACAGTTCTATTTAGTACATTTTTCAGCTACAGTTGATGTTTATCACTAGGAAAAAAGCTTTGTTGAACCTGCTTTTCTACATGGGTGAACCTTTACTCAGTGGGATATTTGGAAGAGGTATTAAAGCGTAAACAATGGTTTTGGTAGGGTCAAACCTGGGTGCAAGAGAAGGTTCGGGCTCCCTCTGGTGGTGATAATATCTTACTATTTTTATTGAAAAGTACTGATACTGTGGAAGATGAGGCCGTCAGGGCGATGTTCTCAGTTACACACAAAACATATAAGTCTGGTGTGTTAGGTGAAGATATAACATGAACCCCCACCCCCAACCCGGAAGTGCCTCCTGAGCGATCTTCAGCAGCTAGGTTGTTCATCTCAGTGGCTTCCTAAGGCTTCTTTGATTTGGAGGGGGAGGGAGAAGAGTAAGACATCTCCTAATTAGATTTATTTTGACCCGTCAGGAATGTGACAAAGAATGACTGGGATATTTGTTAGGTGCTTTGAATTCCTTAAATAAAGATGTTTTATAAATGTACATATTTTCCACTCTAAATTTCCTTTCAGAGGAGTGATCAGTATAAAGATGGACAAAAAAAGAGTAAAATACTGCCATATTTTTTAGTATAATATACAAAATATAGTAAATATATTACTGGATAATGTATTGCCCATATTATGTTTTTAGATAATATAGTTGAATAGTTTGGGGGATATTTAAAATGATTATATGCAGTGATGGAGTTTAAATCCTTTGTAGATTTATGATATGTTTGTTTCAGGGTTTTGGAATAAGGGAAAGTGATTTGTGAATGATGTGTCATCAAACTAATTTCTCTGATTAATTTAAAGTGGAATATTTGTATGTGGAGGAGGGATGCTTTTGAAAAATACTGGACTAATACTGGGCTGCATGTTTATTTTCTATATATGTCGTACCTATGGACAACTCAGGGTTCTATTTCCTTTCCTTAGGAATTTATTTGGAGAGTTTAAGTAAAACATCTGCATAATTAAGTGCCTCAAATTAAGAAAAATGACTGCTGGAATTCCACAGCTTTCTAAATCCACAAGATAACACTGAGCTGCAGATCATGAATTCATCCTAAATTATTGATTAAATGTGTGTGCAGATGTAAGCATAAAAATAATACATTCCTCATTAACATGCAGCTTGTGTTGACATTTGTGAAATCACAGGTGGTCTAGCAATCAGAGGAAATTAGCATTTTTTAAGCTTTGGAACTTTTCCTCGCCTTAAAACTGTTTGAAACTATTGGCCACGTCAGAACTTAGTTTAGTTAAAAATAGGACTTTTATGGTGCTATAGAATGTAAAAATAAAGACTAAACTCTTCAATCTTTTAGGACCAATGTTAATGGCTAGAAGGTCTGATGATCTCGTTCAGATTAAGATAACATTTCTCAGGCTAGGCACAGTGGCTCACGCCTGCAATCCCAGCATTTTGGGAGGCTGAGGTGGGCAGATTATGAGGTCAAGAGATGGAGACCATCCTGGCCAACATGGTGAAACCCCGTCTCTACTAAAAATACAAAAATTAGCTGGGCAGGGTGGCACATGCCTGCAATCCCAGCTACTCGGGAGGCTGAGGCAGGAGAATCGCTTGAATCCAGGAGGCGGAGCTTGCAGTGAGCCGAGATGGGGCCACTGCACTCCAGCCTGGGTGACAGAGCGAGACTCTCTCTCAAAAAAAAAAAAAAACAAAGATAACATTTCTCTAATTCTTCTGAGATGGGAATGAAAAGCATTTCCTTTGGAATTACAATAATAGTATATTTAAAAAAAAAAACATGAAAACACTCTTATTTTTTTTCCTGATAACTAAGGTAAGAAATTCTCCTGGCTTAAAAAGATCAGAAAATATAGAAAAGCATAAACAAGAAAATAAAATTACCTGCAATACCAGCACTCAGACATATCCACTGTTATCATGTTATCATTTTTTTAATGTATTGTTCATAGTCACTATCTCTCACCACTAGGCCTGATATCATGGGGTGTATGTCCTCCTGGCCACTCATAACTTTCCTCATTCTCCCCGTGTCCACCCTGAAAGCATTCAGCTTTGAATTGCATGCCCTCACATGATACCACTCACCACTTCCGGTAGTTGTCATCAACTGCACCCTCGGTCATTTTCCCATTCTTTTAAGATTTAGGTTCTGCTGTACTGTCACTCTCTCCAGCACTATTCTAGTACTCACATAATGGATCTTTACAAAAACTTGGCTTCCACCACCCAACCATAGCCACTTAATTCCTAGGTCATACCCTTAATCAGTGGTTTTCCAACTGGGGGCAGTTTTGCTTCCAAGGGGACATTGTCTACAGACATTTTTGGCTGTCACACTGGGGAGGTGCTACTGGCGTCTAGTTGGGTAGAGGCCACAGGTGCTACTGATCATGCTACAATGCACAGGACAGCCTCCTGCAGCACAGAATTAGTATAGAAAATGTCAGTAGGGCCAAGGGTGGGAAACCCTGCTGTAACTAGAAGAAGCTGATATGCCCACTATCATACCTTCCTGAAATAAGAATAATGATCAGTAGAATAGCTTCCTAACCTGGATATTATGTAATACTTCAGACTCTTGGTTGACTGTAAGAAATAGATCCTGGGGTATAGTCACAGCTGAACCATCATTCTGTCAGAATGGAATAACACCTTAGTGCTTTTTAATATTAGCACTTTCTCTGACAGTATCATTTAATGGGGTTAACATATTATCTAGCAAATCAGACCAACCAAATGTAGGAAAGGCAGAATACATACAGGACACCAAGGAAGCAGTTTCTATGATTTGTAAGAAACATACAATTTTTTTTTTTTTTTTTTGGCACAGGGTCTCATTCTGTTGCCCAGACTGGAGTGCAGTGGTGTGATCTCGGCTTACTGCAACCTCCACCTCCCAGGTTCAAGTGATTCTCATGCCTCAACCTCCTAAGCAGTTGGAATTACAGGCACATGCCACCATGCCCAGCTAATTTTTTGTATTTTTAGTAGAGATGGGGTTTTGCCATGTTGGCCAGGCTGGTTTTGAACTCCTGACCTCAAGTGATCCACCCACCTTGGCCTCCCAAAGTGCTGGGATTACAGGCTTGAGCCACTATGCCCAGCCTAATCTTATTCTTAAAACAAAGAACATCTACATTTAACAGTACCATATTTGGTCTGAGACCAAGATTTCATCCCTTTTTCCTTTTCATGTTTTGTCTCATCCTGAGTTGATTAAAAGGTCTTTATAGACAGATCACTTTTTTCCCCCTGCACAAAGGAAAAACCATTTGGTCAACTCAGTGGCTGGAAAGTAGCTTAGTGTATTCTGTAGGTTCAGGAAGCCCTACCAGAATACCGTAGTGGTGCCCTTATGAATCGAGAAGAATGAAAGCATTAATGATATCATACACTAAAAGCATTATTGAGCCCCCCAAATGCTAATACAGATTAATCACATACAATTCCATAGGATCAGTGGCTTTTAATTATTTGTTCTTTCTTTTGGCCTATTACTAGATCTCTGTTCTCTTAAAGGGACTGATGAAAGCTTATTTTCTCACTATGAAGAAAAATCATTCTGTGTCAACAATTGCAGTGATAATAGATTTCACTGCATTCATTGCTACAATGGGAGAAATAGTTGATACTACAGAGAGTACAAACACTTGAATGCTGACTGAATTTTTCATTCTAGGAAGTTAAAGATAGTGGTATAATATCTGCTCACATACTTCTTGGAGAAAAGATTTGCAGAGTCAATAGTTAGGAATGGAGAAGGGCGTAAAGAGGGTGGCAGCATGAGCCAAGGCCACTGATAGTCCTAGCATTTGCTGGCCCAAGTTTTGTTGCAGAAATGCAACACCAGATGTAACATGAAAGATGGGTCATTGGTACAGTCTGCCATCAGGGCCATCCCACCAGTTGCTTTTTCCTTTTGGTGGTTGCTTCTCCTAGGTAATCACAGATCATGTTGGAACTTTTTAGAATCAGGATGAGTTCTTCTTTTACCATTACTTACAAATATCTGGAAAGATCAGAAACAGACGCCCTGAATCATTCTTCGTTGTACAGTTACCACTGGATGGGGAGGCATATGACCCTGCAGTTCTGAGGTCTTTCATTAAATGAAGCTCTGGTTATGACTGGGTTTTATGATTTTCCTTCAGCGGCAGTAGCAGCAATTTAGCTGCTGGTGTCTTTATACTAACCATCACAATGGCTCTCCCTGTCCAGTCTTTCCTTGTCTGTTCTCAGCTGGCAAATAAGAACTTCACAGTCTGAAAACTATTAAAGTTAGTTATTAGGTTGTGAGATGAAGCATGTTTGCAGAGATGAATGTTGTTTTCTCTATTTATAGGAGAAGCCCCGATATCCAAGCAAAAGAAGAGTTATGGAAGCACATTCAGTGAGTAATAGTTTTCTTTCTTATTGTTTTAAAACCCATGTAGTTTTAATGCAATTGCAAGGAAGACTCCTGATACTGAGAGGCAACTTCAGCGTGATGCCTGCCAAAGCCATTGCCACTGTGTGTGGCAGGCACATGGAGCACATGGTGGTGGTGCCTTAACCATATCAACACCTATCTACAGGCAACCCTGACACCTCCTCACCTTGGGTCATTTAGTCTCGCCTCTAAATGGACCTCAGACAGGCCAATAGTTTACAAATAAATACCAAGGAAAACAAATCCAGAAGAAAAAAGACACCTACCACAGGGGAGAGAAGCAGATCTTTTATAGGGAAATGGGGAATGACTGGAGTCTGAATGTAGAAGAATTGAAAGAAGGCAAAAGAGCTACAGAAAAGGTTTTACCCCTCCTATTTTTCCTTGAACACGTTTAGTTTTTATAAATTTTCATTAGTTTTACTAACACTGTTTTGGGACAAGATTAGAAAGGGAAAACTCACCTGCCGATTGTGAAAGATACTAGCATTTATACCAGCACCACAACTATCATTTTCTTGCATATTCCTTTACAGAAAAGAACTTGTGGATCCATCCGGATTGTCCGAAGAACAATTAAAAGAGATTCCATACACTAAAATAGAGTGAGTGCCTTTCAGAATCTTCTCACCAAAGCTTTATTAGTGCTTGTGAGTAATCCATTCTAATTCTTCAATTGTGTTCCAGACAGTGCTTTAATTTGTCTTTACATTTTAAACAAAACTAGGTGACAGTAGCGAAAGAGGAAGAAAAGTGTGCATTAAAGCTACTTATTCTACACTATAATCACTATCATCTCTTATTAGCCACCTCTTTGTACTTGGTAGGTACAAGGGGGCTTTTCCTGATTAATGTCAGTTTTAAAATAAATTCTTTTCTGAGATTCTCACTGATAAAGTTTTTTATCCATTATTTTACACCAAGAGAATTATGTTGACCATAAAACTCTCATATGAGCCCAGTCCCATCCCTGGCATAGAAGCAGCACATTGAGCAGGCTTCGTGAAAGCACAGCAGGAGTCCTTAGTCACCAGTGTAAGAGGAACCGTACCTGTTGACTGTGTTTTCTGCCTTACCAGTACTTGGTTAAGAGAAAGTGAGTGCCTGCTTTGTTTCCCTTCTGTAGCTATGCTGCTTTCCCACCACAGTTAAATAGCAGGTTGGTACACCCCAGCCACCCTCCGTCCCCATCTTTAGGTCAAAGATTTGAATTATTTATTTGTTTTTAATTATTAAGGTATAATTGACAAATAAAAATTGTGTATGTTTATACAATCTGATGTTTTGATATATGTATACATTGTGAAATGCTGAAGTCAAGCTAATGTATCTATCACCTCACATACTTTTTTTTTATGGAGAGAACACTTAAGATCTACTTTCTTAGCAATTTTCAAGTAAAGACTGAATTCTTAATGTTGGTAGCTAGGACAGCGGACCAACTTTTTCCATTAGGAATGCCATTTTGTCTGCATTATAGATTTTGTTTACTTCCACGCTACTAAGAAGAATTCCACGGTAAGGAATAATTTCATTTAAAATTTGGTTGTTAAAAAATATACATACATACATATATATATGTATACACACAAATACTTTAAAGAGCTTCATTTTCACATATTGTCAAGGGAGCATTTTTCTTGTGAAATTTAAGTCACTCAGGCTTTCAAACCCTAGGAGTCAAGTTCTTTTTAAAACTCTGAAAGTTGTTATTCTTTTGCGGTTTCAATATTAAGAACTCCTACTTTTCCTTTTCTGACTTTGGGTGTTTGTTTTCATGTTTCTTGGTTGCTTGTTCAGGACACAAGGTGACCCAATCCGCATCAGGCATTCTCATTCGCCACGAAGTTACCGCCAGTATCGCAGGTCCCAGTGTTCAGATGGGGAGCGATCAGTTCTCTCGGAAGTGAAGTAAGTGGGCAGGCCAGAGTACACCATCACCATCATGGCTCCAAAACAGTGCAGTCTAAAAGAACTTTACTTGCTGATGGAAATGTTTTATATCTACACTGTAGTTCTCTTCCAACTTAATTTATGATTCTAGATACTGTTCCAGTCACTAATTCTAAAACTCATTCTCTGCAGTTCAAAAACAGATCTTGTACCACCACTTCCGGTGACCCGTTCTTCGGATGCTCAGGGTTCTGGGGATGCTACAGTTCATCAGGTTAGTAATAGTAAGGTTTGAAGAAGGTGTTGTATTGATGACAATTTTGAGAAGCATTTTGTGCTTTGGAAAGTTCCTTTAGGGAGGTAGGGCAGGCAATGAAACCTTAATGTCATTCTGAGATTCTGTATTTTAAAAGAACGTGGAGAAATCATGGAAGGAAAAGTGCATGATCAAGAACCCTGGCACAATCTGGGAAGAGTTAGGAATAACAGGTAGAGGTAGTGGGGCACAGCTGAGGATAACAAAGATTGTAAGACCATTTGGAGCCAGAATAAAGAAACAATTGTTTCACTAATTAAAAAGCGATAGTAACAACAGGTATTTTGAGCCAGAGAAACAAAGAGAAAGTGATAGACTCACTTTGTTAACTGATAGCAGACAGAAGAATTACTTAAGTCCTGTTTTATTTCTGTCTTCTCCATCACAATTACCTTAATTCTGGAAATGTTTTTAAAATGTAGTTAAAAAGGAATTCAGACAGAACACCTAGCTGCCTTAACAAAATCACTTTAACACTTAGCTGAATTTGATAATCAGGGGAACACTGTAGCAAACATAGTTCAGGAAGAGTTTCATACCGCCTCTCATGATGTATTTTTTAATAAGATGGGAAAAAATGTGGGCTGAATAAGACAGTTAGATGGATTTATATCTGGTTAAACAACCACTGTAAAACTCTAAAAACAAAGTTGATGTGTCTGATGGATCAGGGTCAGCCCGTTGTTCGTCGTGTTGTGGTTTTCAGTGTCATTTGATCATGGATCCTTTAGAAAAGCCAGTTGTATCTACTGACTCTCATCCCATAAAAATGCATCTAAGCACATGTACAGTTTTTGGACCACGTAAGAAGCCTGACACCAGCAGTATCTATCATGTATGGCCCTTTTTGTTTTTATCAATGACTGGAGCAAGGCCTGTGCTAATTTAGGTTAGGTTCCCTAGATAGATTCTGAAATGGAGATCTGCATGCAGGAAGCTTGTTGGAAAGTGCCCACGGGATCCATAGTTGTTGGGGAGAAAGTCAAAGACGGGTTTGGGCAGAGGCAAGAGCTGATCCGCACAGGGAGCTCTAGAGCTGAGATGGCTCTTCAAATTCATTCTACTTTGGGACAAGGGGGTTGAACTTTTACACATTCACACTCACCCCATAGAAGTCACTGGGTAAGGGATGTTCTGGGAAGGGGGATTTCTCTTCAACTGAGGGCAGTTCCTGGGGAGGGGCTCAGTTTTGAGCTACACGGCAGGCAACACTCCCAGCAGCTAGAGAATGAATGCCTCAGTCTAGAATGGCGATCTGCATGGTAAACGCAGCTTCTACTATAATCTGCATAATATTTGATGAGATCAGCCTGGGAGAGCTAATAGGTTGTCCAAATAGACGATTGGTTTAAAGTTGACAGTACTTTTTCAAAATTATATTCATGATTAAGTTTAGGCTTTGCATTCTGACTGACCTGAATCATTTGTGTTTCATCTCTGTGTACTACTTGTGTAACTTTAATACTGCTAAACTTCTAAGCCTCAATTTTTATACAGTGTAGATAACCTACCTCCTAGGGTTATTGTGATGATTAATAAGCAGTTATCTTTCGGTGTTTTTTTTTTTTTTTTTGTCTTAAATTTTAGTTGGTTTCAATACAAGTAGTAATTTTTATTTCCACTCAGGAATTAAAAAAACTTACACATATTCTAAGTTGGAAGAATAGCTTTCACTTTGCGGGATACAAGAACTCACATGCATCTTCTGATCAGTGGCACTGATTCTAAGCCTGTCTCCAGGACACTCTTGATTTTGAATTCAGTAAATATCCAGTGAGCCCATCTAAGGAGTGTTGAGCACTGGTCTGAGCAATCAGCAAACCATGGCCTAAGGGCCAAATCTAGTCTGCTGCCTTTGTACAGCCCAGAAGCCAGTAATGGTTTTTACACCTTTAAAGGGTTGTTTAAAAGCAAAACAAAATAACAGTAACACGTGACACAAACAGGATGTAGTTTACAGTCTGGCTCTTTATAAAAAAGTTTGATGACCCTAGCCTAGACCTGGAGGCATAAAAGTAAACAGTTAAAACAAATAGGAGTATGCATTACAAAGAAATGCCTGAGCTAGAGAAGCAACAAAGTGACCTCACTTTACATGTTTAGGGTGGTCAGAGGCCATCTCAGAGAGTGGCATTTAAAGCTGAGACCTGGCAGGTGAGGAGCTAGCCATGTGAGTGGCTGCAAGGCTGATGTAATCAGAGTGAGGAATGTAGGGAAAATGCTGACTCTGGAGAGGGCCTGGGTATTTGAGGAGCTGAAAGACCAACATGCAGTGAGCTTGAGGGGAAAGGCAGATAACACAGGGACTTAAAGGCTGTGGGAAGCGTTTGGATCTTACTGTTTTATTCCAAGTGCTAAAAGGAAGCCACTCATCTGGCTGCCAAGCGGAGAAGGGGCTGGAGTGACCAGTGGAAGCTGGAAAGGTACATTTTTAAGGTACAACTTTAAGTTCTAATTTCCACCACAATGCCACCAGAGTTCTGGCAGTGACCTGCCTTACACCTCACCTTGCCTTTTCACGCAAAGGCTGCTAAGAATGGGGAAGAATAGCAACTTAATTTCTTAAGGTCTGCAGAGTGGACAGATTCAATCCTAGACAAACTTACAACATAGTACTTATTTCAGGTCCTCTCCTAGCACTTTTTTTCTGGTAATTCTTCTGCTGTATTCTCCTCTCACATTCACTGGTGTTCTCTTCCCACCTCTGGCTATCTAGAAATCTTCCATCCCAAATAGATGGGTTCATGCTTCCCATGATAGGCAGAATAATTATTCCATCAGTGCTTTTTGAATGTCAGTAAAACAAATTAAGCCAGTCATAGGAACAGATTAAAGGTAGCTGCATTTTAAGAGGGATTTATTTATTTTTAGCTCAAACAAATCTCAAAATAGATTGGGACGGTATAGCCCATTATTTATGGGAATATACATTTGGGGAAGGAAATATGCTTGCCAGCCTGATACACTGACAATGTTAGACCATCCTTGGAAGTAAGAGGAGGAGGGGTTCGCATAAGAAGTAGTAGTTGTGAGTTAGTGTCATTCTCAGAGCCTCCACCAGTGATGATGGGAGATGTGTAAAACCTAAGTTTTACAAACTAGTGGATGTGGTGCCCAGGCTCTGGTAATGAGCTGCCCTGTTTCTCCGTATGAGACAAGTGATAGGGGCTCACAAGACATTGTTCCATTCATTGACTACTGAAAATATAATCAGGGGATTATAAATTGCCTCCAAGTCTCCATCACTATCCTGTTTGGAAGAGTGAGGTTGAGAGCCTGGTTTGGGAATTGTTAACAAAAGTAATGACACTGATTTGGGTGAATTATGCCTAATATTCATGAATAAAATCGTTATGCATGTAAATGTCAGACTAACTTTGTATATTAAAGTTTAAATACAAACTTTATTTTGCACAGCTATTTAGAGGGAACATTTATTGAATAGCTTTTGGTATTATGAAACTTTTGAATTAACTCAGTATCTTAAATTTAAGAGCAGCTTGGTTTCTGATGTAATTAAAATACTTCATTTGGCTGTTTTCTTCTGAATCTTTCTACATTTTTCAAATATATTTTAGAGAAGAAATGGGTCTAAAGATAGCCTGATGGAAGAAAAACCTCAGACATCTACAAACAACCTGGCTGGAAAACACACAGCAAAAACAATAAAAACTATACAAGCTTCCCGCCTCAAGACAGAGACTTGATCCTGATGAAGGGTCAAGGGTAGGGGTGGGAAGGTTGTGTGCGCCACTGGTACTTTTGAAACTGTGAAATAGGTATCTTAATTCAAATCTCAGACCTGCAAGTATTTCTTCAGCATGAGAAAATACATTATCTTTTGCTTCTTTTTTTTTTTTTTTTTGAGATGTTATCACTCTGTCGCCCAGGCTGGAGTGCAGCGGCACCGTGTCAGCTCACCGCAGCCTCCACTTACTGGGTTAAGCGATTCTCCTGTCTCAGGCTCCCGAGCAGCTGGGATTACAGGCGTGCACCACAACACCCGGCTAATTCTTTTTGTATTTTTAGTAGAGACAGGGCTTTGCCATGTTGGAGGCTGGTCTCGAACTCCTGACCTCAAGTGATCCGCCTGCCTCAGCCTCCCAAAGTGCTGGGATTATAGGCCATGGTTTAACTACAGCACAGTTGTGCTGAAGGACCTTTTTGTTTTAACTGGAAGAATAAGTATTTTGTAAAAATTCACTTGATACCACATTTTCATTTCTGGAACAGGATAGCAATCATTCATTTCTATCTTGTGTCTGTGTCCACCACAACCAAGACCAGATGCATCTGATGAACATTCTGGAATTCTGAACTGCAGCTAGCCTGCTGTGCAATAGTACAAGTGGGAGGACGTCTTCCCAGGGCTGGGCTGGTTCTCAACTAGTGCCCAGATGCAAAAGGACTGAGGCATCACTTTCAGACTGCATATATTTTTATTCATATAAAGTTCTTTATAATACTTTATTTTGTGGTGTTAAGTTCCACCAGTTATTTACAAATGATGTAAAAAGCTTTAAGTGTTGTTAATTTCTAAAGTGTTCTTGCGTTTTCAGAAGTGTAAGTGGATCTCAGTTGATCTGTCACCCCAAACCTCAAATGATCCATCCACCCTGCTTGGCCATCTAATTCACCTGCTCTCCCCAGTGACTATTTTGTACCTTTCCTCTCCATAGATGACTTTGCAATCTACAGGGAAAATACTTATGCAGGACATCTTATATCTCCCCCTTACCACGTACAGTTCTCTCCACAGCTGCCAGCAGCCCTAACCTTTTTGTCTCTCCACCTGTGCTTTGGATGCTCTTCTCCCAGCCTTTTCAGGATCTTTGTCTGTCCTCCTATATTAATGTATTCAATTATTCTCTCAGCTAGATCCTTGCTACTTGGTTTTAAATTTAAGACTAAGATTAAACAAAACTATCTTTCACAACCACAAACCCCCTCCCGCCAAGCAACTAAGATTTTCCTCTCATTCTCAGCCAGTTTTCTTGCAAGCAGTATCTTTAGTCATTGCCCTCAATTCATCTAATCCCTATCTTAAGCTATCTCTAACATGGATCTTTCCCTCTACTCCACTAATATCAATCACTGTGTTACTTAATCCCAGGGAGAATTTTTAGGACATTCTTTTGCTTCTTTAATATAATCCTATTTTGCTCCTACCACTGACCATCCTTTCTGGCTTATCATGCTTTACCTTGCCATTAATTAGTGGAGTTTCTCAAACTTCAGACCCTAGGCCCTCTTCCTCTACCACCAGCAGATCTCATTTATACCCATGGCCTTAAGGTTTATTTCTGTAGTTTAGACTACTGAGTAATGTGCTACTGCAAAAAGACCATTTGGGTTTCTCAAAGGTAATTTAAAAATTCAGCTGTTTAAATGCTGCTCCCCAGCTGAATCTAGGGTCATTATGCTCATCAGTGTGCAAGCTGGACACCTAGCAGTTATGGACACCTCCACTATTACCACGTCTAGTTGGCTCTGTCATCCAACTATAAACGATCTTATTTCACTAATTTTACTAGTCCAAGCTGGTCTCTTGTCTAGACAACAATAAGCAACCTAGTTCAACTACCTTTTCTTGCAAATCTGATTTTCCACCATGGATTTATCTTGCTTTAATAAAGCCAGAGGGAGCCTGAAGTGGTCTGGCTTCTTTACCTACCTCTTCAGCCTCATTTTGTAACACTCTCACCTCCCATAATAGCCATCTTACAAGCCTCAGTAAGGACTCAGTTCTAAAACAGGGCACTGAAGAGGGAAAGCAGCCAAAACTGTCTCAAAAGTAAGTGGACTAACGGTATCTTTTTTCTAGCCCAAGCCTCTGTATATGTCATTCCCCCAGTTTTGCCTTGTGAAAAATATGACACATACCTTTAGTCTCAACTCTTTCTCAGGTTTCCCTAAGAAAATCCTATCACGGAACTCATCTCATAGTGAAGTTTTACATTTGTGATGACATTCCCTCCACTTATCTATGTTTCCAAAGGGAAGAACTGTGTTGTGCTCATCATCGTGTTCTCAGCTCCTAGTACAGTGCTTTCAATAAATTTTTTGAATACCTCTATACATTATTTGTCGTTTCCTGCAAAGCAAAGGCAGAAGATATGGCAACATTAAATGTACAATTTAGTTGGAGGAAAAATACGCATTGAGTGCAGTAAAGCACACCTGTCACTAGAAATCAGTCTAGTTCTAGCCACGATTTTTGAGTCACTGGAAGAAAGTACATTTCTCTTTGGGCCAAACACAAGCTATTTTAAGGCTATTAATTATGGTGACAGCAGTGAATACTGATCAAAAAAGAACCCCTCCTCCCTTATAACTTTTTAGAAATAGCTGTTTCTGGCAGTTAATCACTTAAAACACAAATGCCAAAGTGCATTAATATATTTATTCACATCCTCACTGTCTTAAATGTGTATTTACAGACTCCAGCAGGTAATTATGTCAGTACTCCTCAGACTCCCAGAAATTTCAAATGATCCAGGCAACTCTTGTGAAGATCAAATTTTCAAAATCCTCACCAAGGACATCCTAAGAGAAAAAATAAAGTACTCAATTCGACAGCAAATATTTTTGTATTACATTTTAATCAAGAACTTGGTAATATGCCTGCGATTTCACAAGCTTTTAAAAAACTCAATTACTACACATAAAAACAAATCTTAAAGAGATGCAGAATGCCAGTACTATGCGTATTTATTTCCCTGGGCTTCTCAGGAAGTATCAGCAAAACCTTCCCAAAAATAAGCTGTGGAGGCTATCCCATTTATTAACTCACCTTAATAGCTACAGACAGAGCAACACTACGAATGTACCACTGACATTAAAACTCACTAGAGAAGGAACCCCAATTTAAAAGGTGATAAAAATTCCCATTACAAAGTGCTTTAAGACATATCACCCTACCTTCAGGTCACCTTTATGCTCCCAGATGGTATTCAGCTAGCAGCAGTCTACACTTCAGGCATCCATCTTCCACCTGAACAAAAATTAGAACTGGCTAAGAGAAACCATACACTTAAGGCTAGCAGGGTCAAGATCACGCGTGGAAACGTAAAAGCAGCAACTGTTACTTATGCAGCTCCTACACCAAAGGTATCAAATTTAAGGGCAGGAAAAGGCTGCAAAGCGTTTAATTTACGCCTTTTTTGACACCACATTCACTAGTTTCCAAAGTGAATGGGCAACACAAAGGCTGACACTGCGTGAGGTAGGCTTTATGGCATAAGGTTGCTGACTGGCTGACAGTAATGCCGATTACAGCCTAAAAACGGACAATACATTTCAGAGAAATTTTCTCACGATTTAAAATCCGACTTAATAATGAAAAGTGAAATGCGATGCGTTTTAAATGGCGACTGGTCTTGCACGAACGTGAAAACTCACCTGTAGGGTAGGTGATCACTCCCGACGAGCACCGCACGTGGAAACAGCTGTAACCAGGCACGCTGCTTTTAAGTTATTTTATACGGGGGCAGGGCAAGCATAAAGTCAGTTATACGGTAAGGCCTTTTCACTGACGAAAATAAAACCAGGCTTATCTGGAGAACTCCCTGGCATAGTCGATGATGTAAACACAAATCGACGAAGCTCCCCGTTTCCAAACGTGGGAACGCAGGCCTGAGGCCAGGCCGCTGCCCTTGTTCACGGCCCCGGACACTTCGGACACAGGCCGCCGCAGTCGACTCACCAGACTCAGGGTGGCCGCGTTCCCCCGCCCGGCGCCCCTGCGTGAGAGACCACGCGGCCACAGCCAGGCGCCATCCCAGAGGACCCAGAGCAAAAACCACAGCAAGCTCGCACCAAAAGGAAGAAAGGACAGGCTTCCGTCCCACAATGCTTTTCTACAAGTGGAAGGACCCACTGTCCGAGAGCGCGAGGGGGGAGCGGGCTGTACCATCGGCCGCTGCGCTATGGCGAGACGCCGCCGTGTGGCCGGAGGGAGAAGTGCCAGTGAGGGACCGAGGGGCGTGTCACCAAAGGGAGGAGGAGCCTGGGTTCTCAGCCCGAGTCACCTCTGCGGATGTGTGGCCAGTTCTTTCCACAGAGGAGGTATCCAGACATCCCCCCACCCGACCAGGGTCAAGAGCATATGATCAGTGCTGGCAGCGGCAGGAGCCCAAAGGACTTTAGACCACGTATTTTGGGACCCGACAGAATTCATGAGTCCAGCTGAGGAAGAGTAGAGTCATTCATTCGAAAGATATTTAGTCAGCACTTACTATGCTCCAGGCCCTGGCCTGAGTGCCTGGGAATCAGGTGTGGGTGAGCCAGGCAAGGTTTCTGTGGTACATTCTGCTTGGGTGAGTAGGCCACTGACCAAGTGAGCCCGGATGCTGAAATTCTACAATGTAAGTGCCAGGAGGGCAGCAAAAGAGGGTCATGCCATAGGGTAGCGCTGTCCGATGGAAACAGTGTGAGCCATGAGTGTAATTTTAAATTTTCCAATTGCCACATAAAATGTGAAAAGAACGCCGGGCGCGGTGGCTCATGCCTGTAATCCCAGCACTTTGGCAGGCTGAGGCAGGTGATCACCTGAAGTCAGGAGTTCAAGACCAGCCTGGCCAACATGGCAAAACCCCGTCTCTACTAAAAATACAAAAATTACTTGGGCTTGGTGGCGGGCGTCTATAATCCCAGCTACTTGGGAGGCTGAGGCAGGAGAAATGGCTTGAACCCGGGCGGGGTGGGGGTGGAGGTTGCGGTGAGCCGAGATCATGCCACTTGACTCCAGCCTGGACAAAAGGGCGAAACTCCGTCTCAAAAAAAAAAAAAAAAAAGTAAAAAGAAACAGATCAAATTAATTTTAATAATAACCCAACATATTTTAAATATTTCAACAGGCAATCAATATGAGATTATTAATAAGATATTTCTTTTATATCTACTAAGTCATAAAAATCCGGTGTATATTTTATACTTCCAGCACATTTCCGTTCAGACTAGACACATTTCAAGTGTTCAGTAGCTCATGGGGCTAGGAATAGGAAGACTGGAAGTGAACTCCGAGCAGATGTGTGAAGGCGGTTATGCAAGATCTGGAGACAGCAGGCCTTGGCCAGTGTGGCTGGAGTCGAGTAAGGAGTGTAGAGTGACAAGATGCAGCTGGAGAGCCAGGCAGGAGCAAGGCACTTAGGGTCTTGTCACACAGGGCAAGGTGTTGGGATTTTATGCTGAAATCTTAGAGTTGATTAATTATCACCACAAAAATTAAGCAGAGTTTGTTAATTGGCTTTTTTCCTGATAACCATAACTCCTTGAAGGGACAGGACAAGTGGCAGCAAGACAAGTTGTATGATAACAACTAGGTCTCCATGTTTCTCTAAGTCCTAGCAGAGATTCATCCAGAGACCAGTTTTAGCACCTTTCGTTGTTTCTTTGAAGCCTACTTCTATAAAAGAAAGAAGGAAAGAGAAGAAAAGGAGCTTATCTCCGAACACATCAAGTTATATACATTAAATACAGCTTTTTGTATCTCAATCATACCTCAATAAAGTGGTTTAAAAAAAAAAGAAAATTCAGGCTCACAGCCCAGTGGTCATCACACAAGGACTAGCATGAATAATAACCAAATCAATCTGGAGAAAATGACTGTACAGAATTAGTAAATGTATAATTATTACAAGAAGGTAAGTAACTCCAGACTTCATTAGGAAGTCACTGTAACATCTGGGGCAAAAGGAAGTTTGCAGAAGGAAGGCAGTAACACGAAGATTGTCCTTTAAAGACAGCGAAAGGCACAGTGTGGGGATTATAACATGCCTTAGTCTTGCCTTCTTGCTAGGGAAAGTCAGTGACATGTTTTGGCTGTGTCCTCACCCAAATCTCATTTTGAATTGTAGTTCCCATACTCCCCAGGTGTTGTGGGAGGGAGCTGGTGGGAGGTAATTGAATCATAGGGTTGGTTACCTTCATGCTATTTTCGTGATGGTGAGTGAGTTCTCAGGAGATCTCACCAGATCTTTGCTTGGCACTTCACCTTCCTGCTGCCATGTGCAAAAGGATGTGTTTGCTTCCCCTTCCGCTATGATTGTAAGTTTCCTGAGGCCTCCCCAGCCATGCTAAACTGTAAGTTAATTAAACCTTTTTATTTTATAAATTATCCAGTCTCGGGTATGTCTTGATTGGCAGCAGCATGAGAATGGACTAATGCAGTGAGAGAGAGGAAATTTTCTTGGACTGGGGCAGCCAGCATATATAGGTTTAGTTTATATCTACCTCTGATATTTGTTCCCTTAGGTATGTGACCACCATTGTGAGCCTGAGTTTCCTCATTTAAAGGTAATAACTACACACATGTACTATATGGGTTAGTTTAAAGAATTATGAAAGGTTTGTGGAATCACGTAGCATTGTGTGTGGTACATAATGACATCTAATAAATGACTCAAATGAGCTAGACATTTCCTCTCTTTTACCCCTACCCCAAATATGGAACCTTCTTGTATTGAGTTCTTATGAAAGGGGGAAACATGCTGTTTTTCTTCTAATGGCTTTACATTATTGCTCCCACTTTCCTCTTTTCTCTTCTTCCCTTTGTATCTCTTCCCTAAACTTTCCAAAATTAGGCAGAGGAAGGCATTTGTTCCAATTACTGGATCAGTGTTAGGTTTTAGGAAATCAATTCAAAATCCTTCCTCTCCCCTGTCTGCTTCAGCCTCCTGAATCCTGGTACAGAAAACCCAATTACTAAGTACAGGTAAGCAGAAAGGACATGAGAAGAAGATAGTGGATATTTTCTACCTAGTCTCTGCTTCCTCCTTGCCTGCTGGGCTGAGGCACTGTGTAAGGATGTTCAAGCCACACAGTGGTAGTGCAAATGTGAAGCAACCTGGGTTTCCCTGTGTGGAAGGCAGAATAATAATCTCTCCCCAAAAGATATTCATGTCCTAATTCTCAGAACCTGTGAATATGGTGCATTACATAGCAGAAGGGGCTTTGCATATGTGATTAATATTAGGAACCTTGAGATAGGGGGATAAAAATGGAAGAAGGTAGCAGAAGAGTTAGAGATTTGGCAGAAGGGAAGGCAGGAGAAATAGACATGAGAGGGGCTCAACCCTCCATTGCTGGCTTTGAAGATGTAGGAAGGGGCCACAAGCCAAAGAATATGGGCAGCCTCTAGTACCTGGGAATAACCCTCAGCTGACAGCAAAGGAGCAGGGATTTCTGTCCTACAGAGCTGTGAGATAATGAATGTATGTTGTTTTAAGCCACTAAATTTGTGTTAATTTGTTATGGTAGCAAGAGAAACCTAATATAACCTATAAGGGGTAGAGAGTAAGTGAGCTTTATTTGTTA
Source organism: Homo sapiens (assembly GCF_000001405.40). Taxonomy (NCBI): domain Eukaryota; kingdom Metazoa; phylum Chordata; class Mammalia; order Primates; family Hominidae; genus Homo; species Homo sapiens. The sequence goes on along the minus strand of NC_000005.10, from coordinate 112,157,380 downwards.
CTCCACCATTTCTTGTCCCATCTCGATTTTCTCATTAGGAGTGGAAACGAGATTTTGCAGACAAACTTGTGCACATTTCATTTTAAAATAATTAATCCATATAAAGCTGACTTTTGCTTATAGTGAGTTCTAGGGATAACCAGTTGCTCTAAGGTGGTTTATCAATAGCCCATCCTTTCTACACAGATCTACCATGCCACCATCATCATAGATCAGGTTGTTTTTTTTTTTTCTTTTTGCATGGATGTACCTTTGCACTCTCTATTCTGTCCTACTGGTCTATTTGTCTCTCCTGTGTCAATATTACGCTGTCTCAATTACTATATTTTTTATAATGTCTTTATATTTTCGGGGCAAATACCCTGCCCTCCCACATCCATATCACCACGCAGACACCATGATCTTTTTCAGGGAAGTCTTGGCTATTACTGTCCCTTTTCTCTTGCACATAGTTTTTAGAATTAGATTGTAAAGTTCAATGAATTGAACTGGTTCACTTGGACTCCTTCTCCTTTTTGGTAGTCATTGTTTGATTACGCTTGTCTTCAGGATTGTACTGCTAAAGCCATATTTCATCATCTTTTCACTGAACTTCACAATCTAAAGATTGTTGGGATTTTTATTGGAATTGCATTGGATCTGTGATCAACTGAAGGAGAGTTGACATCTATATGAAAATGGTATGTGTGATAGTCGATTTTATGTATCAACTCTGGATCACAGGATCTTCAGCCATCTAGCTAAACATTATTTCTGGGTGTGTCTTTGAGGATGTTTCCAGAGGAGATTAGCATTTGAATCAATAAACTGAGTAAAGGAGATGTACTTCCTCAATGTGGGTGGCATCACTTAATCCTTTGAGGGCCTCAATAGAACAAAAAACGGGATAAAGAAAGGATTCGCTTGCTGTCTGCCTGACTCTATCAGCTGGAACGTTAATCTTCTGCCCTCAGTTCTCCTGGTTCTCAGGCCTTTGGAATCTACACCACCTGCTCTCTGGCTATACCACTGGCCTTCTTGGGCCCCTAGCTTAGAGACAGCATCTTAGCACTTCTGAGCTACCATAATTGCATGAGCCAATACTCCTAATGTTTCAGCATGTGTGTATGGTGTGTGTGTCATTTTTATGCCTTTCTTATTGTTTGTTGGGTTAGGGAAGTTTCCTTCTATTTCTACATTGCTAATAGTTTTTTTTAAATTAAGAATGAATGTTGAATTTTATTATTTTTTCTGCTTCTATTGAGATGAACATATGGGTTCTTTTTTTGTTATTATGGTGAATTGCATTAATACATTTTCTGATATTAAACCAATTTTGCATTTCTGGAAGAAACAAAACTTGTCATTTCAAAAAGTATTCTGTTTAGAGTTACTGCAGTTCTGTTTATGGATGAGACTATAGTTATTTTTTTCATACTGTTTTAAAAATTTGATATTAAAATTATATACATATCTACTTAACATTAATAATTTGTTTCTGAAAATCAGACGTTCTGATCAAAAACAGAGCCCATTTCTCTTTATTTTAAATGGCAAAATTATAATGGATTACTTGTGAACCCAAACTAATTTCCTAAAATGTAAGTAAAATATGGTAAACCTATATTAAATTTGCTTCCTGGCCCCCAAATAATATAGTTGTTGACAAATAATTGCTTTGTTAGCTGTAATATAGTTTCTTTCATTGTAATTGCTTTTCTGCTTGTTTTGCTTCCTTTTCTATAAAGTTCTTTAACACTTTCTTGACTTTTATTCAGTCTCATTGTTATAATTAGGGAGGAAGATGTGGTGGTGGGGAAGAAATATGAAAGTCACTCTAGAAATGTGTCAGAGAATGATTCACACTGAGGATGATACAGTAATGCCTCTTGTATCATCAGTGGCATTTGTGTGGAACATCCCTGTCACTGATATTCAGGATGCTTTTGGATATGCTGACACATGATGCTGTCATATTACTAATTGTGTTTGTGATGTATCTCAAAGCATTTGATACACTTTTTTTTTTTTGGTTGTTGCTAAAAATGTTGCATTGAGTTTTGGGAGCTAAAATATAATTTTTTTCTATGTAAATATCATCTGAAATGTTGTTTGAGAGATACATATGTTTTGTGATGTTGTGGTCCTAAATACAAGAGGTAACTTCTGGGAAAATATAAATCTGTGGAATATGCCTGTACTAGCTTTATAAAGTAATCTGAAGAACTATTCCTCTTTTTCTCTTACCTGAAAGTTTTTGTGTAATGTCAGCATTCTTTTTCTTAATTAAAAAATTCCACTTTTAAGATTAAGTCTAGTATTTTCTTTGTGGGACAATTTTAAACTACTGATTTCAGTTTCCTTAATGGACATAGGACCATTCAGGTGTTCTAGTTCTTTGGTCAGTTTTGTTAAGTTAAAGTTCCTAGAAAAGTATACATTTCCTGCACATTTTTAAATTTGTTGTTAGGAAGTTGTTCCTTACAGTATCTGATTATCTTTTGAAATCTCTGCTTTTCTTTCAGGTATGTTTATTTTTCATTCTTAATGTGTGCCAGAGGATTGTGAATTTTATTAGTAATTATTTAGTATTTTAAACTGTATTGATGTTACTTTTTCTGTTAGCACAATTTATGTCCAGCATTTATGTCACTTTAGCAATGATGAATCACTCCACATTTGTTAATTAAGTTATATTTTATTTCAGATTTAAAAAAATTTTGTGGGGGCTATTTATGCTTGCACAGTGTAAAATGGACATTCCATGTTGTTCCAATTTTTGCACAATATAATTTTTTCATGCTGTGCCTCATTATTAATATCATGTCTTTTAAAATTTCCCTGGAGATTTAGAAGAGTCATGTAAATTATATGTAAAAAGAGTATTGAAGAAAAAACTATCTCTTTATTGTGGGCATTTGATTTTAAGATAATGTTTAAAATCATTGCGTAAATTATTGAATGTTAAATATCAAAATGCTGAACAATTACTGCTTACACAAGAATTACAGTGCACATGCATATGTCCAAAGTACAAAAAATACATTTATAAGTAGTGGGAACTATATAATTTTAGCAAAATGAAAACCTAATGATCATCGTAAAGCCCTGAGTGCGTTGTACAGAGTGTATTCACTGGTGCTAGAAAGCTTACTATGAGTCAGGTGAACTGGAGGATAGTGTTGTGAATGCTCTCTAATGCCGCAGTAGTGGAAGATCCACTTGTCTCTGGGGATTGCAATATTGTATATGTAGTTTAAATTAGCCAGTTTATATCCACACTTACATTATTAATTAATTTTACCTCTTCTAATACTTATTATTACAGTACTTCCCAATATATTTAAATGTTTTTCAATGTTTTACCAATTAACTTGGCCATATTGGTGTGTGCCAGCTACATATCTGTTTCTAAGTATTTTTGCATTTTCTTCTTTGACTTTTGAGTTATTTAGAGATACATTTTTAATTTTCACTGTATGGAGTCTTTTTGAATGTAAGTTATATTTTTGTTATTTATTTTTAATAATAAATAATAAGTAATAAAACTATAAGATTTTGATTTTTTGAAATTTGTTTTGGGTCATAATAGGTGGTTACTTTTTATAAATATTCTGTGGTCTCTACTTGTATGCTGTGTTCCATAATATGTCCTTTGGATCTAGCTTATTAACCATATTATTCCAATCTTCTATATCCTTACTGATTTGTAATCTGCTTGATCTATCAGCTATTGTGTGTTTTAAGGTTTCCCATTATGATATGGATTTGTTAATGTCTCCTTGTATTTCTGTCATTTTTTGCTCTCTCTCTCTCTCTCTCTCTATATATATATGTATATTTTTTCTTTTTCTTTTCTTTTGTTTTTTTTTTGAGACAGAGTCTTGCTCTGTTGCCCTGGCTGGAGTGCAGTGGCGCTATCTTGGCTCACTGCAACCTCCGCCTCCCAGGTTCAAGCAATTCTCCTGCCTCAGCCTCCCGAGTAGCTGGAATTATAGGCGCATGCCACCATGCCAGGCTAATTTTTTGTATTTTTAGTAGAGATGGGGTTTTGCCATGTTGGTTGGCCAGGATGGTCTCCATCTCTTGACCTCGTGATCCGCCCGCCTTGGCCTCCCAAAGTGCTGGGATTACAGGCGTGAGACACCATGCCCGGCCTCTTTTTCTTTTTTTTTAAATTTTTGAGACAGGATCTTATTCTTTCACTCAGGCTGGAGTGCAATGGTTTGATCTCGGCTCACTGCAACCTCCACCTTCCAGGATCAAGCAGTCCTCCCATCTCAGCCTCCTCAGTAGCTGGGACCACAGGCCCACAACACCATGCCAGGCTAATGTTTGTGTATTTATTAGAGACATGGTTTCACCATGTTGCCCAGGCTAGTCTCGAACTCCTGAACTGAAGCTATCCACCCGCCTTAGCCTCCCAAAGTGCTGGGATTACAGGCATGAGCCACTGCACCTGGCCCTGTATATATTTGAAATTATGTTATTATATTGCATCCATATTCATACAATTGATATATCTTCCTAGATAATTAAATTTCCATTAATATGTAATCTTTGAATCTGGTAATTTTTTTTGCTTCGAGAATTTTTTTCTTCATGATTTCACATGAACTTTTATTGGTGTGTATTAGTGTGCTTTATCTTTTTTCCTCCTATTACTTTCCATTTTTGTGTCCTTATAGTATAGCTATGTCATTGTCATCTTAGTCCATTCCTGCTATAACAAAGTAACTTAGACTGGGTAATTTATCACAACACAAATTTATTTTTTACAGTTTTGGAGGCTGGAAAATCTGAGATTAAGGTGCCACAGTGTTTGGTGAGGGCCCATTCCTCACAGATGGCACCTTCTTGCTGCATCCCTACAATGTGAAAGGGGCTAACAGGCTCCCTCAAGCCTTTTTATAAGGGCACTAATCCCATTCATGACATAATCACCACCCAAAGGCTCCACTTCTTGATACCATCACCTTGGAGGTTAGATTTCAACATACGAATTTTGGAGGGACATAAACATTCAGACCATAGCAGTAATGTAAATATCATAAGATTGGATTTTTAAAAGATTCTGTTTTATAATCTTTTACTTAGAATATTTGGTTCACTTTTATTTAATGTAAATATTATACCTTTGTTTTAATTTCTACCATTTTATTTTGTTCTTCCATTTCATCTCTCTTTCTTCTATGTTTTTTTTTCTCTTTTCTTTTTTTATATTTTGGTCTTGTATTGGATTTGTTAAAAATTGTTTTTATTTAATATTTTTCTCCTGTCATAGTATGGAAGTTATATGTAGCCAAATTATAGTTTTTCAGGAATTCTCAAATTTTAACTTGCATATCTAACTCAAGAAAGACTAAATATGGCTGGGAATGGTGGCTCACGCCTGTAATCCCAGCACTTTGGAAGGCTGAGGTGGGCGGATCACTTGAGGTCAGGAATTCAAGACCAGCCTGGCCAACATGGTGAAACCCTGTCTCTACTAAAAATACAATAAATTAGCCAGGCGTGGTGGCATGTGCCTGTAATCCCAGCTACTAGGGAGGCTGAGGCGGGAGAATAGCTTGAATCCGGGAGGCGGAGGTTGCAGTGAGCTGAGATCGTGCCATTGCACTCCAGTTTGAGCAACAATAGAGAAACTCTGTCTCAAAAGAAAAAAAAAAAGACTAAATATATAAAATAATATGGGACTGGGTGCAGTGGCTCATGCCTGTAATCACAGCATTTCAGGAGGCCAAGGCAGGTGGATCGCCTGAGCTCAAGATTTTGAGACCAGCCTTGGCAACATGGTGAAACCCCATCTCTACAAGAAATACAAAAATTATCTGGGTGTGATGGCACACACCTGTGGTCCCAGCTACTTTGGAGACTGAGGCAGGAGGATCACTTGAACCCTGGAGGTTGAGGCTGCAGTGAACTAAGATTGCACCACTGCACTCCAGTCGGGGCGACAGAACAGGACTCTGTCTCAAAAATAAATAAAAATAAAATAATATACAAATATATATAAATATATATTTATCCTCTTCTTGAATAAAAAAAAAAACAAGGACCTTAGAAATGTCTGATGCTAGCTACCCTTTACCCCACTTAGGGGCTATTGTTCAGTATTTTAATTCTATTATTGTATATTTTTAAACTCACAAATTTGACATTCTTATCGATTTATAGTCATTAAATACTTTTTTTACGGGTTACCACTTCTTTGATCATCATTCTCTCCTGCATCTCAGACCATCTATTCAAGATAATTTTTTTCTTAATGAAGTATATACTTTAGAAAATATTTCTACTCTAATTGCAATCTTTCGACCATCAGCATCAACATCACTTAGAGAGCTTATTAGAAATGCAGAATCTCAGATCCCTCCCCAGACATAATGAATAGCAATTTATATTTTAACAAACCCCCCAGGTGATTCATATGCAAATTAATGTTTGAGAAACACTGCTTATAGGCTCATTTAGTGAGGGTCTACTCATGCTAAACTCTCATAGCCTTTATTTGTCTGAAAATGTCTTTGTTTCACTCTCATTTTTGAAAGGGATTTTGCTGGGTACATGATTTTAAATTAATGGTTGTATTCTCTCAGCACTTTGAAACTATTACTTCCTATAATAAGAGTGAATATATAAAATGAATATGCCTTACATTTTATGGAAAAAGTCACAGGTCAGTCTAATGGTTGTTCCTTGCCAAATAATCTGTCTTTTCTTCTCTTTTTCTTGGATGATCTGAATTTTATTACAATATGAGTAGATGTGAGTTTCTTTTTATTTAACCTAGCTATGATTAACTGGGATTCCTGAATCAGAGACTTGGTGTTTGTCTTCTTCAGCTTTATCTTCCAACTCACTAATTCTCTTTTCAGCTGTTAATACTGAGTTTTTAATGTCAGTTATTATACATTATTTTTCTAGGAGTTCCCTTTGTTTTTTTTCAAAGATGTAGGTAATTTAGGATATCTTTTGCTTTTTTGTTATGCACCCTCTTTTATGTCTTGAAATAGATGAAACACACTATTCAATACTCTGATACTCTGATTGACAGGGTCTAACTCTGTTTTAGCTGACTGTCACTTGTTGCCCATTTTCTCGTGGGTTTGTCATTTTCTTTTTCAATGTGAACTGATGTTGTTTGGAAATTAATTTGTGATAACCATTTGAGTCTGTTCCTCTAGAAAGCCTTTATGTTTGTTTTTGCTGAGTACTTGGAGTATCACTGACTTGGGAGCACTCAGACTACACATAAGTGTAAATTCTTACCCCATCCTACATGAGGGAGGGCTGGTGTTAGTCATTTTCAAGGAAAACTTTCCTCCCTGTTTTATCATTTTTCATACTACATAGGCTAATCATCCCTACTGTTTCTCTTCTGTAGGGTGATCTCCCTCCTTTCCATTCACTTACTGAGGATGTTACCTTTCAGGGAACAGACGTTATGCGTGGGTCATAATCCTATCACATTTTGCACAGGCCTCATGTCTTATCTCCTAACTCCCAAGTGGCCCTATGAAGCCTAAGCAATAAGCCACTGGGGTGAGCAAATGTCCCAGGCAAATCCCAGCTCCAGAACTTGCTTTGGATTCCTGTTATTTTTTATTTGTGGCCTCTCAGGACGTCCCATATTTTTCAGCCAACTCAGACACGCATTTAGAACAATATTTTAAAATATTTTATCCAGTATTTTTATTTGTTCTGAATTATAGGATTTCTCTGCGTAGCTCTACTGCCATATTGCAGGCACAAAGCACCTTTTGAGGTTTTTTCAATTTGTTCCTTGAAAAACTATCCAGTTTAAGAACATTAGAAGGGCTTATCACTAATCCTGCTTTTTCAACTAACAAGCTATGTATAAACGTAACAATTCTTTCCAAAATAATTCATAATTTAGAGTGCTCACAAAGTCTCTCTTTTTCTTTTTGAAATGGAGTCTCGGTCTGTTGCCCAGGCTGGAGTGCAGTGGCGCGATCTCAGCTCACTGTAACCTCTGCCTCCCAGGTTCACGCGATTCTCCTGCCTCAGCCTCCCAAGTAGCTGGGAATACAGGCACGTGCCACCACGCCTGGCTAATATTTTTGTATTTTTAGTAGAGACAGTGTTTCATCATGTGGTCAGGCTCAAGTCCTGACCTCAAATGATCCTCCTGTCTCAGCATCCCAAAGTGCTGGGATTACAGGCATAAGCCACTGTGCCTGGCCAGAGTCTCTTTCTTAAAGTAACTTGATCTAATTCTTTGGGAACCTGACAAAATTATATTCAGTAGTTCGTTTAAAATAATAAGATGATGAGAATAGCCAGAACAATTCTTTTTCTATTGCTGCTGCACAAATTCACCCAGAACAATTTAGAAAAATAGTAGTGAAGGAGTATTAACTCCTTTTAAAATACTAGATATGAAATATTCTGAATTTTACAAGATAATTAAATTAGCATGGTAATTGCACAGGCATTCCCTGTCAATGAAATGGAAGATATAACTCAGAAACAGTTCTTAGTGTATGCTGGACCTTAGTCTTAAAGTAAATATCCCAAATCAGCAGAGGAGGGAGGACTTATCCAACACACATTGCTGGCAACAGTGATTTGCCATTTGGAAAAAACAAAAAAGAGATTTACTTGATATTAAAAAGCAAAATAATGTCTATGTAGTTTAAAAATTAAATGGAAAAAATCACGATAGAAAGGCTAAGTGAAAATATTTTATTGTAAAAAAAACTTACTAAACATAAAAATCAATGGCTGTTTCTCAGAGGTGGCAAGAAACTGGTTACAATGAATGATGAAGTAACAGAGACTTTTCTTCCCTTTTGAACCATGAGAAAGTGTTACCTTTCAAAACAAATATTACCTTTCAGAATAAAATGTATTTAAAAAATAAATAAAAAAATGGAATAAGAAAATAATTGGTAGTCTTGATTTGGGAAAATCTAAAACTGTTCTGTCACTAAAGTAATAATTAAAGAAAATTCCATGTATCAATTGGTAAAATTCTTATAATAAATGTAATTAAAAGAAATATAACCCTAATTTTAAAATATTCACATTTATCCATATGAACACTGGGAAATCATCAGAGCCAAAGTCAAAAAGAGACATTTCACAAAAGAGAAACATGAATTCTAAAACATATCAAAGAAACCTATGGAAACTACTTTTGTATAGTAATACTACTAAACTATATTATTATATTATATAGTAATACTATTATATTATTATATTATATAGTAATACTATTATATTATTATATTATATAGTAATACTATTATATTATTATATTATATAGTAATACTATTATATTATAGTAATACTATTTAACTCCCAATTTTCTGGTGTTTGCGTTTATTTTTTAATTTATTTTTGTTTTTTCACTCTGTCACCCAGGCTGGAGTGCAGTGGCACCATCTCAGCTCACTGCAGCCTCCACCTCCTGGGTTCATGCAATTCTCCTGCCTCAGCTTCCCAAGTAGCTGGGACTAAAGTCATGTGCCATTTTGCCCAGCTAATTTTTGTATTTTTAGTAGAGACAAGGTTTCACCACGTTGGCCAGGCTGGTCTCAAATGCTGTAATGCTGGCATTACAGGCGTGAGCCACCGCGCTAGGCCTGTTTTTATCAAAAGCCAGGTAGGCCTATATTTGGAAAGGCCTTGTCTTTTTCATTCATTTTTTTCTTATTTTGGGGGTGTAATTACCCTTAAATTTTTTTCTCTTATGGAATTTTCATTATGGATTTGCTAATCTTTTTTTTTTTTTTCTTGAGACAGAGTCTCGTTCTGTTGCCCAGGCTGGAGTGCAGTGGTGCAGTCTTGGCTTACTGCAGCCTTTGCCTCCCGGGTTCGTGATTCTACTGCCTCAGCCTCCCAAGTAGCTGAGACCACAGGCACATGCCACCACACCCGGCTAATTTTTGTACTTTTAGTAGAGAAGGGGTTTCACTATGTTGGCCAGGCTGGTCTCGAACTCCTGACCTCAGGTGATCCGCCTGCCTCGGCCTCCCAAAGTGCTGGGATTACAGGCGTGAGTCACCGCACCCGGCTCAGATTTGCTAATCTTTATGCTAAATGTGTTCACATAAAAATGATGTGATTAAATAAGGTGTGGTTTGTCTTAATTTGATAACACAGATTTTATGTAAAATCTCTTCTCCACCACCATTTTATAGATCGTACTTGAAGTGCTGACTTGTCAATGACAGAGATACTGAATAGACTGCTAAATGAATACTAATTCAAGACATTCCTGGGTCTGATGTTACTACATGTAGAAAACCACCAGGTGGCAGTACAAGCCAAGCACAAAACCCACACTAATTTAGAGCAGCACATTACACTTTACACATTACAGGATTACACTTTAATTGGAATAAATGAACAACTGAATAGTCATATTGGAGTAGAATCACCACATTTTCCAGGTGTTTTAAACCTGGTTTTTATATTTTTCATACTTGTTTTTCCAAGGTGAGGCTTTTCTTTAAATAAAAGTCTCGTCTAATTAATAGAAAAGACCTGTTAAGGTTACATCTTATGCATTCCAATTCAGACAAGTATGAAACATCTTTGAGTGGTAAGATTCCTGTACTGCAGACTCTATGTTCTAAGCTAACCAGGAGGATAAAGCTGGTGCTTCAGTCTGCAGCCAGCTTGCCAGTAGCAACGAGGGTTAAATTATTAATAGACCTTTCTTCTGTGGTTAGGCAGCTCGACTGGTCTTAATTTTTTTTTAAGTCAGGTATGATTTGGTTGCTGTGCTTAGTCACACATCTGGAAATAAATAGTTGCTAGACAAAAATAAATTTTTTATATTTTTATGACTAAATATATGTGGCATGTGTTTCATGTCCACACATTGCCAAGGATATTTTTAGAAAAATCTGTTTCCGTCAGTAACCTTGCTGTTAGCTTGATGGTGCAAGAGTCTTTGGGGAGCGCAAACAGCGTTGGAAGATCCTCTGCTCCTGTGGGACACAGAATTACTCAAACAGCACTAAACACAAAACCTGGGTTTCTAATGAGTGGGCTGTTCATGTATTAATGTTAGTATTTGGTTTTAGCCACTGAAAGAGAATTGCAGCTGTTCCATTAGAGATCTGAAGTCTGTCAAATGGGTGAGTTATATTTCTGAACTTGAAATTGAGAATATGAAACCTTCCCAGAAATCATGGTGAGCCCAAGAATGGCTGAAAGGCAGAAGTTTGAGGATCGCGATGCTTGACATTTCTAAAAAGGGGGAGTAGTAATTTCAATAAACTTTGGTCTACAATAGTGAATGTGGTCTCGATTCTGTAAGACCCTATCAGATGAATGGGTGAGTAGTCCCTAGAGGCAGTAGCACCTACTTCATGAGAAGCCAGATTGGGTTTGACACTTGTCACAGCAAACTTTTTTCTTTAACAGGGTGTCCAGACCTCCAGACCTAGAAAGGGCAGAGAACTTGGAAATCTGAGTTTGAACAAGGCACTTCAGAAGGTCTCTCATAATACACTTCTGGATGAAGTGATATTGGGGCTGGGATGTAAGTGTAATTATGTATATTGATAATTGTCTCAATAGCTATTTAATAGATTGATATCAAATGGAGGAATGTGTCTAGGGTTGTTCTTGGCCTTTTTCTTTAATTCTTTTTACAGTGATTTGGTTGAGGATGTTGTATGCACGTTTATCAAATTTGGGATGATGTGAAATTAAATAGAATAAATTAAATGGTCAAATCAAGATCCTAAGTCTTAGGCTGGTTAAACTTGGTAGTATAGCAAGAATTGTTTTAAAGAGACTACATGTAAAGGCCACTACATGTGTCCTAAAGTCAATAGCATGTATACAGGATAAGTAGCTGTGACAAATCTGAAGAAGACAGGAAATGTAGTTGGCAGTGAAGATAGTATAAATCAGTTGTGTACAATGGCTGTCAGCAGAGTTAACTTATTTTTATTTATTTATTTTGATTCATAAAAATACAAAATCTCCATCTCAAATAGCATTCATTTAGCAGTTTCTTCAGTATCTCTGTCATTGACAAGTCAGCACTTCAAGTAAGATCTCTAAAATGGTGGTGCAGAAGAGATTTTACATAAAATCTCCGTTATCAAATTAAGATGAACCACACTTTATATAACCTCACTCTGTTGCCCAGGCTGGAGTGCAGCAATGTGATCTTGGCTCACTGCAACCTCCACCTCCCAGGTTCAAGTGATTCTCCCACCTCAGCCTCCCAAGTAGCTGGGATTACAGGTTTGTGCCACCACGCCTGGCTAATTTTTGTATTTTTAGTAGGGACAGGGTTTCGCCATGTTGGCCAGGCTGGTCTCAAACTCCTGACCTCAAGTGATACGCCCACCTCGGCCTCCCAAAGTGCCGGGATTACAAGCATGAGTCACCACCACGCACAGCCAGAATTAACTTACTTTTTTTAAACAAAGTTAATGTTAACTTAGGTTTCATTGATTAAAAAGTGTGGCATGGCAAAGGAGTGAGGGGATCCCCTCCCTCTTCTCCTGCAGGCTGGACTACCCTCTTTTCAATTCTAGGTGCTATAACCTCAAGTGGGGCATGGGCACAAGATTACATATTCATACATGTGACATTTATGTCACACATTCAACTATAACAGCAGTAGCAACAATTGCAACACCCATGGCCCCAATGTCTATCACCTGGGATGTCATTGCTACTTTCACCCAATTTAGATATAAATGACCTCTAGGTTTTCTTCTATCTCTACAATCCTACGATCCAGCTCACAAAAGATATCATCTTTGAGGATTAGGTGTAAATTCAGCCATGGCCAGTAAAGCCTCTAAAATCTCTGTATCCAACCAAGACCAGGCGCGGTGGCTCATACTTGTAATCCCATCAGTTTAAGAAGTTGAGGCTGGCAGATTGCTTGGGCCCAGGAGTTCAAGACCAGCCTGGGCAACTTGGCAAAACTCATCTCTACAAAAAATTAGCTGAGTGTGGTGGCACACACCTGTAGTCCCAGCTACTTGGGAAACTGAGGTGGGAGGATCATCTAAGCCCTGGGAGGTCAAGGTTGCAGTGAGCCGTGATTGCACCACTGTACTCCAGTCTGGACAACAGGGTGAGACACTGTCTCAAAATAAATAAAATAAAATCTCAGTGTCTAGAACACCAAAAGCTCTATGAGAGTGCAATAAGAATATTTGTATGTTGGTAAAAGAATGGGAAGTTAAGTATAATAAAATGCTTTTCCTTAAAAGTACATATCTATTGGGTTGATTTCCCTCATATTCCCAGGGCTGCTCCATATCAGGGTGGTTAAAATAATTTTAAGGAATGATTATAGGGAGAAAAGTAGGCACAGAGCCCTGAATTCTGTTTCTGAAGGCAGTTTATTTTCTGCCTTAGTGGACTATAGGCTTCAAGTCCAAAGATCCAGTCCAGTGATAATAAGGGGTGAATTGGAGGGTGGCCATAGCATAATTTATTATTCCAGGCTTCTGGTAGTATTGTCTTTGGCAACTGAGCACATTTCCCCCTTCTTTTCTATGTCTTCAGTGCAGACTCTGCTTTCTCCCTGTTTATACAGGGTCAGCACATGAAGTGATGTGGACAGAGAGCCCCACCTCCTTGGCTGCTGTGGTTGGTTCAGGTATTAACACGTGACTCAAGCTGGGCCAATTGGAGCCCTTGTCTGGGACTTTTCTATATTGGAGTCAATAGGGAAAATTGCTGTTGCTTCTATGTTCCTGGCACTAGAAGAATAGCTGAGGATGGCTGACTTTATCTCTTGTAGAGAAAGCCTGTCTGCAATAGTAAGAATGAGGCCAACACAAAGAGAGACAGGGAAGATAGGGGAGAAATGGTGATATTGAGGTCTGGATCTCAGTCTGTCTGACATCAGTGCTAATGAACCACTCCTTTTAAAATTTAAGTTGATTTGTATTTGTCATTTATATCCTGACTAATACAGCCTTCAGAAAGAAATATTAGAAAAAGCACTGTCATGAACTATTACTTCATTAACATAAAAACAGATCATTTTGGTATGATGATAATAAAAGTAGCAACAATCCATTAAGAATCTACTATATGTTAGGCACTGCAGTAAGTGCATTACATATTTTTTTCATTTAATCTTCACAACAACCTATGTAGTACCTGTATCAGTTTGCTATAACTGTATGACTAACTGCCCTGAAACTGAGTGGCTTGAAACAATAATTTGTTTAACTCACAAGTCTTTGTCTTGGTTGGGTAACTGTGGTCTGGACCAGGCTCAGGTGATCATAAATGGGCTTGCTAACGAGTCTGCGGTAAGTTGGCAGATTTCTAGGACTTACTAGTCTAGGGTGGCCTCATTCATAGGTGTAGAGTTTGGTCACCTGGGCACACAAGAGTGGATATTGCCTCTCCAGCAGGCTAACCCTAGCTAGTTTCAAGCAGGTGCCAAATGAGTGAGTGGAGGCATGTGAATCCTCTCATGGCTCACTCTTGGCACTGGCACGCAACTACTTCTGAAGCATTTTCTTGGCCCAGTTTCAAGGAATGAGGAAATAGTCTCTATTCTTAATGAGAGGAACTGAAAAGTCAAGGAGAGTGGATATAGAAAGGCATGGAAACAATGGGAACACAACTATTCTATTATGAAAGGTATTATGTGCATACACTTCAAAAGTTAAGAAACTTACTCAAGGTCATAAAGCTAGAAAGCAGCAGAGACAGGATTTGGGCCTTAATCTTCTGACCGAAAATCTCATTCTCTTTCAACACTTCTTTCTAATATTGCTGATTGATCTGTGCAGTCCAGATGTCACAGTGTAATTAGTTTCTAAAATAAATCTGTTCTTAGATTACTTTTGAATGACTTCTAAGTTATTATAAAAAAGTTCTTTGTTGTAATAAAGGTATTAACTTTCCATGAGTATATTCTTGACCCACACCCATAAGCATTTTTGCTCATATTTGTATCCACAATAAAATGAAGTTCATATTTTCATCTTGTAGCACAGTATCATTTGAATTACCAGATGCTATTTTAGAAGACTAGCTAAAATAACTTGCAGTACCTAGGAAGTTCTTAAATGGTGCTTACAGGAACTTGACTTCAGACAAATGGGAAGCCAGAAGATGGTGAATGAAAGGATCTATACACTAAAAAGAAAGCTGTCGACAGACAGAAGAAAGAGAGCTGCAGGACAGTGGAACTCCATCCCGTGGGATTCGAAGGAGAGGAGTAGTGGTAAGTGGCTATTATTTAAGTTGAGGAGTCTTAGAACCTAGTGTATAAGGCTCTGTGCATATCCCAGAGCCAGCCTTCTCCAAAGAAACTCAAAAGGGTAAAATATGGGGAAGAGAGACAAGGCACAGAGAGTCTGGTATTGCTCCTTAAGCAAATGCCCCACATTGTGCTTCTACAAAAATAATTCGGCTCAAATCCTCCTTTCATGTCTCACTTGGAAGTCTGAGTGTTACATTTATTCTTCTAGAATAGTTCTCACGGTGTTGTTGGGGGAGGAGGGTGGTCACCTAGGCAGCTTTATCTCATGAAATTCAGTGACTGAAATGCACAAATTGCTGGGAAGAAAGCAAGATCAGGAGGGTACAGAATAAAACAGATGGTGGAAAACAAAAGGAGGCAACTGCCAGGAACTTTCTTCCTGCAACTGACTAGGGACTTCTTTCAGAAAGTAACACAAGGCAAGCTGAACTGAACATTTTGGAACATCTCAGAGATCGTTTGGCTTGAGGCGAGATGACTGGGACCTCACCTTTGGGAGACAGACATGAGAAAAGGGAGTGTTCAAATGGTTTGAGGGAAACAGTGACAGGGAATTAAAGGAGGAAAAGCAGAGGGATATCTATGGGTTGGTAAGGAAAGCAGATTGTTTTATGAGTTATAAGCTGAATACTGGGGGAAAAGGTGATATGTATAGTTTTAAAGCATCATTAATATCTTAAATGTTCACATTTTATTTATCATTTTGGTAAATGTGCCACTTTAAACACCAGAATAGTTTCTGATTTTGGAATCTGGTGGTCAGGATGAGATGGGGGTATGGGAAGAAGTGCAGTGTATTCTCATCACCAGTGGGGACCAGACTGGGATTACACTTTCCCTGACAGGTTTCTTAAGTGATTTGTTTTAAGACAAGGTGTGCATTCTGTGTTCAGAGCCACACAGAATCTTGGATTTGGAGAATCAGTTTCCCCTCTGTTCTGTTAGCCTTCATCTGCATGCTAGCCTTGGATGACTCTGAAAAGAGAGTGTGGCCATTCGGCCTCTAGGTCAGCAAGGTTTGGTCTAGAGTCAAGCCAGGATCTTAGGGCTGTGGTACCTGACATTACTATATTCCATGTTTGATATTTGGTATTTGGTTGTCACCTAACTGCAGACCTCTTTCCCTAACATCAAAAAGGTACAGAATTCTAACCATAAGAATAAGAATTCTATATAAACCCAAATCACTTTTCAATATGGACCATTTGAGACAATAGATCTTTTTATAATATTAAGGAAAACAACCCAATGAAAGTAAAAGAAACCCTCAGATCAGTATCTATTAGATACAAATGTGCCTCAGAAAGGTGACCAAAAAAATGTTCAGGAAGGGCAACCCTGCTTAATCAATTTAAGCTTTTAAATTACAGGTTTGAGCTGAAGCAATTACTTTATTGATAAATATAGAGAAAATGCCAGCCATTGGAACCACTTAACTTGCATTTGTTCAAAGCACTAAATCAATTAGAGAAAATTTTGTAAAGTTTGGAATTTTACTGTAATGTTACACACACTCAGAATGAAAGGGTTGTTGAATCTGCATATAGATATATATATAATATAGTTACTGTAATGTGACACATACTCCAAATGAAAGAGCTGTTGAATCTGCATATATATATATATATATATATATATATAGTTTTGCAGTAGTTGACTTCCTTCCAAATCTGCAATTTAAAAAAGGAAGAATAGTAACCAAACATTAAAACAATTTTACATCCTTTATCTTCAAGTTTAGTTGAAGATATTTGAAAAGTCAGGATAGTTTTTCGTCTTTAGTGGCTTAGACATGTGTAGAAAACCAGAATATAATTCAGGTATTTTCTACAGTATTATTGTTACTAAGTATTATTCTTTACAAATTTATAGATAACAGCTGCCTCCAATTTTGCTGTCTACAAAGAGATATCCATCTGTGGTGGCTTCCTTTTACTCTTTGAGTTTCTGAATTTTTATATCATAGGCGAACTTTGCTCATATATGTATTTATTTTTAATTTTTTAAAATATCCCTTTTAATTTGGAAAAACTTCAGATGTACAGAAAAGTTGCAGAGTGTATAGCAAGGTCTTGTATATGCTTTACAAATTTCCTTCTAATGTTAACATCTGTAGTGGGCTGGACTGTGGCCCCCAAAATATGTTCATATCCTAACTCCCAGAGTCTGTGAATGTGGCCTTATTTGAAAATAAAAGGTCTTTGTAAATGTAATTAGGTTAAGAATCTCAATATGAGATTATTTTGGGTTGTCCACTGTGGGCCTTAAATCCAATGACAAGTATCCTTATAAGAGACACACTGAAGAGAAAATGCAGGGAGAAAAGGGAAAAGACTAGTTTTTCTACTGATATCCCTTTTCTGTTTTAGGATCCAATCCTGGGTAGTACATTGCATTTAGTTGTCATGTCTCCACAGTCTCCTTGTGGTCCGTGATAGTTTCCTAGTCTTTCCTTGTTTTCCATGATCTTGATAGTCTTAAGCAGTACTGGTCAGGTATTTTGAAGAATATCCCTCACTATGGGTTTGTCTGCTGTTTTGCTCATGATTAGACGAGGCTGTGGGTTATGGGAGAGAGTATCACAGAGGTGAAGTGCCCTTCTCATCACATCATATTAGAGAATATAGTATACCTATCCACATGACTTATCACTGGTGATGTTAATCTTGACCACTTAGATAAGGTAGAGTTTTCCAGTTTTTCTTACAGGAAAGTGACTATAGGTTGAGCTTTCCCTAATCCAAACATTCAAGATTCAAAACACTTCAATATTTGAAATTTTTGAATGCCAATATGATGCCACAAGTGAAAAATTTCATATCTGTCCTTATGTGCTAGGTCCCGGTCAAAATGCAATCACATCACACACAGTTTATTCAGCATCCCAAAGGGAAGAAAGAGACTTGAGCCCTCTTCAGCTGCAATATATATTTTCTGTACATGCCCAGTTTCCTCCATGCAAGCACACAAAAGAAGTGTAATAAAATGGCACATGTGCAGGCCAGACATGCCATTGGCAGGTTCCCCCCAATGCCCTATGTGAGGCCAAGATTTATGTGCATTCCTTACTGTGTTTTTTTTGCTTATTCTATGCTCTGTGGTGTGAAGATATTGTTGAAAATGTCAAAAAAAAAAAAAAAAAACCGCCTGTTTATACCCCTTGGGCAACAGTGGTAAGGAAAAGAGAAAGCATTTTTACTTATCCATAGCACAGAAAGTCAAGCTGTTGAAGAGACCAGGTAGCAGTATAAGTGTGAAACATTTTACAGAAGGGTATAGTATTGCAATGACCACCACATATGACCTAAGAAACAGAAGGATAAACTGTTGAAGATCTATGTGGAAAGTGGTGGACAGAAGTTAATGAGAAATAGAAAAACACTGCATAAAGCTGAACATGAAGATCTTGATCATGTGTGAACAGAGTGAATCCATCAGCACTGCAGTGAACATGTGCCACTTAGCGGTATGGTAATCAGGAAACAAGCAAAGATCTATCACAACGAACTGCAAGTTGAAAGGAACTGTAAATATTCAACAGGCTGGTTGCAGAAATTTAAGACATTGAAGAAAAGACTTGGCATTAAAGATTTGTGGTAATAAAACATCTGCTGCTCATGAAGCAGTGGAGAAATTCATTGACGAGTTTCCAAAGGTTGTTGCTGATGAAAATCTAATACTAGGACAAATCTATAATGCTGATGAAACATCACTGTTTTGATGTTATTGACCCAGAAAGACAACGACTACAGCTGATGAGAAAGCCCCTAGAGGAATGAAAGATACCATGAACAGAATATCTGTGCTCGGATGTGTTAATGCAGCACACACACATAAATGTACACTTGCTGTGTAGGCAAAAGCTTGTGTCCTTGCTGTTTGCAAGGAGTCAATTTCTTACTAGTTCATTATTATGCTAACCAAAAGCCTGGATCATCAGGGACATCTTTTCTCATTGGTTACACAAACAATTTGTACCAGTGGCTGAAGCTCACTGTAGGGAAGCTGGACTGGATGTTGACTGCCAGTATTATTCCTTGACAACTGTTCTGCTCAGCTTTCAGCTAAAATTTTCATCAAAAGTAATGTTGTTTATGCCATGTACTTTTCTCCAAATGTAATTTATTAATTCAACCATATGACCAGGGCATCCTTAGATCAATGAAAAATACATTTCTTGAACAGCATAGTAGCGTGGTGAACAGAGGCAAGTGTGTGAAGGTTTTCAAAAACAGTTTAGCATGAAGGATGCTGTCCATATATGCTGTTACCAACACTTTGAACAAAGTGACTAAAGACACAGTTGTATATGCCTGGCGCAACCTCTGGCCTGTGACTACGTTTAGTGGTGGTGGAGAACAATGTGACAACTTTGAAAAATTCTGTATGTCAAATAAGAAAAAATGATCTCTGAACTCTTTACATATGCAAAAAAATACCTTCAGAGTCCATCAGCAAGCTGGAAGAAGTGGATATCAAAGTTTTTAATATTGATTGTGAGGCTCCAGTTGTTCACTCATTGACTATAGCCAAAATGGTTCTGAATGAAAGTGATTGTGATAATAGTGTTGATGAAGATGATGTTGTTAACACTGCAGAAAAGTGCCTATAGACATGGTGAAAATGCATGTTGGGCTTACTGAAGGACTAGAGCAATCTGCACTCATTGCAGAATAAGAAATCATGTCAGTTTATAAAATTAAAGACAGACTTTTAAGACAAAAACTGTTGTCAATGAGGCAGATGACTTTGGAGGAAACATTTTTTTTTTCTTTTTTTTTTTTTTGAGACAGAGTCTTGCTCTGTTGCCCAGGCTGGATTGCAATGGCACCATCTCGGCTCACTGCAAGCTCCACCTCCCAGGTTCCAGCGATTCTCCTGCCTCAGCCTCCCGAGTAGCTGGACCTACAGGCTCCTGCCACCATGCCCAGCTAATTTTTGTATTTTTAGTAGAGACAGGGTTTCACCATATTGGCCAGGCTGGTCTCGAACTCCTGACCTCATGATCTGTATGCCTTGGCCTCCCAAAGTGCTGGGATTATAGGTGTGAGCCCCCGCATCCGGCCTGGAGGAAACATTTTTAAAAGCCATTCGGCAGAATGCTTCCTTCTCCCCAGAGGACCCACTTCCTGGTCTGTCAGCTACTTCAGATGTTTCTTCTCACCAAAAAAAAAAAAAAAAAAAAGTGCACAGTAACCTTTTAATCAAAACACAGCATCATGGGTGGAGATTGAAAGCCTGCCGATGTTTGTTGTTGCTGTTGTTTAACAGAGGATACGGGTATTCTGTTGATGCTACTGTGCTGCTTAGTTATTGTGAACTCATTATGTTTTATGCTGTATTAATGTTATATCATTTTTTTACTGTTAAGTACTATGTGAATAAGTGTGAGAAAATGTTTGCTTATTGGTGGCATATAAATTTAGAGTCAGGGGTGATGATGCCAAACAACCACAGATCGTCTACATGGATGGCTGAGGTAGTGACACCTTCGCTTTCTGATGGTTCAATGTACACAAACTTTGTTTCATGCACGAAAATACTAAAAATATTGTACAAAGTTGCCTTCACGCTACGTTTATAATGTACACATAAAACACAAATGAATTTGTGTTTAGATTTAAGTCCCATCTGCAAGATATCTCATTATGTATATGCAAATATTCTAAAATCTTGAAAAAATCTGAAATCTGAAACGCTTCAGATTCCGAAGCATTTCAGATAAAGGATACTCAACCTGTATTTTCCTTTTACATACTCAATTCTTTGGAAGCCAGTCTTTAAGCCCAGCACATACTGTAGGAGCTAGGAGGTTAAGCTACATGTCCTTTGTGAGAGGGTGTGTGGGGAAAATATCCACATATATTATTTACAATTTGTCTGTAAAAAAAGGTGTCTTTCTTTTTTTCCTCCGTCCCTCCCTTACGCTCTATCTCCCTCCCTCCCTCCCCACCTCTCTCTTCCTTCTTTCTACACTTCTTTTCTTTAATCATTTATTTGTATCAATATTAGTCAATATTGATACATTTATATCAATATTGATGCAGTCCATAATCTAATTCTGCATTACAATCTAGTCCAACATTATCTTGTTGCCCAAATTGTTCTATCATTTTTGCCACTTATTTTTTTTAAAAAAATTACATTGTATAGTATTGGCTTAAGATTTTTTTGTTCCCTAGCCTATTAGTTATCTATTTCTGTGTAACAAATTACTCCAAAACTTAGTGATGTAAAAAATAAACATTATCATGTCATAGTTTTAATGGATGAGGAATCTGGATGTGGCTTAACTGGGTGCTTCTGGCCCCTCACAAGGCTGAAATCTAGTTGTCAGTAGGATCCTCAATTGAAGAGGATCTGATTTGAGGCTTATGCACATGGTTGCTGGTAACCCTCAGATCCTCACTGTCTGTTGAATGGAGACATCAATTCATTCCAATGTAGACTTCTGCATAGAACAGCTCACAAAATGGCAACTGGCTTCCCTCAGAGTGAGTGAGTGAAAGAGGGTGCCCAAGATGGAAACCACAGTCTTTTTGTAACCGTACCTTAGAAGTGACATTCTATCACTTTTGCCATGTTATATTTATTACACTTGTGTCACTAGTTCAACCCACACTCAAGGGGAGGGAATTATAAAAGAGCATGAAGATGAGGAGGTGGGAATCACTGAATGTCATTTTAGAGGCTGCCCACCACATCCACTACTCTATAGTTACATCCAATCACTTCAATTAATTAGAATGAGGAAAGGGAGAAGAAGGAGGTTTTGAAAAACAAACCACTGATGGATTAAATGTTTTGTTTGCAATACCTTTTGATGTGATGCCACATATTTCATGATGTCACCTCTTACTCTTATTGGTAATGTGTACATTTATTTATTCATTCATTTAGGAGTATATTACATGTAGCTTCCAAGCCAAATGTGACTTTGCTGAACCCAGGGTGTGGTCTACCTGAGATTTTTGGAAAACCTTTTCTTTCCTTTAATAAATAGCACCTGTTGCACTTATAGGTCATTTAGGTCCAACCAACTGAGCATCACTTCCACCAGTTGTCATGTGAGCAGAAGTTGAACAATTAGTGACTGTAACAGAAGCTAAATGTAATCACTTTCATGATTTTGAGTTGTTCATATTGAATTCCATACAAATTGTCACCTCTATGCAAATAAACTAGAAAATCTAGAAGAAATGGATAAATTCCTCGACACATACACTCTCCCAAGACTAAACCAGGAAGAAGTTGAATCTCTGAATAGACCAATAACAGGAGCTGAAATTGTGGCAATAATCAATAGCTTACCAACCAAAAAGAGTCCAGGACCAGATGGATTCACAGCCAAATTCTACCAGAGGTACAAGGAGGAACTGGTACCATTCCTTCTGAAACTATTCCAATCAATAGAAAAAGAGGGAATCCTCCCTAACTCATTTTATGAGGCCAGCATCATCCTGATACCAAAGCCGGGCAGAGACACAACCAACAAAGAGAATTTTAGACGAATATCCTTGATGAATATTGATGCAAAAATCCTCAATAAAATACTGGCAAACCAAATCCAGCAGCACATCAAAAAGCTTATCCACCATGATCAAGTGGGCTTCATCCCTGGGATACAAGGCTGGTTCAATATACGCAAATCAATAAATGTAATCCAGCACATAAACAGAACCAAAGACAAAAACCACATGATTATCTCAATAGATGCAGAAAAGGCCTTTGACAAAATTCAACAATGCTTCGTGCTAAAAACTCTCAATAAATTAGGTATTGATGGGACGTATGTCAAAATAATAAGAGCTATCTATGACAAACCCACAGCCAATATCATGCTGAATAGGCAAAAACTGGAAGCATTCCCTTTGAAAACTGGCACAAGACAGGGATGCCCTTTCTCACCACTCCTATTCAACATAGTGTTGGAAGTTCTGGCCAGGGCAATTAGGCAGAGAAGGAAATAAAGGGCATTCAATTAGGAAAAGAGGAAGTCAAATTGTCCCTGTTTGCAGATGACATGATTGTATATCTAGAAAACCCCATTGTCTCAGCCCAAAATCTCCTTAAGCTGATAAGCAACTTCAGCAAAGTCTCAGGATACAAAATCAATGTACAAAAATCACGAGCATTCTTATACACCCATAACAGACATACAGAGAGCCAAATCATGAGTGAACTCCCATTCACAATTGCTTCAAAGAGAATAAAATACCTAGGAATCCACCTTACAAGGGATGTGAAGGACCTCTTCAAGGAGAACTACAAACCACTGCTCAATGAAATGAAAGAGGATACAAACAAATGGAAGAACATTCCATACTCATGAATAGGAAGAATCAATATCGTGAAAATGGCCATACTGCCCAAGGTAATTTATAGATTCAATGCCATCCCCATCAAGCTACCAATGACTTTCTTCACAGAATTGAAAAAACTACTTTAAAGTTCATATGGCACCAAAAAAGAGCCCGCATTGCCAAGTCAATCCTAAGCCAAAAGAACAAAGCTGGAGGCATCACGCTACCTGACTTCAAACTATACTACAAGGCTACAGTAACCAAAACAGCATGGTACTGGTACCAAAACAGAGATATAGATCAATGGAACAGAACAGAGCCCTCAGAAATAACACTGCATATCTACAACTATCTGATCTTTGACAAACCTGAGAAAAACAAGCAATGGGGAAAGGATTCCCTATTTAATAAATGGTGCTGGGAAAACTGGCTAGCCATATGTAGAAAGCTGAAACTGGATCCCTTCCTTACACCTTATACAAAAATCAATTCAAGATGGATTAAAGACTTAAACGTTAGACCTAAAACTATAAAAACCCTAGAAGAAAACCTAGGCATTACCATTCAGGACATAGGCACGGGCAAGGACTTCATGTCTAAAACACCAAAAGCAATGGCAACCAAAGCCAAAATTGACAAATGGGATCTAATTAAACTAAAGAGCTTCTGCACAGCAAAAGAAACTACCATCAGAGTGAACAGGCAACCCACAAAATGGGAGAAAATTTTCGCAACCTACTCATCTGACAAAGGGCTAATATCCAGAATCTACAATGAACTCAAACAAATTTACAAGAAAAAAACAAACAACCCCATCAAAAAGTGGGCGAAGGACGTGAACAGACACTTCTCAAAAGAAGACATTTATGCAGCCAAAAAACACATGAATAAAATGCTCACCGTCACTGGCCATCAGAGAAATGCAAATCAAAACCACAATGACAAATCATCTCACACCAGTTAGAATGGCAATCATTAAAAAGTCAGGAAACAACAGGTGCTGGAGAGGATGTGGAGAAATAGGAGCGCTTTTACACTGTTGGTGGGACTGTAAACTAGTTCAACCATTGTGGAAGTCAGTGTGGCGATTCCTCAGGGATCTAGAACTAGAAATACCATTTGACCCAGCCATCCCATTACTGGGTATATACCCAAAGGACTGTAAATCATGCTGCTATAAAGACACATGCACAGTTCTGTTTATTGCGGCACTATTCACAATAGCAAAGACTTGGAACCAACCCAAATGTCCAACAATGATAGACTGGATTAAGAAAATGTGGCACATATACACCATGGAATACTATGCAGCCATAAAAAATGATGAGTTCATGTCCTTTGTAGGGACATGGATGAAAGTGGAAATCATCATTCTCAGTAAACTATTGCAAGAACAAACAACCAAACACCGCATATTCTTACTCATAGGTGGGAATTGAACAATGGGAACACATGGATACAGGAGGGGGAACATCACACTCTGGGGACTGTTGTGGCGTGGGGGAGGCGGAGGGATAGCATTGGGAGATATACCTAATGCTAGATGATGAGTTAGTGGGTGCAGCGCACCAGCATGTCACATGTATACATAGGTAACTAACCTGCACGTTGTGCACATGTACCCTAAAACTTAAAGTATAATAATAAAAAATAATAATAAAAAACAAAACAAAACAAAACAAAAAACTGGGGAATTATAAAGAACTATTGATGATAAATATTAACAATTCCACTTGTATTCAACTTGTCTTAAAATTAGGTCTAGGTACCTTTAAATAAAATCATTTATTTGTTTCTTTTAATTAAAAAATTAATTCATGCTCTCTGCAGGAGACTTAAAAAGGATGAAAAACCCAAAAGAACACAAGAGCTACCTCAGATTATACATCTTATTGTTAACATTTATTTTTATTTTTATTTTTATTTTTTACTTTTTAGTGCTAACATTTTGATGCAAAAAGCTTCCATATTATTTTATTCATGTGTTCTGTATACATATCTTTAACATACATGTGTGCACACCTGTATACATATTTATATATATATATATTTAACAACATTTGTATCAAATTTGTGGAATACCTAGAAATATATTCTGAATATTTTCTTAAGTAAATCCCTCTTTTAGCAAGGACCCTCTGAACTTAACCAGTGATTGTCACTGAAATTCCGTGCATGTGAGTTTCTACTTTGTGGCCACCTCTGGACTCATCCAGTAAACATATATTGGCTGCTGACTATTGGCCAGGCACTGTGCTGATGGCTTATTTGACATGGTTCTTGGTTTCCCTACATTATAAGCTCCTGTTTTCATTATTCTCCTTTCACCATGGGCTTGACAGGGATCCTGGCACAGGGGAGAGTACCAGCCAGAAATTTGGAAAACTCAATTTTTGTTCCAGCTCTGCTACTAACTGGCACAAATAAAAACTAATAGATAACATATATTGAATATTCACTATGTGCCAGCTGCTGCCCAAAGCCCTGCACTTATACTCTCATGTATGGTTCCAAAAACTCTGTGAGGGAGATGCTATTATAAATAACCATACTCATTTTACAAAGGAGGAGACTGAAGCCAGAGAGATTAAGAAGCTTGCCCAAGGGCACATAACTACTAAGTAGTGGAGTAATGATTTAATCCTGGTAGCTGATTCTAGAGTTGATGTTCTTAATCACAATGGTACTTTTGAAGTTACTATGAAGAGATCGTCTCTCTAGGCCTTCATTTCCTCATTGCAAAAATGTGGAAGTTGCCCTAGAGTAGACGATATCCTTTCCAGGTCTAAATTTTTGAGTTAGTCTGCATTAATTTAACTTTATTATTTTAATTTGGGATTTCTTGTTTGCAAGTACAATATGATTTCATCACATGCATCATTAACTTTCCAAACTTCAAAGTTTCCCCAAATGAAAAGTGAGAGAAAGCCCCAGTTAGGGAGAGAACTAGAGAAAAAGTGGAGGCAAGAGTAAGAAAATTTGAATAATGCTGGGGATTGAAATAGTCAATAGTCAAGACACGTTTGTCAAGAACCATGGAAATTCGTGTATAAATGATTTTATTTTAAAATCATTTTATCACTGAAAACAGAGAAATGTACTGCTCAGGTGACCAGGTGAGTTACTGATGAGATATTCACCTACATTCTTGATGAAAGTGAAGTATTAATTGGATTCAATGGTAAAACTTTCACAAATGATAAATTAGGAGAACCAATAAACTCATCTTGCAGAGTTGTAAAAAAGTATAATGTCTGTTAAAATGTCTCTGAACTTCAGAGATCTGCAGAATGAGCCAAAGTGGGGGTTTACTGAGCCCAGACCCTTAAAGGTGCAAATGACTCCATTCTCTGGTCTTTTCCATTTTTACAGACATTATACTTTTTAAGCACTGTAAAGTATTTTAAGGATAATCTTTACTGTATGTGATTTTTTTCACTTACAGACTTTAAAACCAAACCTATAAGTAAGCTGTAAATCCATTTTAACAGGTACCTACTCAAATTAAAATTTATTGGAAAGATGCAGGAGTATATCACAGAATCAGAAAGCGAATATTCATCTAGCTTTCCAAGAGACTGGGTCCATGACCAGGAAAATCATTAGGGTCTAAGATAGCAATTTTCTGGCTCTTTTTCTTTATTCCTCTGCCCTGTCCCTTCCCAAAATACTATATAGGAGAACCCACTTTATTCTTTTTCTCTTTTCACACAAGCTTTCTTTGCTTCTCCATGCATGGGTGGAAAATGGCCACCCTACACAGTCTTCCAGGCCAAGCACTCAGTAGAGAATGACCAGTGTTTCTGAGACTTAATTTGAAATGTTTGAGAGAATGTGCAGTCTCAGGTCTGTGGGGCATGAGAGAGTAGGGCCCTATGATCCACTTTCTAGGAGAAGCCACGGGGAAAGATCCAGATTCAGAACAGGAACTGATAGGCAGTGCATGTTAGCAGGCCAGCCACTGATGTCCTGACAGAAGTTTCTGGGTCCCTCGAGCAAGACTCAGAGCACTGGAGAGAGTTGCTGGACTCACAAGGACCCCACAGACAGAAGTGAGTGTCTCTGTGGTGAGAGAGGACCAGATAGGCCACAGATGCTTTAGTAGGTGACCAACAGTATAACACTGTCAAATCCTTGGGGACTTAGACACAACCAAGGAAAGAGAGAGTGAGAAAGGAAGAACACCAAGCCAACAGATTAAATTTTCTGCCTTTTTAGCAAAATGGAGCTTGAAATAAAAGCTAGGCTGAATTATAGAAAAGTAATATTACATTGCTATAGAAAAGTAATATTACATGGCACACCTGCTGTGTGGGCTGAGACTTGTATTTGATATAATGGAGACCTTTCTGAAATTGCTGGGATTCCTTATGTAGCACGTTTCTGAATTAGCATTACTGACATACTCTAGAATTAGGGCCAGGTCATTGGCAGGGCAATAGCCATGGTCCTGTGCAGAGACAAAGTATGTGCTCAGAAGGCTTCTGTGATTTCAGTAAAACCAGTGGGTTGTAATGTGGCCAAGTTGAAAAGAGCTCTACAAAAATGCCTTAAGGTTTTCAGGCAACCTGAGGAGGGTGGACAGAAGGAGGAGAGGACAAATGTAACCTGAATAAAGTCTATGGTTGGATTTGAGTTCTATGCACGCTAGGAAAGTAGTTAAAAAGGAAGGTGCACGAGATATTCTTTTTAAGGCATTTTTCTTAGACTCTGAATTTAGAATGGACTTCGAAGAGGGAAGAGTGGTTCCAGCAGCAGTGGCTCAGGGCCTGCCAGATGGCACAGCTGGGCACTTATCACAGCAGGTCTTTTGGGATGCCCTGCTTGTAAGGCAGCTTCTAAGGTAGAAGGATCCTGGTGCCCTGACAGATGGGTGTCCCCTTAATGTGCTGTGGATTGACGTGGTGGCCTGGGATGCAGTCAGACACTCTCTTGGGAAAGGAGATGGGACTACTTAACAAGCTTCAGGAGAGCACTGCTCTGCATGGGAAGGTGGACATTTCTAAGACTCCAGTGAAGCACAAGCACACCCGTATTTTGTTTAGTTTGTAGGAAAAAAGAAACATTTTCATGGCAACTTTTATTTATAGGAAACCCTCATCCAGGAGGAAAGTGTCTCAGAAAATGAAAAAGACCAGAGAGTGGAGTCATTTGCACCTTTAAGGGTCTGGGCTCAGTAAACCCCTACTTCGGCTTATTCTGCAGATCTCTGAAGTTTGGAGACATTGTAGCTTTTGGATATGAGGAAGTTCTGGTGGAGATTGAGGTTGGGGAGCCTGCTTACAACACCTGCCACCTTATTTAGGTCACAACAGCTTCTCACTTCTCAAGTAAACTGGGTCCCTCAAGGTCTTCTCTCAGTTCAGTGGAAGTGATGGGTGAGTTTGAGGGATGGATGGTGAAGGCACTATTGGTGGGAAGTGGGTGAATTTCATGGGTAATCTCAGATAAGGAGCATTACCAGGGGAAGAATGCACCCAAGGTCTCTTCTTACTTATCTCATCTTTGGGGAACTTGGAGAAAACATCACTCTGGCAGTCAGGCTGCTTTGTGCACAACAGTTCTCATCCTATTGGGATTCGGACCCAGATTCAGAACAGGAACTGGAATGTGTGTATGTTTGGAAGGGGTCATTTGGGGAGGGTGAGGATAACACCAAGATGTGAAGGAAGTTTTCCTTGCAGGGATGTAAATATTTAATTCCACAGGAGATTATGATGTAATACCATATTTGGGATTTATTTTTTACTTCCTTTGGCACATCTTTTCTTTCCCAATTGGAGCAGATGGGCAGCTCTGAGCTCATCACCTTGGGGAAGGGAAGTGACAGTGTAGAAAGAGTCTCTCCAGAGTTGTGTTCCAAAACCCTAGGTCCTTAGATAACTAAGAGTATTTTGGGAAGGGACAGGATATTTAAAGAAGCAGAAGGAAGAGAACAGGGCTTCCCCTAAGATTAGAGTTAAGATCCCCTGGGCTGGAGGGTGAGAAGAACCCGCTGAGCTATTGGTAGGTCTCAGAGAAGCCCTCCGAGACGTGGTACCTGAATGCTATTCTAGAGAAATGGCTTTATGGAATGCCTCACTAGTGGGGCCACAGACGACCTCTCAGATATTCCCATGCACCAGGGTGGGGGTGAGGGGGAGCAGCAGACAGTTTCCCACACTAAGATCTCCAGACTTTTACCTTGTTCAACTTGGCTCATGGTCTTCAGTTCATGTGGGCCTTTACCAACTCATTCTTTACAGTGAGTGATCTATGTGGCCCCTTCCAGTCAGAGGAAGGGATTGGAATATAATTCTTTGATTGTTCTTGCATTAGTTGCTTGTGTGCCCCTGGAGACAGAGGTGAAGTTAACTCCATTATAAACACTTGAACTGAATAAGGAAGAAGTTAGTTTCCCAGAGGAAAACTGGGGTAATGTGATCTGGAAAAAGGTGAATGGATACTGGGTAGAAAAATGACATTCTCTCTTTTTTTTTTGAGACAGAGTCTCGCTCTATTGCCCAGGCTGGAGTGCAGTGGCATGATCTCGGCTCGCTGCAAAACTCCACCTGAAAAATGACATTCTTTAAAAAGTTAAAAATGTTGGACATTTCTAGGCAGAAGAATGATATTCCACAGAGTACATTGTAAAGCTTTAGACAATTGGTAAATGGGAGGTAGGATGAAAGGAAAAGTCAGATCAAAGGGCAAAGGGCTAAGCTGGATGGGATTAAATCCAAAGGACTAGGGAGAAAAACACTTGGGTCAAGCCTGGAAGTGACAAGGATAAAGCATAGAATAGGTAGACGGTGAGGAAGGCACTAACTTCTGGGAGTCTGAATCTTGGTGTAAAGTTGTTTGTCCAGTAGTCCTAGGCCCTTCACTCTTCTGGAGTATTCACAGAGGACCTGAGACTTTTGAGGGTAGCTAACCAGAAGACACACTATTTAGATGAAGAGTTTTACCTAAGTACAATAAGAAGTTTCCAACGATTATTCATGAAGTAAGAGTGTGTTGTGCCTTGCTCTCTTTTATTGTCTCTCTTGTTTCCTGCTTAGGGTAATTATTATTTTTAAAAATAATTTAATTTTTTAATTTTTAATTTTTATAGGTACATAGTAGGTGTATATATTTCTGGGGTACATGATGTATTTTGGTACAGGCATACAATGTGTAATAATCACATCAGGGTATAGGGTAATTATTTGAAGACTGTGTAGAACAAGAGTAAAATTAGTTTCCCTAAAAGATCACTGGAGTTTTCTCCTATGCTTTTTGCATCACAAGTGAGATTAACTGGAAAATGACAGAATTGAAGATGTGTTTCACTTGTTTTAAGCAAAGGCCAGCTTTAATATAATGCATTTGTGGGTCCTTCATTCTGAAAATAATTATGAGCTGATTTATGTATTACAGAATCTAATTGTTGCTTTAAAGCATTAAATTATTCCTACAGAGCTCCTGAAAAAAATTGTGAAAGATATAAAAACAAGAATATTTAACATTTTATATATTATCAGATGGCTATTAGTATTTTAGCAAGTCCTATATTGTTATTGGATTTAGAAATATATGTTATTATTGTTTTGAAATTGGCAGTAACTTAGACTGAAGCATTTTATTAGAAAAATCAAGAATGAAAGTGTCTTTTCTATGAGAGCGCTGGTTAGCTTTGCATTTGTTTTGGAGATTTAATAGTTGCCATATGTTAGACCTGTTAAATGAATGATGTAATTTAGGCTGCCTGTTGTCCTGCCAACTGCTTCATGCTGCCTCCTCACTTTTAGTGAGCATTACTCCAACATGTGCATATATCACCCAGCAGTAGCTTCTTATACAATCCTGTTAGTCCTTGGGTTCTTAACCCCATCCATCATCTATATAGGCTCTATCTCCTTCCCTCCAGAACCTCGGCTAATGAAAAACAATGGTAGATCTTGGCAAAGAGTGTGCTTGGAGGATAATAATCAACCTAATATTCTGGCTAATGGATAGAAAACCAATGATAAGGTTGATGCTTTAGGACAAAATCACAATGGATGATTAAGAGAATTCAAATTTCTCTACAACATGAATGACAGATAAATGATTTTTTTTGTATGAAACATTAGATGGTACATTTCTTTATTTTTGTGAGCAGGATGATACAATAAGAATGACTACAGCAAAAATAAAACTCATATGTTGTGTGCCCCTTGCTTGTGCCACCTCTAATGACTCTTACCTAAGAAGATGAAAAGTTCCACCTGAATATCTCAGATATTTATGTAGCTATAACCTATATATATATATTTTCCACTTTATAAATGAGGAAGCAGAGGGCCAGAATTAATCAATGACTTGTTCCAGGTTGTCATTTATATCAGTGTTAATGATAAGGGAATTGCTACGTATTTCATTTTTTAAAAAATTATGTTAGGAAAAATCTATTATCAATGATTCAATAAATCGAATTGAAATGGATTTGTCAGCCTAGGTTTCACAGTGTTACAATCATCTACAATTTTTACCATCATTTTCCAAAGAGTAAGTCAGTTAGTGAGACTTTTTCAGCATTATAAGGAGATCCTAGGATTTGCCACTGAGAAACTTCAAAGATCTTAAAATGTCTTACATATTTAAATGTTAGGACTACTTATTTTAACTCAATGCCCTTATATACTTTCAATATGGCAGATTTCTTTTTCTACTTTATATTTACAAGTTCTCTTATTTTTTTTTCCTTTATGCCTAGGGTCAGAGAGATAATTTTCTTTAATTTACACCTTTTACATGGTTCAGCAGGACCTAAAATTAATCCTTTCCTTTATGGGGAGTGCATAACAGTTGTACTCTTATGTAACCTGTTGGCTCCCACGTGTCATCTTAATGAACTTCCCCATTTCCTACTGTTTTACAATCTGTGTTTTTGGCATCTTGAAACTTCCTGCACTCTTCTTCCTTTGGTGGGTGTATTAGTTTGCGAGGGCTGCCGTAATAAAGTCACAAACTGAGTAGATCAAACAACAGCAATTAATTTTCTCACAGTTCTGGAGGTTAGAAGTCCAAGATAAGGTACCTGTAGGGTTGATTCTTTCTGAGGGCCACGAGGGAACAATCTGTTCCGGGCCTCTTGCCTTGGCTCGTAGATGACCGTTTTTCCCTCGTATCTTTACACTGTCTTCCCTCTCTGTCAGTGTCCAAATTTCCTCTTCTTACAACACCAGTCATATTGGATTAGCGCCCAATCTAATGACCTTATTATAGCTTAATTATCCCCGAAAAGACCCTATCTCCAAATATGGTAACATTCCGAGGTACTGGGGATTAGGATTTCAATATATAAATTTTAGGGGATGGGGACACAATTCATAACAAGTAGGAAAGAAGAGCACAGAAATATTTAATGTCACATGGCATTTCTGGATTATTGAGATTTCATGCAAAAATATAAATCTTAATTATCAGGCAAGAAACATATGGATAATCAGTTACGTAGTGATCCTAGTCTTCTGATGGTCAAAATGCTAACCAGGGAGGACATATCCCCTCCTCCATGTGAAGAAAACAATGCGATCTGAGTTTGCAAATGTGTGGAGAGTGGGGATCTGAAAACAGAGGTGGGAAAACAGATCCTTCAGAGCCTTCCTTGCACACCAAGTGGTAATGAAAGTTAGATATTTTAAATCACGTAGCCATGTTTTTCATTCAGGTTATAACACATATACAAGCCGACACCCTTCCCAAAATTTCGGCATGGTAGTATATTGAATATATGCTGTTTCATGGGAACATATTTTTCTACTGTTTTGAAGCCTTCAAATGTAGGAAAAGATCTCTAAATAATTAAAAAAGATTGTACAATAATTCCAAAATTTTCAAATGGATCAGAACCTATTTCTCTGGAGGCATTATTAAACACAGAACTACATAAAGAATCAAGTATTACTGTTAATAGGGGACAGATGAGATTAGAAGTTCTGTAAATACCTTCTGACTTTTAGTGACATTGTTTCCTCCTCTGAATCAGAAAATGCGATTGTGCTAGAGATCTGAATGTTTTTCATTATTATCTAGTGAAAATGACTTAGGAGAAGGCTGGTGGGTGGTGAAATTCTAGAGATGGAAATTAGCTTGGTGGTCAATCCTGGGGATTATTGTCAGATCAAATCTAGGTCTGTCTGCTGTGATCATTGGGCTTCCAGGTTAATTCTGGGTACAATCCCAAAAGTAAGGTTTAGTTTGGGGGAGGAGAGAGTGGAAGGAAGATGCCCTCGCCTTTTTCTCC
This sequence comes from Homo sapiens, assembly GCF_000001405.40. Taxonomy (NCBI): domain Eukaryota; kingdom Metazoa; phylum Chordata; class Mammalia; order Primates; family Hominidae; genus Homo; species Homo sapiens. Next base: position 112,123,605 of record NC_000005.10, on the reverse strand, counting down.
CTGATAATTGACCTGGCCCCTTAAAGTGCTGCTCTGGATTAAGGACGCCAGACCAAGATCTGTTAGGGGCTAGACCTTCTTCCTACACAGTGGTCACATTCAGAAGAGGGCAAATGAAGGGAAATGGGGGAACCAATACCTCCACTCAACTGTGTCTAGTAAAGGTTCTCGAAAAGGCTTGTATGTCACATTCAAGCTTAACATGCTCCTTTTGAAAGCACACATTTCTGTGTGCTGCCCATTTTGCTTCAATTAGTCATGGATAAGGAGGATTACATTATATTGGAGTGTTTTTAGCAGGGTTTTAGCAGGAGTTTCTTACATTAATCTGCTTGCAGTTCTTTAGAGTCACACTTTTGAGTCACACTTAAATTAGGGTGAGTCTACCCTAGAAACAATGGGGATTACTCTCAGGTGGTGGTGTTTTTTTGTTGTCGTTGTTCCTAAGCAGAAATTTCTGGAGCTATTATAAAGAACAGTGCTCACTAATATGCTTAAGTCTAGAAATTGCTGTTTCATTAATAAGTAGAAACTGGACAGCTTATCCCTTTTCTCAGAAAGTATTAGTGATTTCCTGTGGGAGGCAAGAAGTAGGAGAAAAACGCTTCCTACGCTCTTCCCTAGTTTGTATGTTATTTTCTGTGGCCTAAAGAGACATGCTTCCTCTTCTCTTTTCCAAATTTATCACTTTCTCTCTTATATTCAATCGCAGCACACCCACGGGGACTAATTCTCACCTCTGTGATTTTTGTTGTACATTTCATCATTTCTACAATTCTTCCAAATTGTAGAAATAATCTGGGGGGACTCCAAAAAGTGAATGTATATGTATTCTTAGAGCTGTCATCTCACTTGCTTTTAAGTTACAACACCAAGCGGAATTTTAGTCAACCTTCCTAAGTCAGTTAAATACAAAGTTTGGATGTAGTCCAAGGCTTATAGTTTCTGTTATTTATTGAGTTTTCTGCAATGGACATTTTAATAATGGGGAAACAATTATAGTGACACATGACAAGTCTTTATCTTGTAGGTTAGAGAGGAGAATGATATAAATGTTCTCTCCTGTCAGTTTCGTCTGTGACATGAGTAGATCAATTCAATGTGTATGTTCTTCAGATTCTCAAGAGTCTTGGTTCAGCGGAAGGACTGGGCTCATTGTGTGTGTGTTTACTGTCAGTCATTGGTCAAGTGGTGAATATCCTGGGCTCTTGTATTGACATTTTGGGGACTTTCTTTTCTTTTTTTATTTTTAAGCAAATTAAGGTTTGCTAGAGTTAGTGGTTATGTTAGGCTACACAATTTGAGAGGAGAATTGGTAGGATTTGGAAAGGGTTTTTTAACGAAAGCCTCAGGAGAAGTGTCCACTTATATTTTGGAGCATGGACTGAATAGATTAGTCAAAAAGTGGTCAGAAAAATAAGCACTTATTTTTCTTAGTACTCATGTGAGGGCAGAGGGCTGAAAGCAAGAACACAGCCATGTTGCCTAGGAGCCAATTGTAGCATACTGCTAAGCATAGACTATTTTTGATAAATGTTAACCATCTTCAAGATGATAAAAAGATAAGGAAGACAAGCCATATTCTTTCTTTTTATAGGACCAATCAATATCATTTTGTATTTCAACCAATTAACATGCAAAGAGGGGATTCCAAAGAGATACGCAAATATGTTTCCACAAAGAAATCCAATTTAGAAGCAAGAGATTTTAATGTCCTTGCTGGTCACGAGGTCAGGGTTGTATCTCCAGTCAACTGTATCAATTAGTATTGCTCTATATGTAAAACGACCTAATTAAAAAAACCCACTTCCTTAGAGAGATGTGGAAAAGGACACAAGTAATGATTCAAAGAGGCTTTGAAAAGTAGGCAAAGCTACTGTAATCCGTCAGAAATGTATTGACAATTTAGGGTATATTTATCATATCTTCTGTTCAAATGAGCTAAGGACTCACGATGTTGCTTGGACTGTAAAGAAGAATTTATATAAGGTCTAATACGTGAAACTTGTCTTGACATTCAAGTAAAAAGATGTTTAAGGCAAATGAAAGTGCAGGCAAAAATAGGACTGGGGAAAGGGATGAATCACACAGTCAGAGCTGTAAAGACCGTCAGGGGAACAAGATGGATGAGGTCAGCTTGAGAGCTAAGTTGGGAGCCTTGGAGTCAAATGGGAGATGCTATTTCTCATCCCAGCATCCCAGGAAGGATTAACATTCCAGGACTGGAATCATAAAAGTCTCTAAGTATGATGCAAAGTCAGTTAAGAATGAACTAAAACTTGGGCAGGGTGAATATATGAGTAGTAGATGTTGAGGGTGGAGATAGCAGAATAAGTAAAAACTGCAGAAAAACTACACGGTGATTTTTGACAAAAAGTGGTGACAGTACTATGAATACCTGGCAATGAAATAAGCAAACCTGCAAAGCAGGTTCACTGTGAACTAGATATCAACTTGTCTGAGTCTGGTGAGACGAGACACACACACAACACACCACATGAAGCAAGTTTATTACTTACAGATAGGTAGGAAGGGACAACAGAAGTGTAGAATTCATTGCAAGTCAGTCAGTCCCCCAAGGCTTAGGAAAGCTTCCTGTGGAAGATGGAGTCTGCTTCATGTGCCCTATTTGCACTGCAGCTAAGGGACCCAGGAAAGCAGCCCTCACTAGGTTTTATACCCCAGGGTTGCTAGACTCACTGGGCTAAAGCACTGAAGGGCATCCTGTTTCTGGGGGACTGGAACAGAGCCCAGGATGTGCTGGCCAGTATCTCCCTATTTCAGGATGTTACATTCTCAGCACACCCTATCGCTATTCTTGAGAAATAGAAGTGAGAAAGGAGGGATCAGCACAGGGCCAGTCCAACGTGCTGAGAGCTGTCCTGCCAAACCTACCAGATCTAATGGACTTAACAACTTGACTGTGTGTCCACATGAGTGTGAACCAGGAGGCAGGTCCAGCACTCAGTCTCACCATCAACTAGGGTGCAGCCACATCCCACATGCTGGCTAAGAAGGGAGTCCAGGAAGTGGGCATGGAAACTACAGCCCTTGCTTACTTCACATTTCCCTGGAATCTAAGGAGCATGGTAACTCTGTGAGCATTCTTGAAACTGGAATTTTGTTAGGATGATATTTGTTAAGCTTTGTCAGTTATCAGTAGTGAAAATTGTCGGAAAGAAAATGAAAAGCATCATTTGCTTGTTTCAGGGACAGGTAGTATGGGAGAAGTGGGGTGCAGCAGGGTGTCTATCTCAGTCTATAGGGAGAATCGGGGGAGAGAAGTGTCTATAACAGTGATTCTCAATGTGGGTGTGGGGGATTTTCCCCATAAAGGAACATTCTGTAATGTTTAGAGGCATTTTTTATTATCTTGACTGTGGGAGGACATGCTACTGACATCTGGTGGGGAGAGGCCAGGGATGCTACTAAGCTACACTGCACTGGACTACACCTCCTACCTACCCAACAAAAGATTACTGGGTTCAAAATGACAACGGTGTGGAAGTTGAGAAACCCTGGTCTAGAGGAAAGTAGATAGTTCAGCTGAAAACAAGGGAAGTGAATGAGTCTCACCACCAGGCCTGGTGTGAGAAATGGGTGAACTGGGACCCAGTGGGAGGGGAACTGGTACAAAGAAAATAATGTCCCAGGGATGGGAGTAGGGTGGTGTAGAATAGAGTGGGGAGTATTTGGAGGAACATCCTACATTCCTTAACAAATGTATCTGGAGGAGAAGCCAACATCTGTTACTTTAGAGGGGGAGTTAATCTTTTCCCAGTTCCTTTTCTGGAGAGATTTGTGGTCAAAATAATTCTTGTCTAGTTAACTCGCTTTTACCATCTTCAGAGCCAGAAGGAAGAGATAAGATCTACTTCTTCTTTTAGGTCTCCTCTACCTTGAGCAAAATCTTTGATTAACGCTGTTCCTCCCTTGAGCTATCCTTTGCTTCTGTATTTCCTTTAATGGCCACTGAGTGGTTTATGCTTAGTGCCTCTAGTTTCTCCTAGCACAGTCTGTCGTTACCATTCCACTCAGCCTATTCAGTGAAGGTCATTGGTGTCCTCCTCCCTGCTCCACCCAGGCTCATTTGAATAGTTCTTACCCTGACTGCTTCTGTTTGGCAGTTGGCACTGTTGTTTACACTTTTTTTTCTTGGAATTCTTACCCTCCTTTATTTATCTACACCCTTCTTGCTCCACTTTTTCATCCCCAAATCCTTCTCTTGCTTCTTTCCTCACTCAGTGCTTACTCTGGGTTCCCATAGCTATAGCTCCTGTCCTACTTTCTTTAATATATTTTGCTGGCAATGTCACTTCTTCACCCTCCTCCATCAACTCATTATGGAAAATTCTTTTATCTAAAACCATTAGTCCTGTTTTTTCTAAGTTACAGACTGTTAGTGCCAACCTACTGAACAATTCCACTTCACTTCCATGCCATAATATCAAATGTATATTTGAGTACAAAGCTTATCATATCCTTTTTCATCAACTGCTGGAAGGTTACATGATACCTTTATGAGGACCCAGAGAAGGCAGGACGTAGCAGCTCCTGCCTATAATTCCAGCACTTTGGGAGGCTGAGGAGGGAGGATCACTTGAGCCCAGGAGTTTGAGACCAGCCTGGGCAACATAGCGAGATCTCCGTCTCTAAAAAAAAGTTATAAATTTAGTTAGGTGTGGTGGTGTATGCCTATAGTTCTAGCTACTCAGGAGGCTGAGTGGAAGAATGGCTTGAGCCCAGGAGGGTCAGGCTGCAGTGAGCTATGATCGTGCCATGGCACCCAGCTTGACTGACAAAGTGAGACCCCTTTTAAAAAACAACAACAAACAAACAAGCAAAAAGATGCCCCAGAGAAAAACTCCTCTGACTTATATCTGATTTCCTTCCTTGGCACATGCTTTTCCTGTATCTCCTTACTTGCTTTTATCTCAAGACTTTGGATTTCTGCTCCAGTAGGAAGATTCGTTTTGTCCTGTCAGTGAACACCCATTACTCACCATGTTACTTATGCACAAAGGTCCCAGTTTAGTGACACTGTACTTTCTCATTTCACCCACACAAGTTTATTGTGCATGAAATTTCCACTTTAGTTAGTCTGGATTTTGCGGTCTCTCACTATTGTGCTGGCTCACAACTCTTAGAAGGTCATTCTTTTACCTTTCACTTAATCCTTGCTATGCTATTATCTTCTAGGTAATATTGGTGTTTAGGCAAGAGTCTCCACTTCCTTGGGTCAAAGGGTGTAAGCTATGGAAGTTTCTGGCTCTGAAGTAGAAGCTAGTGGGAAAAATTTGGGGGGCATGGAGGCCTTTTGGAATGTTCAAAATCACATCATGCTGGCAGCTGCCCCGTGTAAGCTTGGCCATAGCACACTCAGTGCTACTTCTGTTTAAACCTTCCTGCTTTGTATGGCCATTGCTACCCTACCAAGCAGGAACAGTGAGGTCTTGAGAGTTTATCAATCAGGGCAAGAGCAAAGGATGGAAGATGGAGAGAAGTAGAAGGAAATTAAACCGAGTGCCAGGGTTTCCTTTTTCTACCTATTGTGCAAATAATTTAATAAGTTTTGTGTGCTTTACTTTAAATACAGTTTTGAAAATTGCATGAAATGAATTTTTGCAAATCAAGTTCTATTTCAAACATAGTATTTAAAATTCATTCTGGTAAATTCCATTAGGTTGCAAGGAGTGCTTAAAAAATATCACACTTTCATTTCAGAAAAGCTGTTCCTTTTAATATCAGGTTTGTTTGCATTTACTCCACATTTGATTTCATAATCACAAAGCCAAGAAAATAGTTTCTGTTCTGCCACCGGTCAATAGCAATATTAAAACTGTCAGCTTGAAGCTGGCCCAAAGAGAATGTAATAATCTGATATTTCTTCTGCTTTTCTATGTTGAAAGCCATGATGAGCAATTTAGGTTAAAATAGTACTCTGTAGCCCAAATTAGCCACACTATACCAAATCCATAGCAGATTTTCACTTCTTTTTGTGCCATTATGTTTTATTCTTTAATGCCATCCAGTTTCTTTTCTACTCAGAAAAAAAAATTATTGGAAGTTTTTTCTTTTTTTTTTCCTTGACATTTCTAGAGGTAAGTAAAGGAAATTACTGAGTGCAATGAGAATGATGTGATATGTGGGATTGTATTTAGGATACATTGGGTAGGCATTTACCTCTGTGTTTGGTTAGTTCATGAAGAGGATTATGAACAAAGTCAGAAATTCATATAATTTAAAAAAACATATAATTTCTGTTTTTCCTGGCATTTTAACTATGTTTCTTGAAACACTAATTATGGGGGGAAAAATGAAGCTAAAACTTCTTAGCTGGTGACAGCATTGGGTTTTTCTTAGAATTGGCAGAAAAGTTTAGTAAATATATTTAAAACATCTATAGTAATTCAGTTTTATTGAGATTTTAATGTTATAGAATGTCAGAGTAGATCCTGTTGTTTCTGTAGGTTGATATTTGGCAGGAAAAACCCCCACCACATTTCACCAAATGATATAATAAAATTAGACACTTTTTGGTTTGATTTGTTTGTTTTCTACTTTTGTGGCATATCAGTGTTAGAGATAACATTGTATTCATCTCGAAAAGTGCTATTTAAAAGGCAGGTGAAATTCCATTACTGCCAATTTATAGAAGCATGAATTTCATAATGGCAAAAGCAAGGCCTAATGCAGCCAGCAGGTAGCCCTGTTTTCTGGCTGTTTCATCTTGCAGATAATGTCACCAAAGTATAATTTTGCTATTTTGCTTAGAAATTATGTAGTGTACCCAGGGAAGGTCCACAGAATATAACATGAAGGCTTGGGATACATTTACCAGGGTCTGAAAAACAAGTGAAAAGAAATGGCATCCTGTATCATCAGGATTTGTTTCACCCTATACTTTTAAATTAATATGATAATAGCAAGCCTTCAGTTGCATAATAGAGATATGGGTGGTTTCACATGGGATGTTTTTCTAATGTGAAAAATTCAACTGTCAGTTTCAGAACTGTTCCTTTTCAGGTCCCTGTGAAAACCTCTGTGGGTTATTATTTGCCAAGTGCTGACAGATTTTCTCATTTCTCTTCCTCTCAGTCCATTCTTCTTACAGAATACCAAATAACCTTTTAAATATGTAAGTCAGATCCCAGCATTCTGATTAGAAACATTTCAATGGAATTTTATCCCATTCAACTTAGAACAAGAGTCACATTCCAAGCCATGCTCCACAATACTCTATACCAGCAGTACTCATTCATTTTGGTTTCAGGACCCCTTTGTATTCTTAAACATTGTTGAGGTTCTCCAAAATACTTTGTTACATGAGTTATATCTATTGATAATTATATTAAAAATTAAAGCAACATTTAAAAATATTTGTTAATTCACTTAAAAATAACAGTAATATACATATTTAATAAAAAACTATAATTTTCAAAAAAAAAGGTATTGAAAATAATAGTATTGCCTTACATTTTTGTCAATTTCTTCAATGTCTAGCTTAACAGAATTTGGGTGAATTCTCATACCTAGTTTTTCATTTAATTTATTGCAATCCCGTATGTCCTTTGTCTTGAATGCTCAGGTCCATTTCACTCAGGTCTCTGCAGATGGGTCTCCCTTTTCCATACACTTATGTAGTCACTCTTCTTCCCATTACCCTGTTTTACTTTCTCCATAATATTTAAAAGTATATAAAATGATATTATCTATGTTTATGTTTATCATCCATCAGTACCTACTCAATTGTAAGCTCCACTTAGGCAAGGACCTTGTCTTATAAACCGTTGTGTATTAGTTTTCTATAGTTGTCTAACTATCCCCAAATTTAGCAGCTTAAAACAGCAAAGATTTATTATCTCCCAGTTTCTGCGGGTCAGGAACCTGGATGTGGCTTAGCTGGGTTCATCTGGCACAAGACCTCTCCTGAGGTTGTAGTCAAGTTAGGAGGAAAGATTTGCTCTTGAGCTCATGCCTGCAGGCTTAGATGATCTGCTTTCAAGCTAATTCACATGGGCCAGGGATGCCTCCCTGTATGGTAGTAGGCTTTCTCCAGGGTGAGAGGGCCTCCAAAACAGAAGCCACAGTATTTTCATAATTTAATCTTGGAAGTGACATCCCACCACTTTTGCCATTTTGTTTATTGGAAGAGTCACTAGGTCTAGCCCACACTCAAGGAGAGGGGATTACAGGGTAAATAATAAGAGGCAGAGGACATTGGGGGCTGAGATGCTACCTAACATCAACTGTATCCTGAGGACACGGCATAGCATCTGGCACATAGTAGGTGCTTAGTAAATACTTGTTGCATGAGCATAGTGCCCATGAAGTGCTCAGAGGGTTTGGTTTGGTTTTCTGAGCAGAAGGGGGTCATTTGCCTTGGAAGGCTCTTGAAATCTATGGTATTATTCAGGGCTTCTCTAGTATGTTGTGTTATTTAGGTAGTTGGTATAAGCTTATATAGAAAGGAAAATATTAATTTCTTCTATGGGATAAAAAGACTTGTTGCTGGTGCCTTCTGAGGCTTAAAGTAAAAAAATGGTTGAATATATTAGTCCCAGGCTGTGATGTGTTCCTGCAAAGGAAATAGAAAGAATAATATTTGTTTCACCCATTCTTCTTCTTATATAACATTTTATCATCTAGAGAGATTGCACTCTTGTGGGGCCATTGTTCTCTTCTGATATCTTTGTTTGACATCCCCAGGGCAAGGAATACATTGAGTTGTCTGGCTGGCTATATTTGTTCTAAGATGTAGTAGTTGCAAATTCATTAATGTTATCCATAAATAATTGTAAGCATTTTCTAAAAATTGCAATATGGCTGAATTTTATTTTATGACATAGAACTGCCATATGTACTTTTAAATTGTAATACTATTTTAGGTCTTTTGATGGAAATTATAGCTAGTTTTCACTCTTAGTCACTATATAATAACATTTTTTACACTTGTTTCTGGGACTGTACACATTGATCAATTGTTAGTATGAATCAGTCTTTAAAATGTTTTCCTCTATGAGGCTCAGCTGGGAGGATTTGATAATTTCAGTAGAGAATGAGAATAAAGGAAAGGATACTGTCAGTGAATTAGAAGTAAGTCTGGGCTGGATATCTGGTCAAGAAAGGGGTGACCTAAGAACAATGTAAGCCTGAAAAAGGCAGGTTTCTAAATCAATCGAGAAAAAAGGGGCTGGAGTATTCAGAGACCAAATACATTGATTTTACTGTTTTGCTTAGGGTTTTTCAAGTGTAGATAATGTAAACATCATGGATAGAGGTTTTTTTCCAGCAGGCCTCTTGTGATGATGGGATGACCCTCTGGGATTTCTCCAAGTGCCCTAACTTAGGCAGAGTGATGTGATTTAGGAACACAGATTTTGGTGTCAGACAGATCTGGACTTAATTCTCTGCCCTGTCATTTTTGACCATTAGTGGAGGACATAATTCCTATACTTTATAATTGTTAAAAAGATCATGTGGGAAAATACATGTGACACAAATGCCTGACATATACACTAGGTGTTCAATATTTGTAGCTCTCTATCCTCAGCTGAGATTTGGCAGAACCCACAAATCTCGCTAACACATTTTCAGTTAGAGAGTTCTTTTTTGTGGACACATTCAGATTTTAATCAAGCCTATATTTGCAACCCAACAAGAGCTCTCCTTAAAACAAAGAAGATAGCCAAAGTTGGGTATTATTCTATTTGCTACTTACGGTCTCTGTGTATTAAAATTATTCCCAGGGAGTTTTATGTATGACAAAATCCAGAAAAACTCAGATTGCTCAGCATGGGTAGTCAACTCCACAATTAAAGTTGTCATCAAACATCAGGCTTTTTCACAGATGATGGAAGTGTTTTGAATAAAACCTCTAAGTGCTATAAGGAGAGAAGTAGTCCCAGAGAGTGAGAATTGATAATATATGGACAAATTACTGAGAGTGTTGTGTAGTCTTCAGGCTGTCTCATTGTTTCAGCTCAATGAATCTTTAATTCTCGTGAGACAGTGTTTTCCAAAAGCATTATGGGTAATTGGGTTAGTCTTTATGCTATTTAACAAAACATATTTATAATTCTTAGTTATATTTTGAATATATAAAGAACAGACATCCATTTACTCACCACACACTCAGATTTAAGAAATAGTCACAGTTTGCCATATTTTTATGGGCTCTTTTTTTTTTTTTTTTTGAGACGGAGTCTCAGTCTGTCACCCAGGCTGGAGTGCAGTGGCACAATTGCGGCTAACTGCAACCTCTGACGCCTGGGTTCAAGTGATTCTCCTGCCTCAGCCTTCCGAGTATCTGGGATTACAGGCGCCTGCCACTGCGCCCAGCAAATTTTTGTATTTTTAGTAGAGACAGGATTTCACCATCTTGGCCAGGCTGGTCTTGAACTCCTGACCTCATGATCCACCCACCTCAGCCTCCCAAAGTGCTGGGATTACAGGTGTGAGCCACCACGCCTGGCCTGGGCTCTTTCTTTTTAAATTAAATTTGTGTTTTTGCTAAAACTTCAGTCTCATCTCTTCTCCCTCCACTTCACTACATTGAAATTAGTATGTTCTTTTCCATCATGTTTTTATTCTGGATTACAAATATGTATATCCATAAAGAATGCATGATATTACTTTGTATGTTCTTTTAAAATTACATAAATGGTATCACATTACATGTAGTATTTTGTACCTTATTTGACCCACAATGCTTTTTAAAAAACATTTGCCACGTTATCGCATTAACTAACATGTAAATTTTATTATATAAGTGAAGTATTTTTTATTTCCCCATTCCCCACTGATAGACATAATTCCTTGCTTATTTATAAACAATGCTATATACATATCCATCTATATGTCTCCCTATGCACATGTGACAGAGATACTTTAGGTTACATTCTTATTGTTTATTGAATCATGGGACTCAAATCTTTATTCCTCTGTAGGAGTAGTATACAGTCACATCCTTGCCAAGGTCTCATGGAGAGCAGAATTTACTTGCCTGCTCTGACTTTTGGCTTGCTTGACCTTGTGATTTGCCTTGGCCAAGGGGATGTTAGCAGACGTGACGCAAGCAAGTATTTGAAATGTGTTTGGGTATTTCAGCATGCTTTTATGCTCTCTGCCATCCCCATGAGAGAATGCCTTGGGTAATCTGTTGAGCCCAAAATGAGGAAAGACAGATTTGGAACCCAGAACAGATTTGGAATCATCCCACAGCTTTGTGTCAAGCCTGGCCATGCCTGGACTTCAGCTGAAGCCTCCTCACCTGCAGACAAAGGAGTAAGAAATAAGTGTCATTGTTCCTGTGACACTAAAATCTTGTCATTGCTTTTTCTAAAGCAAAAAACTGACATACATTATAAATTTTATTAGGTATTATAGCATGCAATGTATTTATCTGTATTGTTCCCTATAGTCAAATAATTGTTTCAACTATATGAATTATATCTATTTTTTTTGGTAAGAGAGAGATTTTAATTTCTTATTTAATATATCTTTTATAATGCTTCTGGAAACCATTATTTCTATTTTATGGTATTTTATTTCTGCAAACCAAATATAGGTGTTCCAAAAAGAAAGTATCTAATATGAGGAAAGTTGTAATTTCTTCCACCAGTAGACCCATACAAAAGAAATCCAAGACAATTGTGGGTTAGTACCTAAGGATTGGCCTATATAATTCCTCAGTTACCAAAGGCCCCAAGTATTGTTAGTTCGTGACATAGTTTACTTGGCACAAGAACTAGAATAGCAAAGACAAACTTAATCCATATTGTAAAACTATTAATATGGCTAGAAAAACCATCCACTTTAATATGTGGTTGATGTAACTTTGGAGAGAAAAATATCATCTAGAGAAATTTTATGGATAAAAGTATTTCTCATACCACAGAGGACAGTGTTTCTGAAATGTGAGAAGGCATTTTGAATACTGGGCTTCCTTCTATACATAGGTAATTGATGCTATCTTGGAGGCTTACAAGATGGAACTTATGTGTATTATAAGTATGCAATTATTTTCCTTTAGAAACAAGAGATTTTCACATAAAACTATACCATTCAGGCCAAGAAAGAGAAATAGATAGGTGAAAGCCATTAGTGATATTGAAAATGGACTGAAATTGGCTTAGCTACTTTTGAATTTCCTTACTACAACTCATGTGAAAAATAGAAACTAAGTCCAATGAATCACGAGTCATCTAGGAGGCAAGTTTTAAGGAATTTCTCTGAAGGGACCATTCAGACCTGTTAATTCTTATCAGTAAATCATAACTTCTTAGGCACTTTTAGGTCAGAGGAAACTTGGTTAGAAAGAGATGAAGCTGATCCTGGTCATTTTTACTTTCTTGCTGTAGTTGAGGAAAAGAATAATATTTGGTTAGGTGACTGTCAGTTTCAGCTTTTAGACTCCTGAACTAATAATAGCTATCATTTGTTGAGTACTTGCTATGGTTCATGGCCCAGAAACTGTACTCTTTTTTTTTTCAAACATGATCTTCACCCTCAAAAGATGGTGAAACTGAGGCACACAGCAGTCACATTGCTGGTAAGTAAAAGAGCCTAGATTGAAGCTACCTCTGTTTGGCCCTTGGCTGTCTGTACACATTGCCCCCTCTGAATGGACAACATGAATTGAGTGTTTGTTGCATGTGAAGAATTACATAATATTGTAAAATGTGCAGACCAAAAATGTCTATTTTTAGGTCTTTTTTCCCCATTTATTTCAGAAAAGTTACAGTATACCACTCTTTACACCTTTGAATTGAAATGAATATTTCTCTCTCTTATAACTAACAGTATATACATGTGCAACTGCTTATTGTCTAAGAGGAAAGAGCCTTTAGTGTGGTGAAATCACTCTTTAAAGCTTTGAGAAGGGGATTCAGAAACAAATTTGCTGAAGGGGATTCCCTGGCTTTTAATGTTGAATATAGCAGAATTATTTATTGCCTGGATCAGAACTTTGCTTCCACCATCTCCAATTTTGTTCAGCTTTGAGACAGAGAAAATGGTCTTCGGGTAAATGGGCTTATTCTCTGGCTTGGAGTGGTCAAGAGGCTGGGTTCTGACCCAGGTACATTTCCTAGGGGAGCTTGGGAAAGATTTCTTCTCCCAGTGAGAGACAGCTATCCCTTTGTGCTTTTTGTCTTTGCAATTCTGGTGGAAACATGATATTTGGAGCTTTTGCAGCCACCTTGAGATCATGAAGATCTAGAGAATTACAGAGATGCAGCTTAAAGTCACCTGATTATTGACACTGGGAGAGGGCTGGAAATGTTTGCTGTTGAACATGATCATTTACTTTCTCATTCTAGTTGTTGGTAAAAACTATACCTCAACTCTTCTGTTTCTTAGATGTTTATATGAGAAAGTTCTATCTTGTATTAATTCATATATCAAATTTGATTCTCTATGTAACTATAATATATGACATATACATTTGCTATGAACTTTTGCACAATAACGCAATTAAATACTGTTATTTATTGAGAACTAGGTTATCAGACTCTTAGTGGTCTAATAACTGTACAATCTTATGTGATAATAATTAATGGCAAATCATTTGAATGTGAATTTTTCCATCCTAATTTTATCTTGGAATCTAGCCCCTTGAGTCTTACAATCAATTATGTTCAGAATTGTTAACTATGTTTTCAAGTAGCCTTGACACTGCAGGAGCATACTTAAAGATGACCTCTTGACTAATCTCAGGCCTGATTGGGACACTTTGCCTTTTTAGGAACCAGCGCTTTGTCTTTGCCTGGGGAAGCTCAGGCAATAGTCAATACTTATTAAACAAAGTTAAGCAGAAGTAAACCCAAGCTCAACTTATCAAGGATATGAGTCATACTGGCAGATTTGGGGTGGGGGAGAGAGTACGTGTGTTTTAGATTATATTACTTAAAAGAAGAACCTGAGGCAGGGATTTGGGTATATGTGAGTTAACAAGGAAATGCTTCTCAGGAAAAATCTGTAAGGGAGTGAAGGCAGCAAAATTGGCAAAGGGGAGGCATTGAGCAATGATATGGTCTTGGATAACATCCAGCCTTGGCCTGATTTGCAGAGGGCTCTGGAGTGTAAGTGGTTCCACCTGGAGCTGTCCGGTCTCCAGGCAAGAGGAACCTGCTCTGTATTCTGTGTTAGCCAATCATTGGCCATCCTCAGGGGTGGGCGTGGCATGGTGATAATGGTGATGTGATTTTCCAGGCATCTCCAGCTGAGGCAATGCTCTAGAGATGGTCACAGGTATAAGCTGTTAGCTAGAGCAATTTCAGCAGCTGGGAGGTGAGCTTATCTATCCACAAAGGTTATCTGAGAGGGGCAACAACTTCTACTGCTGTTAGTTTACCTTTGGGTATAAACCTCAACTTTGAGGAAAGAGTTAAATTCAATGGAAAACAAATTTGTTGAGTGCCTACTATGTGCAAAACAGTATGTTGGGGCAAAAGGGGAACACAATGTGGAAGATCTGTTGCCCTCAAGAAGAAAAAACTGTGCATATCAGCAAGGTATCTCTTCCTGAGGCCGGTCTTCGTTAGCGAGCTTGGTAAGTTGTGATTTCCTATGAAGCTCTACTCTCTATACTGTACTATTCCTATAAAGATAGTCAAATACATTTTAAAATACATACTTTAAAATTAGATATAGGTAAATTGTCTCCAAGGTTATTTCTACTGCTTGAAACTCATTGTGAATATAAAAGAGCTGACTTCAAAAGTTTAGACCCCTTCCACTCATGTAGAAAGGAAAACATTACGTACCACAGCTAAAGGAAAATTAAAATTAAGCACAAATATTTGAGACCTTTATTTGGTTGTACCTTTGGTATTAGAATTACAAAAACTATAATAAGGAATCCTGTGTTTCCTGTGTTTCTAGTGGTCAACATTTGCAGACTTGGGTATTAAATGGAAAACATAAATTATGTTTTCAGGCTTTATGAAATATAGTTTGACTTCTCAGCTTTACTGAAAATGAAGCCCCTGTTATTGCATTATTTTATTCATCAAGAGATGTGTAATAAAAAAGTGTTCTAAAGAAGCAAAATGAGTGCCCACTTTAGTAAACATAGGAAAAATTTCCCTTATAAGGTATGACTCTTTAATTCCACCTGGAATTCATAAATTAAAGAGAAGTATATTTAGAATTTATTCTCTTGACAGAGGAATTTTTATTTGAAACAGACCTTTTAATTTATTTAGGATGTGTTGATAACTACTGCACTCAGAAAACACCTAGATCAGGGGATTAGAGGATTATTCTGACTGCCTGACAGAGATGACCTACAATCAGATTTAATTATCTCCTTTTCACCAAGAAAATGAAGTGGGACTATCCCTGCTATTTCTGTTCCTATTTCTATGCAAACCTTTCTTTCAAGGCTGCCTTTAGTGTACATGTGGCACCTACTGGGTGCTGGCTGTGTCCTAGCATCCCAGATATAGCAATGAACAAAGAGGAATGGCTGTTGTCATTGTGGCATTTCTAGTCTAGTAGAAACAACAGGCATTTACTCATTTTCAAGAATTAATTTGGTGATCATAGTTGTACAAAGTGCTGTGAAGGAGCTTGTGGTTTGGAAATACATGGTGCTCTTAATCTTAACAGTACAGAACAGGGACGTTTTGGCAGAGGTAGAGGAAGGATGGCCTAAAGATAATTTGCCCCAATCTGAACCTTCTCTGGGATGGTCCTGATTACTGTATCTCTGTGTTGGATCCAGGAGTTTTGTTTGAAGAGTAATATTGGTTGTGTCTGTGACTGGGCTTCTACAAATGACATTTGGAAAATACAGGAATATCAGGACAGTGGGAATGGAGACAAGGAAAGCTCAGAAGTTTCTCGTTTTCATGCAGTAACCTAAAAAAAAAAGTGAAATAACATTCCTATAATAAAACACTGTTCGTGGCTATTTTTACATCAGTATTTTAAAGACATCTTTGTTTTCAACCAGATTAAGGCTTTATACTATTTCAGAATTTCATTGAGACTCAAGGTCAGAAATACTCAATTCTTCAAAATGAGCAAAAAGTAAAAAGTAACAATAATTTTTGTGTAAGGACACAGCTTTAATTACTTTGTCTCCCAATTTAGTTCTGTGATTTAAAAGTAACTGGTGAATTAGATGAGAATATACTCCATTTAACCAGAAACCTAGTGTTAACACATTCAGATACTAATTTATCTTCATGTTTCTAGAGCCTTTGCTGCTAATTCAAGGCATTATAATCAAATCCTTAGAAATTTTGAAAGCATTAGTTTTGTACAACATTTTTGGATGAAAATGTTATTGCATGTTCAGTGTTGAAAACTTAGAATATTCAGAATTCACCATGAAAATAAGAATAACCTGTATTCAGTTTTTTCTCTGCTTTTATATACATTTTTGTTTGGTATGCCATGAAAATCTTTGCAAAAATGCTATTAGCATGTAATTTATATTGGGAAGTGGTTTTAGGGAACAATCGTGATGGACTAGGAAGAGTGAGACTGGGAAGGAGGAAGTGTCAATCAAGTGACTGCAATCATGTGTCACTTAATGGTGAGGATATGAGAAACGTGTGGTAGGTGACTTCATCATTGTTCAAATGTTGCAAAGTGTACTTAAACCTAAATGGTATAGCCTACTACACACCTAGTCCATAGGGTATATAGCCTGTCCCTCCTAGGCCACAACTCTGTATAGCATATACCTGTACTGAATTCTGGAGGCAACTGTAACACAATAATAAGTATTCATATATCTAAACATAGAAAAAGTATAGTAAAAATATGGTATAATAGATTAAAAATGGTAATCCTGAAACCATCTGCCAAAGAGTTAAAGAAATGAATGATAGAAGTTCTTGAGGCAGGATGGCAGATAAGAAAAGATATAACTTGCCGAAACACTGAAACTCTCTCCCTTCTGAGATAAAAGAACTGGCTGAAATTTGTCATAACCAAGGTGGCTGACTGGAGTTTGTGCAGAACAAGCTTGCTGATGTTACAGCCTAAATTTCCACTACATGTTTTATAGTAATTCCACCCTGAATTTGCACATTCAATCCATAAGGTAGCATGAAGAGATAAGTGTGCATGCCCAAGGGCTTTCTAGACCTTCCCCTTCCTTCCACCAGTGATCTGCTAATCTCAAAATCCACCCTCTAAACCTCTTCTAATAAAAGTACTGTCTTAAAGCCAGCATGGGGAGACAGATTTGAGCTTGACTCCTGTCTCCTTGGGAGTTAACTTTCAACATAAAGCTTTTCTTTTCTCAAAAACCTGGTGTCATAGTATTGGCTTCGAATGCATCAGGCAGAGTCCCTTTCGCTCAATAACAGATAATACACCTATGTAGGGCACTTAGCATGAATGGAGTTTGCAGGACTGGAAATTGCTCTGAGTGAGTGAGTGGTGAGTGAATCTAGAAGCCCAAGGACACAACTGTACACTACTGTAGAGTTGATAAACACTATACTTAGTCTACACCAAATTTATTAAAAAACTTTTTTCAATGATAAATTAATCTTAGCTTACTGTAACTTTCTTACTTTATAAACTTTAAAAATTTTTAAGCTTTTTGATGCTTTTATAATAATGCTTAGCTTGAAACACATTGGACAGCTGTAGAATATGTTTTCTTTGTATCCTTATTCTAGAAGATTTTTAAAATTTATTATTTTTACTTTTAAAATTCTTTGTTAAAAGCTAAGATGCAAGCATAAGCACACACATTAGCTTAGGCCTAAACAGGGTCAGGATCATCAATATTATCGTCTTCCACCTCCACGTCTTGTCCCACTAGAAGGTCTTCAGGGCAATAACAGGCATGGAGCTGTCATCTGCCATGATAACAATGCCTCCTTCTGGAATAGCTCCTGAAGGACCAGCTGGAGGCCCTCTGAGAAGCTGGGAGGAATGTGCCTCAGAATTATCTACCTGAGGGTCGAAGAGGAGAGCAATTATATCCCTTGGTTCTTACACCCCCATGCTTAGGGCTTCTCTATGGACTATTAATTTCCTGCAATTCAGGCTCCTTCATGCATCCAACAGACCACATGGGTTCGGCAAGTGTCCCACACAGCAGCATCAGAGAAACCCTGGGTCAGACAATGGGAGATATCTCCCTCCTTTAAATCCACTCCATTACAGAAACTTCACTATGGCAGTGGCTACAACATTTCCAAAAGACTTAATAGAGGAAGGTTAGTAGAACAAGCAGGTTGTTGCTGCTGTCATTGTTCTGAGCCTACAATGGGTATTTATCATCTCCCATTTCTACCACCTGTTCTGGTTTCTTCCACCTTCAGGCAGCACTTCAGAAAGCCTAGGTTTCTATCAGATATAGTGATCTAGACCTTCATTCCTGAGGGATCTGAGTCTTCAATGCTTTGCCCTTACTGGGCCATAATTTTTTTTAGCTCAAATGTTATTTAAGCCTCAGATTAACCCTATGAGATGGGCAATCATTGTTGTAACAGTGTTTTTAATCTCATCTTAATGTTCACTAAGGAAACACGAGGAGATGTCCTAGTGGGTTTCTTGGGTTTCAAATATGCTGTTTCCGGTTCCCATTGTATAGTGGCAACTCTAGCACCTCATGGTATTCAGGGCCAATTATCTGTACCCCCATGGTGATTTTTTTCTTTGCCTGCTATGACAAAGTCCATATGGTTGTCAAAACTCCAGGTTGAGTGGAACCCCGGCTGGGTCTCTTGAAGGAAGTATCTAGTAGAGGATAATGTTGAGGGGACAGGAAGCACAAATTCTGCAAATGAGTCATGGAGTGTGATAATGAGAGACCAATCCTATTTGCATCCTGTTTTTGTATTCCAGCTATGAACAACATAGCCTGCTATATTGATCACTGATTCCATGCCTATAACTTCATCTGGGAGGATGGTGCCCTGACCACATAGAGTCTTCTCCTAGAACTGGCTCCTTAGTTGAGCCTTTAATGGGCCATTTCATTGTCCTGTTAGGCTGTGGACATGTGTCCATTGTTGTATCTCCTTCACTGCAAATTACTGCTTTGAATCTTATGCCAGTGAATCAAGAATCTGCCAGCTCTCGGACAGCTGTTTTATATTGACCATAGTTGTAGAAAACCCC
This sequence comes from Homo sapiens, assembly GCF_000001405.40. Taxonomy (NCBI): domain Eukaryota; kingdom Metazoa; phylum Chordata; class Mammalia; order Primates; family Hominidae; genus Homo; species Homo sapiens. The sequence goes on along the minus strand of NC_000005.10, from coordinate 112,104,504 downwards.
TGGTAGAGATGAGGGACATGCTACACCTGCATGCATTTTGTTTCCATAGCAATGGCTGTTGGCAAAGGTGGGTCATGAGGGTGTGAGGTAGGGTGTAAGATGTGTAGAATATACTCTGTGTGTTGTTTTGTAACTTGCATGTTTTTTTGAGTCAGTTTGTATGTGTTTTTTTTTACTGTTTTAACCTGACCTTATTAGTTCTGCTCATTTTTTGGTTTTTAAAATTCATTAATTTCTGGTTTTACACTTATTATTTTATTGCTTTTTCTTATGGGATTGTTTTGTTTGCCTGTTCTAATCTATTGAATGTAATGCTTAGATTTTCTTTTTTTTAAATTAACAATGTAAGTATTTGAGGCCATATATTTTCTTCACAGGCTATGTAGCATATTGGAGTTTTCTTGGTAATAATTTTCAACCTTTATTTCATTATTGTCCTTTTAAAAAGAAAAAATTTAAATTTATCATTAATAAAAAATGGTATAGTGAAGAATAAAATTTTGTTGAATAGAGTTGAGCTTTGGTCAACCACAAATGATTTTAATGTCTAATATTTTTCACTTCCCAAGAACCAATTTTCACCTCTTGGGAGGTAATATACTCTCTGTTGAGAATGCATCATTTAATAAATACTTCCTAAGCACTTTCAAATTTCATTTAAGTCTCAGATTAGCCCTATGAAATAGGCACAATCCTTGTTGTAATATAGTGTTTTTAATGTCATTAAAGACATTCTGTGATTTTGGGTTTCTTCTTTGACCTAAAAGTTGTTTGACAGAGAGGTTTTTTTCTTCAACGTTTTATTTTGAAATAATATCAAACTTTCAAATAAGTTGCAAGAACAAAGAGCCACCCTATACTCCTGAGTCAGTTTCACCAATTGTTCACATTTTACCACATTTACTTTATCATTCTGTCTCGCTCTTTGGCACCGCCCCTGCCGCCCCCACCCCACCAACCACTGCCCACAATTTCTTTTCTGAACAAATTTACAGTGAATTGCAGTCAAGATGCCTTATTTCCTCTAATATTCAGTATGCAGTTTCTGAAGTAACCACTATACAACCCAGGTAATCACAGTATAACCAACTGAAAGAGAAAATTAACATTGACACAATTCTGCCATTGAATCCAGAGACCCTACTTACATTTTGCTAATTGTTCCAATAATACCCTATAGCAAATGGATGCAAGACCTAATCTAGAATTACATGTTGCATTTAATTGTCATGTCTCTTTAGTTTTGTTTGGTCTAGAATAGTTTTAGTATTTTCTTGTCTTTTGTAACTATGACATTTTTAAGGTATACATATTATTTTTTTGCTTTGGTTGAATGTCGCCTAATTTAGGAGTTCAGTATTTCTTCACGATTAAATTCTATTTATGAATTTTTGGCAGGAATATTACACAAGTACTCTGTTCTTCACGATGTATCATATCAGGAGATATACAATGTCAATTTGTCCCATTTTTGGTGATGTTAAATTGAATCATTGGTTTGAAGTGGTGTCTGTCAGTTTTCTCTTCTGTGAAATAATTATATTTTCCCCTTCCCCTTTGTAATTAGTTAAGTACTTTGTGTGGAGAAATGTTGAGTTTATATAAATGTTTCTCAGCAAACTATCTCCTATTACTTTTAGTACCCATTGTTGATTCTTGCCTGATTCAATTATTACTATGATGGCTGCAATTTTTAAATTCTCTTATTTCTTTAATATTTATTAAAAAGAAATATATATTCCTACATATTTCTATGAGCTTGGATGCACAGATTGGAACACTTTATTATCACTATTAATTTTAATGCTGAAATTGATACAGTTTTGGCCAGTAAGAACCTTCAAGCTGTTCTTAAGTTTTTTATGACAACAACGGATCATATGATGCCTTCTGCAAGACTTGGTGGTATTTGCAAAAACTATGGGAGGCACAGAATGTCTGGTTGTCTCTATTTTTGTCATGTGAACATACTATATCTCTTAATTCATTGAGTTCAAAAATAATCATTACCCAGTGGTATAGGGCATAATAGAAAGGTAGAATTTGAGATAAGGAATTAGTTTCTTATCAATCTCTGAAGGTGACCAATGACTACTTTTTAGTATCATTATAAACTTATGGCTTAAATATGTTTGGTAGATTTCAATTCATGGCAATTATTGTCTTTATTGAAGCTCATCTTTAACCAGTGGAAGTCTCTCCAAGTTCTTGAATTTTTGGATGTAACCCTAATAATCTTTGATAGTGGCTTCTTATCTGGCGTGACAAAATATTCCAGATTTATTTTATATATTTCTTGTTCTAGCTCTGTAATCAGCCATCTGAGACTGTATCTCAATCTCTCAAAAAATTTTCACCCCCCAAGAAAAAATCAAAATTTTTTAATTAAGCTAAAATTAATATCTAATAACTAAAATTAAAGTAATTAAATTAAATACTAAGAAATAAGATTTTTTTTCAGGTTGGGTTGAGCTTTGGAAGATCACAAACAATTGTAAGACTTTTTTCATCCCCCGTAAACCAATTTTTTCCCCTTTGGGGGCAATGTCACCCCTACTGAGAATCATGCTGTAAGATGCCCTAGTAGAAATGATATTTTAAGACCACAATCTGAGCACTAGGAATACAATTTAGTTTTCTTTCCTCTATAAGTCACTTGTTCTTCTTTTTTTAAATGCCTAATGGATATTTCACTTTTTCTTTAAACTCCAGAAATTCTACTAGCATATGTCTTGTTGTTAGTAATTATGAACCTTCATACGTAGTTTAGGGGATTTTTTTTTTTTTCAATTGATACAGAGTCTTGCTCTGTCGCCCAGGCTGGGATGCAGTGGCATGAACACGGCTCACTTCAACCTCCACCTCCTGGGCAAGTAATCCTTCTGCCTTAGCCTCCCAAGCAGCTGGGACCACAGGAATGAACCATCATACTTGACTAAAAAAAAATGTTTTTTGTAGAGATGGGGTTTCACCGTGTTGTCCAGGATGGTCTCAAACTCCTGTGCTCAAGCAATCCTCCCAGCTCAGCCTCCCAAAGTGCTGGGCTTACAGATGTGAACCACTGTGCCCAGCTGGGAAAATTTTAAGGAAAGTTTTATTAAATTATAGTTTTTAGTAAATGTTCTCAAATCTTGCTTAGGTTTTCTTTTTTCAGGGACTCCTTTTATCAGTATAAATTGTCTTTGCTTATGTTCAATATTTACCACTTTGTCTTAAATCATTTTTAACTGTCTTCATTGCTTTTATATTTTTGTCTTAATTCCCTTTTAATTTTGAAAATAATCCTTCTTTTCATCTTATCATTCTCATAAGACATTACATACTATGTCTATTTGCTTTTCTGCTCCTTCATGTTTATTCTTCATTACTAAAATGGTTTTTAAAAAATTTATTTTGAATTATTTTTTGAGCTGTCACTTCATTTATGAGTTTTTTTGGATTCTGATGTTCTTTCATATCTTATACTATTTCTTAATATCTATTAGCTCATTTTGAAGTAGTTTGTCTGATATGTGGGCACATTTTTCTGGCATGCTTTCATTATTGGTAGTGTTTTTCTGCTTCTTAGCCTTTTTTTTTTTCTTATATCAAGGCGTGAAATTTGACCTCAATTGTTGTCTCTCCAAATTTTTATGAGAAATTAGTTTTTCTCAACTTTTAAAACACATGGGCCAGGATAGTATTTCTAACTTCTCATAGTTTTCCCTATTGTTGTTTTCAGGTATACCCAAGCAAGATAGTGTCTTGCTTTCTGAGATTTCCTGGCCTCTTTCCATAAGCCCCTTCTCCTCTTTTGTCTTAACACTATCCTGCTCAATTTGATATACCCCCAGGAGTTTCATCCCAATGTGGGGGTTCTGTTCTGGAAGAGAGCCCCAGCTGATCACTTCTGAAAGTTCATAGACTGCTCCATTCAATTCAAAGCTTATGAAATACTTATTTTTCTCACCTGTTTTAGATTTGGAAACTTGGCTAGTTTCTGCCTCCATTCTCAAATACGCTCTCCACGCTTTCCAGTGAATACTGGTTGGCTATTTGGAGGCTCTCCCATTCTCAGGTTCCTCACTTGCTCTGTGATTACTCTGCTTTCTCCCACACAGATTTGATACCATGCAGGTCTCTGGTGGATGTTGGTGACTTGTCCTCACACATTTCCATTTTGAGGTTGGGAACATCTTATCTACTTTTGCTCTAAGCATTTCCATTGGTTTTTGTTTATTTGTTTGCTTGTTTGTTTTTTGGTTTTGCCATTTAGTTGCCCTTTCTTTTTCTGATGCTGGCATTTGGGAGTTTAAAAAACTATGTCACTGCTATTGCCATTATTTTTCAGAATTCATAAATTTTTTTTTTTGACATTTACCATCCATCATGCAGGCTGTGGCAATATTGCTTCTTACCTGAAAATGAGAAGATACAAATGGGAGTCACAGACTTTTTTTGTAGCATGAAAACAGTATTAATCTTACCACCTTGTTTTAGAGATGAAGAAACCAAAGACCATGTTGGTTCCTTTGTTTATTTATCAATTTATGTTCAAAGAGATCTGATAATAAGGAATGCATTTGGAATTTAATGTAGCAGGGTACTTGAAATATTTTAGGAGCTCTGTATATTTTTATTGTGCTCATTCAAATCAAATAGACATTTCTCTATGCTCCTTGAATCCATAAAGTTTGTATTAAAAATGTGAAGTTATGTTCTTATTGACCATAATTCAACATATTCCACTAAGCATACAATGAAACAGTTTTTCATTATTATTTAGTTTCCTTCAAGCTGAGCTTGGAAATAAAGAGTTTTTAAGGACAAGAGGGGAAACGCTGAAATAAAAACAACAATTAATTTAAAAGCCAGTTAATGTTTATTTTGGGGGAGTGCATTTCTCTAACTGGAGGTTTATCACTTAAAGTTCTTCTAAGTATGGCCTGCCATATTTGTTCGTTTTAACAAAATTAAGATAATTAGAATAATGTGAGTAAGAGTTTTCACTTTTTGGTTTGGAGAGAAAAAAGTAATTTTAAAACATAAAGGCCAACTTGCTGTTTTCTTTTTATTCTTTTTGGAGAAATGTCTCTTGCTAGCGGAATTTAGGAAATGAAATAATTTATCATCATTTCAACAATAAGTTACCTGAGCCAAGATTTCAGAATGGACATAAAAATAATTTTCATATTTGTACTTTCATTTTTTTTTTTTTTTTGAGAGGGAGTCTTGCACTGTTGCCCAGGCTGGAGTGCAGTGGCGCTATCTCCACTCACTGCAAGCTCCGCCTCCCGGGTTCACGCCATTCTTCTGCCTCAGCCTCCCGAGCAGCTGGGACTACAGGCACCCGCCACCGCACCCGGCTAATTTTTTGTATTTTTAGTAGAGATGGGGTTTCACCATGTTAGCCAGGATGGTCTCGATGTCCTGACCTTGTGATCCGCCCGCCTCGGCCTCCCAAAGTGCTGGGATTACAGGCGTGAGCCACCGTGCCCGGCCCGTACTTGTATTCTTTAATGATGCCTACTTCCCAGTTAGGTCATTTCTATACTCTTGCTTGGTTATTACTAAGCCAAGAAAAGAGAATCTGTGCTGAGGACATATTTATGAATTGGCACTGAAAGAATCCACATTTTCCAAGGACCAAAATCTTCAAGGAGAATTAGGAAAACTGTTGAATGACCACCCAAAGAACACCATAGTAAATAATATACAGTAAAAAGGAATAGAAGAAGAGAGACAAAAGGAAAAATACAGGGAGATGAAATTGTGGAGGTCATTGTACAGCAGATTACAACTATTGGGCAAAACTAGAATGCCATTGTGTACCTCCATATTTCTCTTCCACAAGGGAGAAACACACACACACACACACACCCCTGGAATGACCTTTCAGTTTCAAAGCCACATTTAGATACAGCTTTTATATATATTTCTGAGGGAAAAATTGAGGTGGGAAAAAGGAGGGAAAGAAAATTACTGGTTATACTAGAGATAGATTACTGGAATTTAGGTACATTTACTTAGAGTCATATTTTGGCACAATCACTATAGCTGTCATTGATCAGGTCTTCTCAACTCAGAGATGTACAGGGTTTTCAATATTTGCATTTTGTATTGCACATTGAGTTGTAATTATTTATTATATTGAAACCTTCCACAAGTAATGATAGTGAGGCCTTAAAAATTCTAATGTCTGTGTAGTGATAATGAATAGATTAATTATGCCACGTCTATTGAACTGTGTCACAGAAACCAAACTTGTAAAAATGCAGGCTTAAACTTTGAGATCACAAGTCTGTATCAGCAAGAGTACTTTGATTGCAGGTAACACTAAAGCTGAGGTAAGCAATAGAGGAGACTTAACGGTTTATGTAACTGGAAGTCCCGAGTTAGGGCAGACTTAAGATTGGTTTGATTCACCAATTCAAAAATGGCATGAAGGGCCCCTTTTCCTACCGTTTTCCTTTCCTGCTTTCTTGGTTTCATTTTTATACTAAGGTGGAGTGCCGAAAAGGATGTTGAAACACTACAAAATGTTATGACTGCCAGCTACTCCCAGGATCACAGGCTTCCTCATCCAAATCCAGACAGAGAGGGAGAGAGCTGGCTTCTCAGAGCTCTCGTAGAAATGCGTCCATCAAGTATTTCTGTTATGTCTGAGAAATCATGATTTTTCTAACTTTATTTTTTTATTATTGACATTCTACCTCAAAAGTTTTTCCTTTCCTTCCCTCCTTCCTTCCTTTATTTTTTGTCTTTCTTCCTTTTTCATTTCAATATGGATTTATAGATTATTATTTTATCCAATGTATTATCATCTGCTATGATCATTATTTATTTTAATGCTCAAACTCTCCCAGTTTTGGTCATACTTTGAGCACTTCTTACTTTCTGAAACAATGAGATGTTCTCAGCTCATTTTGTACTTTTCCTATCCTTGCCTTGGAATCAGTCATTTCTCCAAGGTAGTCCTATTCCTTTGAGTGGAGAATAGTGTTTAGAATTTAAGATCTAGGCAGCCACATGTGCTTGTTGCTACTGAGTTGTTTTTAAATCTAGGCCCTCTGTCAGAAGGTGGAGGGAGGGAGGAGGGAGAGGACCAGAAAAAATAATGGGTACTAAGCTTAATACATGAGTGAGAAAATAATCTGTATCACAAACCCCCATGACACAAGTTTACCTATATAACAAACCTACACATGTACCCCTCAACTTAAATAAAACTTAAAAAAATTCTAGGCCCTCTTAGAAACTTAGATAAGAAACACACACACTCACACTCACATAATTTCTTAAAAGATTGATGATATCTTAAAAGGTTTTAGGGTCAATTTGCTATTTAATTGTAGTTGAAAATGAAAGGCAGTTTATTGATCTTATGATTCTAGTTTGGCAAAATATATGTAAAATGAACCATTAAATACCTTTAACCAAGAATAGAATTTGAGCCCCTCGAATGATGTGTCTGCACTTAAAAACTCAACAAATGATCTATTTGTGACTTACGGTCACTAAAGAACTAAAGATTAGACCTGGGCCATCGATGTTAACCAATAAAAACAAAGCTTTGTTTATATCTATATATCTATGTGTGTATCTATTTTGGTATGTGACCGTGAAATAGATTTGAAGTTATCATGTCCATTTTACAGACAGGAAATCAGAGAAGACCCTTAGAGTTTTAGTTACAGTCTTACTAGGATATGCTTTCTGATCATTAGTTCAACTTGTGTTTCAGTCTTTGCTGCTTTGTGAACAATGCAATTTTCCAGGACAACCCCATCATTTTAAGCAGTGAATACCTTTTACACGCTTTCTTTTGGTAACTGCAAATGTCTTGTCAAGGAGTCTAGCTCACTGAGGCTTTCAGAGGCTAGTCAGTATACAAAGTTGTAAAAAAAAATTTGAATCCTGAAATTTAGGAGGCTATATGCATCTTCTTGATATGTACCTCAACAGTGTTTGTCAAGCTTAGGGTCTTCTGCATGGAGTTAGGAAGGTTTCTTAGCTTTCCTTCCAGGAACACTTTCTGGTTACTCATTGGCCTAATTCATAATTGTGTGTTCCAATTTTAAGCTATAGGTCGTGCTTGGTATCAAGTCACAGGACATGCCCTGTGGTGTTGAAATTTGTTAGGAAGTTAGATACGTGGTTCTGTGGAAGTAAGAAATGGCATATATGAGTGATACAATTAATCACAGACGCATAGGCTTCCTTTTTGAGAGAATTTAAAAGATTTTTAAATCCACAGGTACTCCTCTTTCAATAAAGAATCAGTTCAGGATAAAGTTGTAGAAGAATTTCTTCACTCCCTGTGGAGCAGATTTAGACAGCCTACCAGGGGCAAAGTTGGCTTCCTGTATAAAAGGGAAAACATTTTTCAAAGTCTTGTATTTAGATCTTAAGGATTACCCAGTTGACCTAATGCTAAATGACAAGTTAATGGGTGCAGCACACCAGCATGGCACATGTATACATGTGTGACTAACCTGCACATTGTGCACATGTACCCTAAAACTTAAAGTATAATAAAAAAAAAAAGGATTACCGAGTTGAAACTTCTTAATTAAAAGCAGGAAGCAAATAATGTGCTAAAGGGTGGTAGAGAGATCCAGGAGATATAAGAAAGAGTGGATATTTATAGCTTTCTTTATAAAAGAAAACGTGTAAACTACTTGAACCCTCTTAAAACACTTCAATCTAATTAACTCTCACCATTATATTTCAGTGAGATTAATTTAGAAATATTCTTAAGTTCTATATTCAAAAGAAGAATGAAAAAATCCATAAATTATGGTTGACTTGTGTGTTAACTGAATTCATTTAGGGTGACTCTGTTTAGTAAGTATATATTACATCTCTAACAGGTACTAGTCACAAGACATTAAAATTTTTTTATTTTAATTTTTGTGGGTACATAGTAGGTGTATATGTTTATGGGGTACATGAGATATTTTGATACAGGCATGCAATGCATAATAATCACATCATGTAAAATGGGGTATCCATCCCTAAAGTATTTATCCTTTGTGTTACGAACTACCCAATTATACTTTAGTTATTTTGAAATGTACAATTAAATATTCTTGACTAGTCACCCATTGTGCTATCAAATACTGTCTTACTGTGTCTGTTTTTTTAATACCCATGAACCCTTCTCACTTACGCCCCCAACGCCCCCAATACCCTTCCCAGTCTTTGAAAACCACCCTTTTGCTCCCTATCTTCATGAGTTCAATTGTTTTGATTTTTAGATCCTGCAAATAAGTGAGAACATGTGATGTTTGTTTTTCTATGCCTGGTTTATTTCACTTAAAATAGTGATTTCCAGTTTAGTGATCCATGTTATTGCAAATGACAGCATCTCATTTTTCTTTATGACTGGATAGCACTCTTTTGTATATAAGTATCACATTTTCTTTATCCATTCATCTGTTGATGGAAACATAGATTACTTCCAAATCTTAGCTCTTGTAAACAGTGCTGAAACAAACATAGGAGTGCAGATACCTCTTTGATATACTTATTTTTCTTTCCTCTAAGATATACCAAACTTCCTTTGAGCTGGAACATATGGCAGCTCTATTTTTAGTTTTTCAGAACCTTCAATTTTTTCTCCATAGTGGTTGTACTAACTTAAATTCTTACAAAACAGTGTGCAAGGGTTCCCTTTACTTCACATCCTTGCCAGAGTTTGTTATTGCCTGTCTTTTGGATATAAGACGTTTTTACTGAGGTGAGATGATTGCTCATTGTAGTTTTGATTTGCATTTCTGTAATCAATAATGTTGAGCACCTTTTCATATATCTGTTTGCCATTTGTATGTTTTCTTTTGAGTTATGTCTATTTAAATATTTTTTGCCCATTTTAAAATTGAATTATTAGATTTTTTCCTATGGTTGTTTGAGTTCCTTATATATTCTGGTTATTAATCCCTTGTCAGACGAGTAGTATGCAGACATTTTCTCCCATTCTGTGGGTTGTCTCTTCGCTTGGCTGATCATTTCTTTTGTTGTGCAGAAGCTTTTTAACTTGATATGATCCCATTTGTCTGTTTTTGGTTTAGTTGTCTGTGTTATGGGATTTTGCTTAAGAAAGTTTTGCCCAGAGCAATGCCCTGGAGAGTTTCCCTATGTTTTCTTATAGTAGTTTCATACTTTGAGGTCTTAGATTTAAGTCTTTAATCTGTTTTGATTTGATTTTTGTATATGGAAAGAGACAGGGGTGTAGCTTCATTCTTCTGCACATGGATATCCGGTTTTCCCAGCATAACTTATTGAATAGATTGTCTGTTCCTTGGTGTATATTCTTAGGACCTTTGTTGAAAATGAATTCACTGTCTGTGGATTTGTTTCTGGTTTCTCTATTCTGTTCCATTGTTCTATGTGTCTGTTTTTATGCAAGTACCATGCTGTTTTGGTTACTATAGCTCTGTGGTATAATTTGAAGCCAGGTAATGTGATTTCTCCAGTTCTTTTTGTTTAGGGTAGCCTTGGCTATTCTGTCTCCTTTGTGGTTTCATAAAATTTTATGATTTTCTTTTCTATTTCTGTGAAGAATGCCATTGACATTTTGATAGGGATTGCATTAAGTCTGTAGATTGCTTTGGGTAGTATGGACATTTTAACAATATCGATTCTTATCCATGAACATGGAATATCTATCCGTTTTTTGGTGTTCTCTTCAATTTTTTTCATCAGTGTTTTATAGTTTTTATTGCAGAGATCTTTGATTTCTTTGGTCGAGTTGATTCCTATGTAATTTTATTTGTGACTATTGTAAATGGAATTGCTTTTTAAATTTTTCAGATTTTCACTGTTAGCATATAGAAATGCTACTGATTTTTGTATGTTGATTTTGTATGCTTCAACTTTACTGAATTTGGCAGTTCTAATAGTATTTTGTTGGTGTCTTTAGATTTTAATATAAGATTATATCATCTTCAAACAAAGACAGTTTAACTTCTTCCTTTCCAATTTGGATGCTCTTTATGTCTTTCTCTTGTCTGATTGCTTTAGCTAGGACTTCTAGTACAATGCTAAATAACAGTGATGAAAGTAGACATCCTTGGCTGGGTGCGGTGGCTCACACCTAAAATCCTAGCACTTTGGGAGGCTGAGGCATGCAGATCACAAGGTCAGGAATTTGAGACCAGCTTGGCCAACATGGTGAAACCCTGTCTCTACTAAAAGTTAGCCAGGCGTGGTGGTGCATGCCTATAGTCCCAGCTACTCAGAAAGCTAAGGCAGGAGAATCGCTTGAACCTGCTGGGAGGTGGAGGTTGCAGTGAGCTGAGATTGTGCCACTGCACTCCAGCCTGGGTGACAGAATGAGAGACTGTCTCAAAAAAAAAAAAAAAAAAAAAAAGAAAGTGGACATCCTTGTCATGTTCCAGATCTTAGAGGAAAGGCTTTCATTTTTCCCCCATTTAATATGATACAAACTGTGAGCCTGTTGTATATGGCTTTTATTATATTGAGGTATGTTCCTTCTATACTCAATTTTTGGGAAGTTTTTATTATGAAGGAATGTTGAATTTTATCAAATGCTTTTTCAGCATCAATTGAAATGATCATATGGTTTTCATCTTTCATTCTGTTAATATGTATTATAGTGATTGATTAGCATATATTGAACCATCCTTGCATCCCAGGGATAAATCTCACTTGGCCGTAATGAATGATCTTTTTAACGTACTGATGAATTTGGTTTGCTAGTATTTTGTTGATACAGGTCGGTATCTCAATATTCATCAGAAATAGGGGCCTGTACTTGTTTTTCTTTGATGTGTCTTTTTCTGGTTTTGGTATTAGAGTAATACTGGCCTTGTAGAATAAGTTTGGAAGTATTCTCTCCTCCTGTATTTTTCAGAATAGTTTGAGTAGGATTGGTATTAGTTCTTCAAATGTTCGGTAGATTTCAGCAGTGAAGCCATTGGGTCTTGGGCTTTTCTCTGTGGGGAGACTTTTAGATTATGACTTTGATCTTGTTACTTGTTATTGGTCTGTTCAGGTTTTGGATTTCTTCCTGGTTCAATTTTGGTGGGTTGTATGTGTCTAGGAATTTGTCCGTTTCTTCTAGATTTTCCAATTCATTGGCATATAGTTGTTCATATTATCCACAAATGATCCTTTGCATTTCCGTGGTTTCATTTGTAATGTCTCCTTCTTCATCTCTGATTTTATTTATTTGGATCTTCTCTCTTTTTTTCTTAGTCTGGCTAAAGATTTGTCAATTTTAACTTTTCAAAAAACCAACTTTTTGCTTTTTGTATTGTTATCTTCATTTCAAATTTATTTATTTCTGCTCTGATCTTTATTATTTCTTCTGCTAAATTTGGATTTCATTTGCACTGATTTTTCTAGTTTTTTAAAGATGAATCATTAAGAAGGTTGTCTTCTTTTTTGATGTAGTCACTTATAGCTATAAATTTCCCTCTTAGTACTCCTTTTGCTGTATCCCGTAGGTTTTGTCTTCTTGTTTCCATTATCATTTGTTTCAATAAATTTTCGGTTTCCTTAGTTTTCTGATTGATCTCCAGGTCATTCAGAAGCATATTGTTTAATTTCCATGTATTTGTATAGTTTCAAAAAATCCTCGTTACTGATTTCTAGTTTTATTTCATGTAGTCAGAGGAAATGCTTGATTTATTTCAATTTTTTTTGAAAGTTTTGAGACTTGTTTTGTGACCTAACCCTTGATCTATCCTTGAGAATAACCCATGTGCTGAGGAAAGGAATGTGTATTCTGCAGTTATTGAATGAATTATTCTATACATATCTATTAGGTCCATTTCTATAGTGCAGATGAAGTTCAATGTTTCTTTGTTGTTTTTCTGTCTGGAAAATCTGTTTATTGATGAAAGTGAGATTATTGAAATCTCCAGCTATTATTGTATTGGTATCTCTCTCCTTAGCTCTGATAATATTTGCCTTATATATCTGGGTGTTCCAGTGTTGGGTGCATATATATTTAAAATTGTCATATCCTCTTGCTGAAATAACCCCTTTTTCATTATACAATGGCCGTTTTTTGGTCTCTTCTTATAGTCTTAAAATCTATTTTAGCTGATAAAAGTATAGCTACTCCTGCTCTCTTTTGGTTTCCATTGGCATGGAATATCTTTTTCCATTCCTTTATTTTCAGTTTATGTGTGTCTTTATAGGTGAAATATGTTTTTTGTAGGCAAAAGATGATTGGGTTGTCGTTGTCTTTTTTTAATCCAGTCATCCACTCTGTCTTTTGATTGGAGAGTTTAGTCCATTTACATTGAATGTCATTATTGATAAGACTGATTCCTGCCATGTTGTTATTTATTCTCTGGTTGTTTTGTGGTCTTTTCCTTTATTTTTTCTTTCTTGTCTTCCTTTATCTCTGGTGATATTATTTAGTTTCTTGCCTTTTATTTTTTCTGTATTCGTTGTATGTTAGTTTCAGGTTACCAAGATGTTTGCAAATACTGTCTTACAACTCAGTATTTTAAGTTGATAACAATGCTGTTTGCATAAACAAACAAGCAAAAAGAAAACTAATAAAGACTCCATACCTTAACTTTGTTCCCTTACTTTTAAACTTTTTATTGTTTCTATTTATATCTTATTGTACTGTCTACATCTTGAAAAGTTATTGTAGTTATTACTTTTGGTTTATTGTTTGGTCTTTCTACTCAGGAGAAGTTTACACACCACAGTTACAGTGTTATAATTTTCTGTGTACTTACTATTACCAGTGAGTTTTGTACCTTCAGATGATTCCTTGTTGCTCATTAATATTCTTTTCTTCTGGGTTGAAGATTTCCTTTGAGCATTTCTTGTAAGACTGGTTTGGTGTTGATGAAATCCCTCTGCTTTTTTTGTGGAAAGTCTTTATTTCTCTGTCATGTTTGAAGGATATTTTTACCAGATATGCTATTCTAGAATAAAAGTTTTTTTTCCCTTCATTGCTTTAATATTGTCATGCCACACTCTCCTGGCCTGTAAGGTTTCCACTGAAAAGTCTGTTGATAGATGTATTGGAGCTCCATTGTGTGTTATTTGTTTCTTTTCTCTAGTTGCTTTTAGGATCCTTTCTTTATCCTTAACCTTTTGGAGTTTGATTATTAAATGCCTTGAGACAGTCTTCTTTGCATTAAATCTACTTGGTGTTCTATAACCTTCTTGTACTTGGGTATTGATATCTTTCTCTAGGTTTGGGAAGTTCTCTGTCATACATTTGAATTAACTTTCTACCCCTATCTCTATCTCCTCTTTAAAGCCAATAACTCTTAGATTTGCCCTTTTGAAGCTATCATCTAGATCCCACAGGTGGGATTAATTGTTTCTTAGTCTCTTTTCTTTTGTGTTCTCTGACTGTGTATTTTCAACTAGCCTGTCTTCACCCTCACTAATTCTTTCTTCTGCTTGATTACTTCTATTAAAAGACTCTGATGCATTCTTCAGTATGCTAATTGCATTTTTCAGCTCCAAAATTTCTTCTTGATTCTTTTGAATTATTTCAATTGCTAATTGCATTTTTCATCTCCAAAATTTCTTCTTAATTCTTTTGAATTACTTCAATCTGCTTGTTAAATTTATGATAGAATTCTGAGTTCCTTCTCTGAGATATCTTGAATTTCTTTGTGTTTCCCCAAAATAGCTACTTTGAATTTTTTTTCTGAAAGGTCATATATCTTTGTCCAAAATTGGTCCCTGGTGCCTTACTTAGTTCATTTGGTGAGGTCATGTTTTCCTGAATGGTGTTGATGCTTGTAGATGTTCTTTGATGTCTAGGCATTTAAGAGTTAGGCATTCATTGTAGTCCTCTCAGTCTGGGCCTGTTTGTACCCGCCCTTCTTGGAAGGCTTTCCAGATATTCAAAAGAAGTTGGGTTTTATTCCAAAAGCAATGGCAACAAAAGCCAAAACTGAGAAATGGGATCTAATTAAACTAAAGAGTTTCTGCGCAGAAAAAGAAACTACCATCAGAGTGAACAGGCAACCTACAGAATGGGAGAAAATTTTTACTATCTACCCATCTGACAAAGGGCTAATACCCAGAATCTACAAAGAACTTAAACAAATTTACAAGAAAACATCAAACAACCCCATCAAAAAGTGGGCAAAAGTTATGAACAGACACTTCTCAAAAGAAGACATTTATGTAGCCAACAGACACATAAAAAAAATGCTCATCATCACTGGTCATCAGAGAAATGCAAATCAAAACCACAATGAGATACCACCTCACACCAGTTAGAATGGCGATCATTAAAAAGTCAGGAAACAACAGGTGCTGGAGAGGATGTGGAGAAATAGAAACGCTTTTACACTGTTGGTGGGACCATAAACTAGTTCAGACATTGTGGAAGACAGTGTGGCGATTTCTCAAGGATCTAGAACTAGAAATACCATTTGACCCAGCCATCCCATTACTGGGTATATACCCAAAGGATTATAAACCATGCTGCTATAAAGGCACATGCACATGTATGTTTATTGTGGCACTATTCACAATAGCAAAGACTTGGAACCAACCCAAATGCCCATCAATGATAGACTGGATTAAGAAAATGTGGCACATATACACCATGGAATACTATGCAGCCATAAAAAAGGATGAGTTCATGTCCTTTGCAGGGACATGGATGAAGCTGGAAGCCATCATTCTCAGCAAACTGTCACAAGGACAAAAACCAAACACCGCATGTTCTCACGCATAGGTGGGAATTGAACAATGAGAACACTTGGACACAGGAAGGGGAACATCACACACCAGGGCCTGTTGTGGGGTGGGGGGGAGGGGGAGGGATAGCATTAGGAGATATACTTAATGTAAATGACGAGTTAATGGATGCAGCACGCCAACATGGCACATGTATACATATGTAACTAAACTGCACATTGTGCACATGTACCCTAGAACTTAAAGTATAATAATAATAAATTATTTATGTTAACTTTATGTATTTATTTATTTATTGAGATAAAGTCTTACTTTGTCACCCAGGCTGGAGGGCAGTGGTATGATCTCGGCTCACTGCAACCTCTGCCTCCCAGGCTCAAGTGATCCTCCTGCCTCAGCCTTCTGAGTAGTAGGGAACACAGGCACATGCCACCATGCCTAACTAATATTTGTATTTTTTGTAGAGAATAGGTTTTGTTATGTTGTCCAGGCTGGTTTCAAACTTCTGGACTCAAACGACCTGCCTGCTTCAGCCTCCCAAAGTACTGGGATTACAGACATGAGCCACAGTGCCTGGCCTGATTTTTGGTTCTTATGAAGGTGATTTGTTTGGCGTAGACAGTTGTTGGCATCCTTGCAGGAGAGTGGGGGACACTCAGTGGAAGCCTTTTATTCCACCGTCTTGCTCTGCCCCCAAAAGATACTTTGAGAAGTAGAGGTCTTGCATTTTTATGTTTTATTCCTTTTCATTTTTATTCCACTGTGAATGAGAAGTGATTGGCTGTATGTAACTCAGAGCAATTCATTATACTTCATTCTGTTTATTGTATACACAAAGAATATTTCTTCTGTGGGCACTGCCGCAAATGTCTGATGGTTCTATAGATGACATTTCTTTACATTGAAAATATTGGTTAGTGGTTTTCTGAAAGAGTTCTGTCTGGTCATCTAAACTTTGGCTGAAAAGGTAAAGCATATGTACGGAGAATTTTACTACTAAATATTGTTATTGTAAAGATTTATTATTCTATATAAGAAAGTAAGAAACTGTTGTATCCCCCTTATTTTTTAAAGTTAGATTTTCTCAAAGCTCCCATCCTAGTAGATTGCACAGAAATTCTATCTCAATTATTAATAAGGCTCTTTCCCTACCACCCAAATCACCAAAATGTCCTGGGGGTGCACCACAATCTACAACATTATGTTCCTCTGGTCTTTAATCTTCACTGCTCCTTTCCTCAGCCACATAGTAGCATTGTCACTTCTGTGCCAAGACAGGGCATATAATCTTTCCCCAAGGCACTCAGGGATATGATTCTTAATATTCTATGCTCATGTCTCTTCTACAGTTCACTTTTAAGATATGTCAGAAAGCAAGTCACTTTTTGGGGAGCGAATGCCGTCAGCACATCTCTGTTGCAATAAACTGGTTCTCCCACTCTTCAAGAGAAGCTGCCCTACTTCCTTTTCCCCTACATCAAGTCCTCATCTCCCTCTTCTCTTTATCTGGAATGACCTAGTAATCTTTTTTATGTCTTTAAGTATTTGAACATAAAAGCTAGGGAGGGATATTATCTCAATAGTTTCTGTTTTATATTTGAACATACCTCACTTTTGAGGCAAGGCAAGGGAAAACATAAGCTTAGAAACCTGCTTGGGATGGAGGGAGAAAATTTCTATGGATGGGAGAACAAAAAAAATTGATATTTTGATAGGCTATTCAGCCTCATATTATTTTTCACTCCTTGAAAGAAAAATAAAAGACATAATGATATTTAATGTTTAACTTTTAGTAAGCACTCTCTCAAAATATTTTAGGAATCTAAAATAGCTTTGTTGTAGTCAATGTGTCCTGAGCAGAAGAAAGTTCTTACTTATGTAACTTCTTTTCTAAAGAAAGCTAGAGAAGTTGAGCAAATAAATCAGCCCAAGGTTAGAAGTAAGAGAGTGAGAGGAAGCCTCCTCTTCATGATGTGTGGGCTTGTCGGAGCAGACCTGCCTTCTGGAGAGGACCTTAGTAGGACTAGGGGTGAGATTAGGTGGACACCAGAAAAGTATAACACTTAGTACCAGACCTGAACTACTGGGTTGGCTATTTCTCCATATTATTTTGGTAATTCCTCTGGCTCTCTATCAACATGAATCTGTAGGAAGTGATATCCACGGAAATCCCAAGAAAGAATCTACCCCTCAAAGGAATTTAAGGACCTTATGAGATGACCATTTAAAAAAATCAGATGATTTATATTATTTATATGAAGTCTGTAGGAGGTGACTATTATCTAAATAAGGCCTGAAACTATAAAAATTCTAGAAGATCACATCAGAAAAAACCTTCTAGACATTGGCTTAGGCAAAGATTTCATGACCAAGAACCCAAAGCAAATACAACAAAAACAAAGATAAATGGGTGGGACTTAATTAAACTAAAGAACTTCTGCACAGCAAAAGGAACAGTCAGCAGAGTAAACAGACAACCTACAGAGAGGGAGAAAATATTCACAATCTATACATCCAACAAAGGACTAATATCCAGAATCTACAAGGAACTCAAACAAATCAGCACAAATAAAGCAAATAATCCCATCAAAAAGCGGGCTAAGGACATGAATAGACAATTCACAAAAATAAGATATACAAATGGCCAACAAACATATGAAAAAATTATCAACATCACTAATAATCAGGGAAATGCAAATCAAAACCACAATGTGATACCATCTTACTCCCGCAAGAATGGCCCTTATCAAAAAATAAAAGAAAAAATAAATGTTGGCATAGATGTGGTGAAAAGGGAACACTTCTGCACTGCTGGTAGAAATATAAAGTAGTACAACCACTATGGAAAACAGTGTGGAGATTCCTTAAAGAACTAAAAGGACTACTATTTGATCCAGCAATCCCACTACTGGATATCTGCTCGGAGGAAAAGCCATTATACAAAAAACATACTTGCACATGCATGTTTATAGCAGCACAATTCACAATTGCAACATTGTGGAACCAGCCCAAATGCCCTTCAATCAACAAGTAAAGAAACTGTGGTGTATATATATATATATATATACATATATATACCTGTGTATATATATATACATATATATACCTGTGTGTGTGTGTGTGTGTATATATATATATATATATATATATATATATATATATATATATATATATATACAGGTATGTGATGGAATACTACTCAGCCATAAAAAGGAATAAATTAATGGCATTTGCAGCAGCCTGGGTGGGATTGGAGACTATAATTCTAAGTGAAGTAACTCAGGAATGGAAAACCAAAAATCATATGTTCTCACTCATAAGTGGGACCTAAGCTATGAGGATGTAAAGGCATAAGAATGATACAATGGACTTTGTGGACTCAGTGGGAAAGAGTGGGAAGGGGGTGAGGGATAACAGACTACAAATTGGGTTTAGTATATACTGTTCAGGGGTTGAGTGCACTAAAATCTCTCACAAAGCACCACTAAAGAACTTACGTGACCAAATACCACCTGTTTCCCCCAAAAACCTATAGAAATAGAAAAAAAAATATTGGGTGAATCACCTGAGTTCAGGAGTTTGAGACCAGCCTGGCCAACATGGTGAAACTCTGTCTTTACTGAAAATGCAAAAATTAGCCAGGCATGGTGGCATGTACCTGTAATCCAACCTACTCGGGAGGCTGAGACAGAATTGCTTGAACCCGGGAGGTGAAGTTTGCAGTGAGCCGAGATTGTGCCATTGTAGTCCAGCCTGGGTGACAAGAGTGAGACTCAGTCTCTAAATAAATAAATAACCACAAATGAATAAAATATGAAGAATTAAATTTTTGCTTTAGTTCTAAGTGTTTTTTTGACATACCGTGCTACTACTTCATTGCAAAGCTAGAGAAATAAAGACATGGGGTTAATAATTTTCTTTTGATTTCTAATTTTCATTTTTACAGAAAGGCATGAAAATCTTTGAATAAAATCTAAGACGCAAAGTGTAGAGATTGTTTACACACATGTAAAAGGAAAATACTACCACATACGTAGAGATGGAGAACATAATTTCATTTTCTCTGTAAATATCTTGAAGAATGTATATTATTTAAATAATGAATTCTGCTTACTGATTTTTTTCTTTTTTTTTTTGAGGGGGATGGAGACTTGCTCTGTCACCCAGGCTGGAGTGCAGTGGCGTGATCTCAGCTTACTGCAACCTCCGCCTCCTGGGTTCAAGCGATTCTCCTGCCTCAGCCTCCCAAGTAGCTGGGATTACAGGCATGTACCAACACGCCCCGCTAATTTTTATATTTTTAGTAGAGACGGGGTTTCACCATGTTGGCCAGGCTGGTCTCAAACTCCTGACCACAGGTGATCTGCCCACCTCAGCCTCCCAAAGTGTGCTTACTGATTTTGTGTTCAGTAAGGCCCGTTGGGCCTTCTTAGTGAGATAGGATTCCAGCTTTGCTTACTAGATAAAACACAGCTGCTCTGCTTATCACAAGGCAGAGTGTGTTTACATCCCAAGTCTTGTGATTTGATGATGCAGCCGGTTCAGTACCATTCTGATGTTGCCAACTAGTTGCTTTACATGATTATCCTACTTTAAAATACAAAACTGGAACTGGAACTTTAAGAAGTCTTGAATTCATTGATTTCCTTGAAATATCTTGTAGTACCTTTTAAAATATACAGTTGTATAAATCTCACTGAATCAGAACCTCCTGTTAGTAGAACCCAGGAACCCTCTGGTCTTGTCAGCCACTTCTCTTTCAGAAATGATACCATCTAAACCATCTGCAAACCACTTAGTAAAGTGATAGGTGTGGGGGAATTCTAGCTTAACTTTTTATTAATCTTTAATTAGATTTAAAATGTGTAATCAGAGAATTCTGAAAAGGGAAAACAGCCTCAAAATAAAGACAATTGAATTTTAAAGGTTTTCTATTTGCCAACTTGTTTTCATTTGGCACAGAAGATCTTGAAGTATTAAGATGCTCTGTGAAGTCATTTATGACTAATTAGAATAGAACTGCTGTCCTCAATTGCATATTCTCTTAAACTGCCAGCCACTCGCTGAGATAGAATGTGAACTTATCCTTCTGTTTGTAATATTTAATGGACTTTTTGGTATTAAACAGTACAAAACATCCATTAATTTAGATGAGTCAATTCTAAACAGTATTTATCGGTCTACGTTGGCATCTCTGACGTCAAGATCTTTTTTTTTCTGTTTAATTTTCTTTGAATAAGAATTTGGTAAAACGAAGTACAGGATGAAGATAAAGATTGACAGTGTCTTTTTATAGAATAAATAAGGACTTCTTTCATAGCAAAATAGTCTAACTTTAAAAATTAAAGATTTTATAAAATGGGCAAATTATTATGATGTTGATTTTTTTCCCTTTAAGTGAATAATCAAGTCAGAAGAGTTACTTCATGTAGTTTTACCTTTTTGAACTCTATAAATGGAATCATTCTGTGTGCTTCTGTGAGTGCCTCCTACTGCTCAACAATGTTTTTGAGATTTTTCTCTATTCATGCTCTTTGTATATTGTTTATTCATTTTCTTTGACGTGGATATTTCAGAGTATAAATATGCAAGTTTATTTATCTGTTCTATTGATGGATATTTAGGTTATTTTCAATTTTCTTTTGTTACAAACACTATTGCTATGAACATCCTTCTAAAAACACTGTATTGATATATAATTTACACACCATAAAGCTCATTAATTTACAGCATACATAAAGCTCAATGGTTTTTAGTGTTTTTACAAAGGTGTGCGACTATCATCAGAATCTAAGTTTACAACACATCATCAGCCTTACCAATTAGCAGTCACTCCTTCTTCTCAACCTTGTTTCCCCCGTCCCTGGAAACCACAAATCTACTTTCCATCTGTATAGATTTCCATATTCTGGATATTATACATTAACGGGATCATATAATACGTGGCCTTTTGAGTTTGGCTTCTTTCACTTAGCATGATGTTTTCAAGGTCCATACGTGTTGTGTGTGTCAGTAATTCATTCTTTTTTGTTGACAAATGGTATTGTATGGATACACCACATTCTGTTCATTCTTTCATAGGTTGATGGACATTTGGGTTGTTTGCACTTTCTGGTTGTTATAAATAATGCTGCTATTCAGGTACAAGTGTTTGTGTGGACTTAAGTTTTCAAACGTTTCATATGAAGATAACTATTAGTGAAATTGCTTGGTTTTGTTGTAATTCTGTGTATAACATTTTGAGGAACTTATAAATTGTTTGACAAAGTGGCTGTAACTTTTAGATTCTTATTAGCAATATATGGGAGTTCCAATATCTCTACATCCTTGCCAACACTTGTTATTGTATGCTTTCTTGATCATAGCCATCCTCATGGTATGAACTGGTATCTCATTATGATTTTGATTTGCATTTCCATAATGACTAATTATGTTGACCTTCATGTCCTTATTTGTCATTCATACATCTTCTTTGGAGAAATGTCTGTTAAAATCTTTTGCCCATTTTATAATTTGACTGTCTTTGTATTGTTGAATTGTAAGAATTCTTTATTCTGCATATAAGTTCCTTATAAGATATATAATTTGAAAATACCTTCTCTCATTTTGTGGGTTGGCATTTCACTTCCTTGGGGTGTCTTTTGAAGCACAACCTTTTTTAATTTTGATAAAGTCCACTTTATTTTTGTTTCCTTTCTTGGGCTTTGACACTAAAGAGTTGCACCTAAGAAACCATTGCCTAATTTGAAGTCCCCAAAAGATGTGTACTGGCATTTTGTTCTGATATATTTATAGGTTTAGCTCTTACATTTAGGTCTTTGATTTATTTTTGAGTTAATTTTTATATGTGATGTGTGACAGGGGTCCAACTTCATTCTTTTACATGTGGATGTTTGTTGCCCCAGCACCATTTGTTGAAAACTTCTTTCTCTCTTGAATTATCTTGGTGTATTTGTTGAAAACCAATTGAATGTAAATTTAAGGGTTTATTTCTGGACTCTCAATTTAATTCCATTTATCCACATGTCTATCCATATGCCAGTACTACACTATCTTGATTACTATAGGTTTGTAGTTAAGTTTTTTTTTAAAATTGGGGTGTAATTTTTTACACTAGCTATGATAACATTTATTTGATCTAAAAAGTTTTACATGTTAATAATAGTATAAACTTGTAAAATATGAAAAATAGCAAACAATGAATATCACTGATAATTCCACCAACCAGAATTAGTATTTTAAGACCTTCTTTTGACTTCTTTTCACACAGCATTTTGAAGTTGTTAGCTGATCCACATGCAATGTGGTGAGCAGTGACCATATTTTCTTTGTAATACTAGAAGTTTCAGGAAGCTCTCATGTAATATTTAAACTTTAATATTTTAATAACTTAGATCTAATTGACTCACAAATGACAAAGGGAGTTTTTTATTTGCAACTTATAGTCCTCAATTCTGTTTGTAAGAGGAGACAGTTTACTTTTGTATATGATACAGAGTTTTTATTGAGCTGAAGTTGGATTACCTTGTGTTATTTCTCCTTTTTTTTTTTTTTTTTTTTTTTTGAGACAGAGTCTTGCTCGGTCACCAGGCTGGAGTGCAGTGGCGCGATCTTGGCTCACTGCAACCTCTGCCTCCCAGGTTCAAGTGATTTTCCTACCTCAGCCTCCTGAGTAGCTGGGACTACAAGCATGTGCCACCACGCCCAACTAATTTTTGTATTTTTAGTAGAGACAGGGTTTCACCATGTTGGCCAGGCTGGTCTCGAACTCCTGACCTTATGATCCACCCACCTGGAACTCCTCAAGTGCTGGGATTACAAGCATGAGCCACTGCGCCCAGCCTATTTCTACTTTCAATTACCTCCTATATACCGTTACATAATTTCTATTATACTCATAATCAAAGCTAGTTAGAGATTGGCATTTATAAGGTTTCTAAAAAGATCTTATCAAAACTAGTGGTGACTCAATTAGACAAAAAGTCATCATAATTATAACAGAAGCAGTTTCAAATATAATCAACTGGGTTCTAAATACAGGCACACTTCAGAGTTATTGTGGGTTCAGTTCTAGAACTCTGCAATAAGTGAGTTTGCAATAAAATGAGTTACTTCAATTTTTTAGTTTTTCGGTGCATATAAAAGCTATGTTTATACTATACTATAGTCTGTTCGGTGTTAAATAGCATTATGTCTCAAAAATGTACATACCTCAAATAAAAAATACTTATTGCTAAAAAATGCTAAAGATCATCTGAGACTTCAGGGAGTCATAATCTTTTTGCTAGTGGAGGGCCTTGCCTCTTCCTTTGCATTCACAACTTGGCTGTTTGTTATAAGAGGCTTAGCTTTTGGCCTGTCTCAACTTCTAACATGCCTTCCTCACTAAGCTTAATTATTTCTGCCTCTTGATTTTAAGTGGAGATGTGCAACTCTTCCTTTCACTTGAACACTTAGAAGCCATTGTAGGGTTATTATTTGGAGTCTTTTCAACATTGCTGTGTCTCAGAGAATAGGGAGGCTTGAAGAGAGAGAGAAATATGGGGGAACAGCCAGTTAGCTGGTGGAGCTGTCAGAACACACACTACATTCACCCATTAACTTGGCCATCTTATATGGGCATGGTTCATGGCATTCCAAAACAAGTACAATAGTAACATCAAAGATCATTGATGGAACTAAAGACAAAAACCACATGACTACAACAATGTATAAAGGCTTTCAGTACCATTCAACACCACTTCATGTTAAAAACTCTCAATAAACTAGGTATCGAATGAACATACCTCAAAATAATAGCCATCTGTGACAAGCCCACAGCCAATATAATACTGAATGGGCAAAAGCCGGAAGCATTTCCTTTGAAAACCAGCATAAAACAAGGATGCCCTCTTTCATCACTCCTATTCAACATAGTATTGGAAGTCCTGGCCAGAGCAATTAGACAAGTGAAAGAAATAAAGGGCATCCAAATAGAAGGAGAGGAAGTCAAACTATCTCTGTTTGTAGATGACATAATTATATACCTAGAAAACCCCTAGTCTCAGCTCAAATGCTCCTTCAGCTGATAAACAACTTTAGCAAAGTTTCAGCGTACAAAATCAACATCCAAAAATCACTAGCATTTCAATACACCAACAACAGCCAAGTCAAGAGCCAAGCTAGGAATGCAATCCCGTTCACAATTGCCACAAAAAGAATACATATCTAGGAATACAGTTGCCAGGGAGGTTAAAGATCTCTACAATGAGAATTACAAAACAATTCTCAAAGAAATCGGAAATGACAAACAAATGGAAAAACAGTCCATGTTCATGGATTGGAAGAATCACTATTAACATGGCCTTACTGCCCAAAGCAATTTATAGATCCAATATTATTTCTATCAAATTACCAATGACATTCTTCACAGAACTAAAAAAAACAATTTTAAAATTCATATGGAACAAAAAAAAAAAGAGCCAAAAGAGCCAAGGCAGTCCTAAGCAAAAAGAACAAAACTGGAAGCATCACATTACCTGACTTCAAACTATACTACAGGGCGGTAGTAACCAAAGCAGCCTGGTACTGGTACAGAAACAGACACATAGGCCAATGGAACAGAATAGAGATCCCAGAAATAAGGCCACAAACCTACTTGACAACGCTGATAAAAATAAGCAATGGGGAAAGGGCTTCCTATTCAAAAAATAGTGCTGGGATAACTGGCTAGCCACATGTACGAAATTAAAACTGGACTCCTTCCTTACACCATATACAAAAATCAACTCAAGATGGATTAAAGACTTAAATGTAAAACCCAAAACTATAAAAACCCTGGAAGACAACCTAGGTAATACCATCCTGGACATAGGAATGAGCAAAGATTTCATGATGAAGATGCCAATAGCAATTGCAACAAAAGCAAAAATTGAAAAATGGGATGTAACTAAAGAGCTTCAGTACAGCAAAATATACTATCCATAGAGTAAACAGACAACCTACAGAATGGGAGAAAATATTTGCAAACTATGTATCTAATCAGGGTCTACCATCCAGCATCTATAAGGAACTTAAATTTACAAGAAAAAATGCATTCAAAAGTGGGCAAAGGATATGAGCAGACGCTTTTCAAAGGAAGACATACATGTAGACAACAAGGATATGAAAAAAGCTCAGTATCGCTCATCATTAGAGAAATGCTAATCAAAGCCACAGTGAGACACCATCTCACACCAGTCAGAATGACTATTTTTATTAAAATGTTAACAAATAAATGCTGGCGAGATTGTGGAGAAAAGAGATCACTTATATACTGTTGATGGGAGTGTAAATAGTTCAACCATTGTGGAAAACAGCAGGGCAACTCCTTGAACTAGAAGCAGAACTACCATTTGATCCAGCAATCCCATTACTGGATGTAGGCCCAAAGGAATATAAATTGCTCTGTTATAAAGACACATGAACGTGTATGTCCATTGCAGCACTATTCGCAATAGCAAAGACATGGAATCAATGTAAATGCTAATCAATGGCAGGTTGGATAATGAAAATGTACACATACATCATGGAATACTACACAGTCATAAAAAAGAATGAGATCATGTCATTTGCAGGGACATGGATGGAGCTAGAGGCCATTAATCTTAGCAAACTAATGCAGAAACAGAAAACCAAATACCACATGTTCTCATTTACAAGGGGGACCTAAATGATGAGGACACATGAACACATAGAGGGGAACAACAGTCATTGGAGCCTACTTCAGTGTGGAGGGTAAGAGGAGGGAGAAGATCTGAAAAAGTAAAAAATTGGACAATAGGCTTAGTATCTTGGTGACAAGCTGCACAATAAACCCTTGTGACATGAGTTTACCTGTGTAACCTCCACATGTACACTTGAACCTAAAATATAAGTTAAAAATTCAAAAAAGAAAATTTAAGATTAAACAAGAAATAGAGAAAGCTCTTTGTGTTGTGTAATGTTAGAGGCTTTGAGAAGGCTCCCATCCCAACTCCTCTCATCCTCAAAATTAGGGATTAGTTGATAGAATTATAGAGTGCTAGACAGAGTCAGATTCACCTTGAGGTTAATGGAGCATAAGCTTGCACAGGTCCCTTTCAAAGTCTTGAAAGGGGCTCTATAGAAGTTGTTCATTTAGAAATACACATATAAAAACAGTTTCCATGCTCGCACGCACACACAAACACACACATTAAAGCAGGTCGTTTGCAGAAATAAAGTATTTTCAACCAAAATTGTTAAGAATTTTGTCTCTTTCTACCCTGGCTTCCCTTCCATCACATATCTAGAGTTGAGTACCATTAGAGTAGAAGTCATTTTGGGAATCTGAATAAGGGGAATTTTAATTGTGGATACATTTAGTTTTGCTTTAGTGGGAAATATTTATATAGCTCACAGTCACTTTGTACAGAATTGTTTTCGCTTTCACTTCTAATCTAAGAATGGCTTCCAGGAATGTTTCTTCTGCACATTATGTTGACTCATTTGTTAGCTATCACAGCATGAAGATGCAGAACTAAGGTCAAGACATGATATGAATGTGTCCTATGGCACCTGGCCCCCAAAGTATATGAGGAGTAGAAGAGAAGCAAGGCTTGAAATATACATAGCTAGAAGCTAGTCTATGGAAAATTCTTCTGATCATTAGACATTGTAAAATTGTGAATGAAGGATAAAGTTTTCATTGAGGCCAAGTCAAAAGAGAAATTTCCTTCCTAAAATAAATATATTGATAAGAAGGCAAATACAATTATAAATACACCATTTTTTTTTTGGTGGAAGTCACCCAAAATAGAATTAATCAGAATTGTTCTTTTTAAATTTCCTGCTGATTTGACATGAAATACTGACCTTGATGAATGTAATATAAAATTCACATTTAGCTACTAAAATGAGAACATCAATGACAAAATGGTTAATGAGTATTGTCAGTTCAAGGAATAGTTATGACTGGTCATTGTACAAAAATTTCTTTTTATCTTACAACTCCTACAGGAAAAAAATTTTACAGTTTATATTGAAAAGAAACCAGAAGTTCTCCTAAAGTTGATAACAATCCTGAACACTTACATGATAACCAGTAATGAGCTAAAAGGAGCTAACTGGAGCTAAAATAAACTTTCTAAATTATCACTAATAGAATAAACTTTGATCAACCATGCTAAAGGCAAGACTGAATTTTCTTGCCTTGTCTCTGTAGAAAATGATATTCATTGTCGTGTGAAAAGATGACCAGGGTATGCCTCCAATAATGTGGCAAAACTGTATTATTAAGAGAGATGACAGGCAGTTAATTGATTTTTAAAAATACTAGGTGCTTGTGATATTTATGGTATTTTTTGTCTCGTTTTCTTTATTGTGATTGAATCCAATTTAAATTAAAATATGAAATACTTAACAATTATAAAATCAATATTTGCTGTGGGAAACAGAAGAGATCTACAGTAGTATTTACAGCTCTTCAATTTGTTTATAAAGGAGGCAATATAACAATTTTAACATACTTTTAAACCTTTTGCCTCTAGAAGATATATCAATTAGCAGACAATATTCAAGGAAATCAGTGCTGCATAGATATTTTTGGTCTACTAAGGTACAATTTATAGTACAGAACCGACACAATACTGCAGCAGAAACCATAAGTTACAAAGTGGTAACTCTCACAGACAGTAATTAGAACTACCCTGTCCTATATGCCCCTCCAGATATAGCAACTTACATTCTTTGAGAAAACAGGTTCTTTACCTGACTAGGATACTTCACTGGTATTTCCAAACTAAAACACTTTCCCACTCAACACTGGTTTTTAAAAACCATTAGAACTTTTAGTTTTATAAGTTGCAATTAATGAGTATTCCTTTAAAAAGAAACTATTTTCAAAGATAATGTATTTTACTTGTTGAATTCACTTATAGTGCATTTGATTTCAAGCAGAGAGATAATTACCAAATATAGCAATTAAAAATTTTTAAATATTCAATTCATTAAATAATTGCTACACATCAATCTTCTAAAAGGCCTCAGACTAGACACTGAGGAGAAAAGAACATTGACCAAAGTATCAACTTCACTCTTCAGAAGCTCACCTAATGCAACAGTATACATCATTGTTACACAATTTACAGATACTCAGTTATTCCATCAAGCAGAACATTGCAGAATTAAGTTCAACTATTGAAATCTACATCCAGGCCGAGCATGGTGGCTCAAGCTTGTAATCCTACCAATCTGAGAGGCCAGGGCAGGCAGATCACTTGAGGTCAGGAGTTTGAGGCCAGCCTGGCCAACATAGCGAAACCCCATCTCTACTAAAAATACAAAAATTAGCCGGATGTGGTGGCATGTGCCTATAATCCCAGTCACTCAAGAGGCTGAGGCAGGAGAATCATTTGAACCTGGGGGGTGAACGTTGCAGTGAGTCAAGATTGTGCCACTGCACTCCAGCCTTGGCGACAGAGTGACACTCCATCTAAGTAATAATAATAATAATAGTAAAATCTACATCCAGAGGAAGAGATAGGAAACAAATCATCAAAATCAAGGAAACTCAGGTAAACTTATGTCAGAAGATGACAAAAGTGTAGCATGTGTTCAAGTCTTAAATGTAGTTATTAAGTTAATGCTTAGTGTCCCTCCATTTGTACTAGAAAGGGCAAAAGAAACACCACTCTTATCCTCCTTTACCAAGGTTAAAATTAGGATCAAGCTCCACCTGACAAAATTAAGAGACTGAGGGACACGTATAAAAGGAAAAGTGAGTTTTGCCATAGAAATGGGTTGAAGGGTTTATGGACCTATTGGATATTTATATGAGACTCAAGTAATTTTTTCCACAAATTGACAGAACAATGACCCAGACAAGATTGCTTCCTGTTTTGCTGCCAAAACACCAGGCAAAACAGGCAACATGTTCATCATGGCTGAGGGTAGCTCTGACTACACTGGTACTATGTAATATGTTAGTTTCAAACCATGTTAATGTCATAAAATGGCAAGCATTGCATCTTGCCAATTATAGCCAGTTCATTATTAACATTACTGAGTGAATCTTATATATGATATAATTCACTACAATGTAAATAGCCATTTATATCCTGAGGAATTCCTCACCGAGACTATATGGAATATTTTTGATCAGTGGAGAAGACACATTAAGTAGCTTTATCCCATTGCCCATAACTCTTATATTTCATTTTATTAAAGGTATCATGCAATGAGAGTTATGGTATTTATCAGCTCTTGAAGATCTTTTTTCTTGTAATTTCTGTTCTCATTATAAATAAATGCCCATGTTTATACATAAAAAAAGATCACCAAACACAGATCATTAAAACAGATAATAATGAAAAAGTTTGAAATATAGCAAGAATTACTAAAATGTCACAGAGACATGAAATGAGCACAAGCTGTTGGGAAAATGGCACTGAGAGATGTGCTCAACACGGGATTGCCACAACCTTCAATTTGTAAAACAAGAAACAAAAGCAACAAAAAAAAAAAACCCAGTATCTGTAAGATGCAATAAAGTGGACTGCAATAAAATGAAGTATGTCTGTATGGACAAATGTCAGCATACTACTATATTCCCCAAAGGGAACTGTCTGCCGGGAAAGGTGATGATGGCACTTTTTGTTTATGTGTGATTTATTCCTAACTCAAGGCTATAGCGTTTTAATGCGTACTATGTGAGACCTCTGTCTCTCCAGGCCTTTGAGACAGCCCTTTTGGAAAAATTCCTTTGAGGTAGGTGAGAGATCCTCCATCAGGAGGTGGGGCGACAAGAGCACGGTATGACTGATGATTTGAAATCAGTCGTATTGAAAGATTGATAAAGTTTGAGGAAAATTAAATTATAGGACAAGTGAAGTATACTCACTACACTACAGTGACAATCCAAGAATTAATCTAAATCCAATAAAGTTTTTTTATATAAAGAAAAAAAGACCCAAAATAAAATTATCCGTAGATGGTAAAATGCTAAAACCAAGAGTTACTTTTTCTTTCTTATCACACATCAAACTTATCCTTAAGTCTTGTGGACTGTACCTTCAAATACATGTTAAATCTTTCTACTTCTCTCCATCTATAGAGCCCTACTCTACTCCTAGCTATGTCATCTCAAACTTGTGTGTCTCCTGGCATCTGTTCTTTCTTCCTTTTATGCCATTCTTCATACAGTGGACACATTTTTGCAAAACGTAGGTTGAGTCATGCCATTTCCCCATTTAAAACTCTTGATGATTTATTGTTGCTCTTTTATAAAAATCCTCAAATCAGCAAAGAAGCGGCTGACATGTTCAGTAAAGAAGTATGTATATTAAATAAGAACCAATATAGAAACAATACAGAAATATTAGAGAAATGAGTGACAATAAAAATGAGTGAAAGGATAGAAACTTAGCCTCTGTTCTAATGTCAACTGGTTATACAACCCACTTAACCTTTTAAAAGAGACTCCAATATCTAGGGCCTGTTCAGTTTCAAAATTCTAAGGATTTATGTTTTGTCTTTTCGGATGCTGAACAATTAAAGGAGAAAAATACGTCAATTTCTAAATAAACAATACCTTTAGTTTGCGTAATGCTGTATGGTTTAAAAAATGTTTGTACATGAGTTACCCCATATAATGTCTTTAATTTCTCCCTTCTTTTGCTTTTTCCAGATTAAAAGATAAAACATAGTTTCCCAAGACTTCCTGTTCCTTACTCTACCTTGCCTGTTCTAGAAAATGTCATGCAGTATGTTTGTCATAGGATACTACTACCTTTAAAAATAAATTTCCATCTTTAGTTGAATTTGGGAAATAAAAATAGCTCAGAGACACTAATACTTGCTAACATGGTAAACTTTGAAGAATTTTACTATGTACAATCTAGTTTGAATAATTCTATAAAAATTTCACAACACATAAATTTATGAACATAGATGAATATTTTCAGGTATATTTATTTTTGTTCCTAGAATATGTAAATATAACTTGAAATATACCAATGGTCTGAATAATGATTCTGAAAATTCTTTTAATCCAACTAACAAATTAAAATTTTATATCAATACTTCATTGTAGTGTGGCAGGTCTGGCTGTCTGCAGAAGGAAAGTGGAAATCTAGAGGAAATGAAATGGAGAATGCTCAGGGATAAATTTCCATCATGCACATGTAATATTCTGCTATGTTTCTGATAACCTCTAAGCCCTAATTTTCTAATGGAATGAGATAACTCTGTCAGAGGCAAAATCAGTACTTTGAAAGTACACACCAATGTTCTGTGAAATTAGAAATTGACCTTATTTTCCTTTATAGAATAAACACAAGTGGGCTTACATATTTGGAGCATATATAATATTTGAAATAAATTTTAAATGCTTTAAGTGTGTCATTGTATATCTTCTTATTGATAACAGATTAAAATATAAAAAAACTTGATTCTATAAAATATGGTTACTAATCAAGAACAATTTTTGTTTTAATAACTGCCAGTATATATTTTTCTAATTGCAACTTGAACAGAAATAATGTATTTCAAATCCTAGATACTTTATTATCAATTAATAAGGTAATACCATTTTTCCCCACAATCCTTATGCTTAAAATTTATACTATTACTAACTTGGGGTGATTATACATATACAATCTTTATGACAAAATTTTTTTCACAAGTAACAAATTGTTGACTATAAATTAAGTTGCTATGTTAACTCTGTAAGCTAACTATAAAAAATTTTAGCTGTTAAGATATTTCAGATAGATGCATTGTTGAGATTATTGAGTTAATTCACCCAACCAATATTTATTAAGTTCTTTATATGTTCCAGCCATTTGGCTAGTTGCTGTTCTAGCTGGGGTCATTTGAAAGGAGAGGTAGATAGATATTCAGCATAAAATAATACAAGAGTTTCTAACTAATGTCTTGAGATGTATCTGCAGCTTGGTTATTAGATATTAAAGACATTTGCTATTGCTACAATTTCTACTACTATGATTCTTTTCCATATTTGTTGTCTTGGAGACAGTATATGGTTAAGGGAATGGGCATTGGGGTCTCCATGGGTTCAAGTCCTAGCTTTGCCAATTACTAGTCATGTGAATTTGGGGGAAAGTATTAATTTTCCTACCACACATTTTTTTTTCACTGGAAAGATGAAGATAAGAAGGATCCCACTGGCCTCTTGAGAAGTTAGAATGAGATATTGCTTGAAAAACACTAAAAGCTATTCCCAGAGGTTGTATGGTTGTTATACTTTTAATGAAAAACAAAGTGATTCCTGAGATCGTTGTGGGACCTTTCTTTTTTTAAAAAAAATTAAAAATATTGTACCTTAATTTTTTGATTTTTTTAATTGGCAAATAACTGTACCTATTCATGGGGCACATAGTGATGTTTTGGTAGATATAATGTATAGTGTTTGGACCAGGATAATTAGCATATTCATCATCTCAAACATTGATCATTTCATTGTGTTTGGAATGTTCAACATCCTCCTTTTAGCTATTTAAAGCTATTTAATACATTATTGTTAACTATAGTCATCCTATAGGATATAGAGCACTAGAACTTATTCTTCCCATCTAACTGTAAATTGGTATCCTTTCACAAATCTCTCCCTATCCCTCAAGACCTTTGACACTCACTCTTCTTTTGTTGGAGCCTGTAATCTATGAATTTCTCTTTCCTGACTGACTCCCTTTTTTGCTGGAGCATATCCTTCAAAAGGGGGCATGGGTTGTCCTTTTGTGTCTAACCTGTTTCTAGTTTGTCATCATACTTGGTTGATACTTTGGCTTCAAACAGAATTTTAAGTAGAGATAATATTTCCTCAGATTTTAAAGCATTGTTCCACTGTCTTCTAGCATTCAGTACTGCTGTTGTGAAATTTGATACCATTCTTAGTCTCACTTTTGTATTCACAGACTTTTTCTCTCTGGAAACTTTTAGGATCTTCTCATTTTCTCTGGCATTCTGAAATTTTGTAAAAAGTACATATGCTTTCATTGTTCTAGTCACTTTATTGGCCCTTTCAAACTCCAGATGCTTACCTTTTAGTTCTGGAAAACATATCTTGTGTGATTTCTTTGAACTATTCTTCCTAACTATTCTCTCATTTTGGTATTGCTGTTATTCATTGGCTATCCTGAATCAATTCTAGAGAGTTTTGTTCTGTATCTCTTTTACCTTTCCTTTTATATTTTCTGTCTATTTATTCTACTTTCTTGGTAATTTCTGTTTTAACTTTCTAGCATTTGAATGATTTCTCTATTTTGGATGTATTATGATGATAGTTAATTTCCAGGAGCTCTTTCTTATCTTCTGATCATTGTGTAGCTTTCTTACTTTGTTTTATGAATGCAGTATCTTTTCTCTCTCATTGAGTTGATTAATTATACTTTATTTGAATTGTTCTCTGCTGTCGCTTTGTTTCTATCTCTTCTTTCAGCTTCTTGTTGTTATGTTTTTCTTTCATGTTGGAGGTAGGTTGAGCAGGAAAGGGTTAACTCAGCAGGCCTGGGTTACTCAAATCCTGTACATTTCAAAGAAAGGCCTGCCTTTAGGATTGGCTCTTGGCTGGCTCTTGGGAGATAAATCCTGAGTCCTTGGCATAGTCTGACTGATAAGATGGCGTTTGTGTCCTGGAGGCCTTGGTCACCCTATACCAGTTTGATCAGATATTTTATGCTAACCATGTGATTTATGGTGAATGCCTGTTTTTGCTCTGAATGATGGGGGCTGAAGTGTGAGTAGCTCAGATTAGTCATACATTGTCTTGCTTTCCTGTATAACTGACTCCTTGATAAAAACCTGTACCTCAAAACTCAGGTGAGCTTTCTTGGTTGGCAACACTTTCATTGTGTCACATGTCATTGCTAAGAAATTAATTGCAGCCCTTTGTGACTCTACTGGGAGTAGACACCTGGAAGCTTGTGCCTAGTTTCTCTTGGAATTTGCCCCATGTGTCCTTTCCTTTTGCTGATTTTTGTATATATCCTTTCATTGTATTAAAATATAGCCATAAATGTAACCACTTTTCTGAGTCCTGTGTGCCCTTCTAGTGAATCATTGAGTCTGTAGATGCTCTTGGGAACCCTCAACACATGGGTTACTTTTAATTGACTCTTCCTGTTCTACATAAGGGACTAAATGCATCTTGGACTCTCAGAACATGAAGACAGTATTTGTTTATTTTACTGTAGGGCAGTGGTTCTCAAAGTGTTGTTCAAGGACCCCTGAGGTCCCAGAGAACTTTGTAGGGAGTTCATGAGGTCTGTATTATTTTCATATTAATGCCAAGATTTTATTTGCCTTTTTCACTACATTAACTTTTGTGCTGATGGTGCAAAACAGTGATGGGTAAAACTGCCGAAGCCTTTGCCATGGATGAAGGAAATGGCACGAAGGTATACTTAGTATACTTTTAGTATATTCTTTACCACCACACACTGTTGTAAAAAAGAAATATGCTAGTTTTACTTGATATTGGCCTTGATAAAGCCATAAAACTTGTAAATTGTGTATACATCTTTTAATTTTTCGTGTGAGAAAATGGGAATTATGCCTACTATTCTGCTGCATTCTGAAATACAATGGCTGCCTCAAGGAAAAGCACTAGTGCAATTGAATTGAG
Source organism: Homo sapiens (assembly GCF_000001405.40). Classification (NCBI taxonomy): domain Eukaryota; kingdom Metazoa; phylum Chordata; class Mammalia; order Primates; family Hominidae; genus Homo; species Homo sapiens. The sequence goes on along the minus strand of NC_000005.10, from coordinate 112,069,238 downwards.
AGTTGAAGTCACCATTTTTTTTCATGGAAACCATTTTTACTTGAAAGAATGACTGACTGAAAAACTGGTTATGCAGATGTGGGTATTTGCCAGACATTTTTTGAAAATAAATAAAGTGGCCTTACTGGTAATGATAAAATGCAAGCTTTCAAAAAATCAGAATTTGGAAAACTTGTATTGGCAACTAGGAACTTAAGAGCTTTCCAGTAATTACCAAATTTTCTGATGAGATTAGTGGTAATATTAACAAGTGTAATTTTTTGATATTATGTAACGAAATTTGTCAACATTTGGGAGATCTTTATAACTCTGTGAACAAAGGTTTTCCAAATGATAAATGCATGATGCTACAAAATTCCATGCATGGGTAAAAATATATTCAAAGTGCAGGACAGACTTTACTGTAATAGAGTCAAAAAGTTCATTGATGTGGTTTCAGATTCTGCCTTGCAATTGACCTTTAAGAAACTACTCCTTTTCAAGTTGGAGTGTAGTTTCAATCTGCAATTATCTCAAAGGGCTATTAAAATACTCTTCCGTTTTCCAACTATATATTGCTGGGAGGGTGCATTTTTTTCACAGACTTCAACAAAATTTACGTGTTGCAATAGATTAAATACAGAAGCAGATATGAGAATCCTGGTATCTTTTATTAAGAGAGACATTAAAGAGGTTGCCAAAAATACCACACTTCTACTAAATTTTTTTTTGAAAATATAGTTATTTTTCAATAAAACATTTTTTATATTATGTAGTGGATTATTGTTATTTTGAAATGAATATATATATTTTTTAAATTCACAGGTTAATTTCTAATATGGTAAAACTTGGTAGATATAACCTACATAAACAAGAGCTTCTTGGGATCTGCAATGATTTTTATGAGTGTAAAGAGGTTCTGAGACGAGAAAGTTTGAGAATTGCTATTATAAGTCTTAAGGGAGGAAGTTAGTCTTTTAATTGGGATGAGACCAAATGTTGTTATTTGTAGGTGCATTTCTCTGAAATTCCTTTTTTTTTCCCCCACTAGAGAACAATCCTTCAGTTCCCTGACTTGGAGCTTTATGATGGCATCTTGAGTTTGAAAGTCCTTTAGTTCACTGAGTAGACTTTGCGTTAATTTTCTAGTTTTCAGTCGTGTGTCACACTTCTCTCCTCCATTCTGCTTTGTGGCCATAACTCTGGGATCCTTCTGATTTTCTTTCTCCAGAGAATAGCCTCGGCTCTCCTGTTGAGTTTAGGAGCAGAAGCTAGGTCCGTGCTATGGTTCAATTTTTGTTTCCATTCCCCTATTCCTTTACTTTGTTGTAGTAGTCCCCACTGCTCCATCTATCTTAATCTTCCAAAAAGTTGTGCTTCCTTAGTCTCTGGCAATTTCCCTCTTGGCATTGTTTTGGGTATGTGCTAGGCTGAATAATGGCTCCTTTCAAAGGTAGCCATGTCCTAATCCCTGGAAATCATGAGGTTTTCTTATGTGGCAAATACTTTGCAGATGTGATCAAGTTAAAGATCTTGAAATGGGAGATTATCCTGGATATCCTGGATATGCAGGGCTCCAAATGCAATAACAAGAATCCTCATCAAAGAGAGACAGGTGGAGATTTGTAGCAGGCAGAAAGGGATAAGAAAATGGGACCACAAAGGTAGGTTGGAATAATGCACCCCCACACCGAGGAATACTGGCAGCCATCAGAAGCTGGAAATGGTGAGGAACAGCTTCCCCTCTTCCAGAGGGCTCGTGGCCCTGCTGGCATCTTGATTTCTTCCTAGTGATATTTATTTCAGACTTCTGGCTTCCAGAATTGTGAGGGAGTTAATTATTACTGTTTTAAGCCACCAAATGTGTGGTCATGTTATAGAAGCTTCAGTAAACTAATACAAAGCAAAGGGTTTTTTTTTCTTCATTTTATGTTATGCAATGAGGTTTCGAAAGGTAGAGCAGGTAAATGTATAGGGCCTCTATATGCTATGTAAAAACAGAAGCTTTTTAATGAGCTTCTAACTGCCATAAAGGTGAAGCAAGTTTGGGAGAGTGAACATTTTACCAGAATAGAAATTCTTCTGATTATTTGGGGTGACTCAGATGTCCTCAGGGGGGCCTTAGATTTCAGTCACTCTTTTTGAATTCTCCAAAAAGGAAGCACATCCAAATGGTTGTAACTTATCTGGAGTTGTTAGAACTAGCCAATGACAATCACAAATTGTTTATCCAGTCCTAGAACTTGGAAGGATTGGGGAATCACCAGTTTCAGAAAGAGGGGATGGGTTATACCTCACATTTTACACTATTGCTCTGCCGTGGGGCATTATACAACTTTCTGTCTGAGCTGTGTGATCATTTTCTCTCTGTCTCTTGAGCTTTTATGCAGTTTAAAGAAAGGAAGAAGAATTGTTGCTTCCCCAGCTTTTCCCATGTTTGATGTTAATGATGCTTCTCAATTATATTGTCTGCACATGTGCCAGAGATCATGGAAAGCTGCAAGGGAACATAGGTCAGGGAAAGTTGGAGCTGTAGTAACACGGTGTACGCATCGTGAGGCCGGTGGAGAGAGACCGAATGATGGAAGTGGGCACTGGAAAGCGTGCCTTTCTTTCACAGTCAACAAAGATTTAGGTAGCCTTCACCATGTGTGTAATTCAGTACCACAGCTATTTGGGGAAAAGAGTAACCTGCACCCTGACCTAACTTTTACATGAGGAATCATAATACACAAGAAATTATAATGCACTTAAAAAGATACATACCTGAAGGGAATAATTTCTGAATTTCTGGAGGTAACAGAAGTAAAGCAAAACATTTAAAATCTAGATTTGCAACATTAAAACAAATAAAGAGGCTATTATTCAAATTGTATCAAGACATTAGAGAGAGCTCAGAATTTATAACACAGTTGGGATTCAGATATTTTCTGCAAATTAGATTTTTCTTTTTTTCTTATGAATAGAATCACTTGGGAATATTTCCTGGTAGATATAGGCCTTTAAAAATAATGATGAATAAGAGATGACTAGTAAAAACTAAATTAACAGGATAGACCAAATGAACAGAATTATATTAGACTGAAGCAGGAAAATGACCATTTTAGGCAGCATTCCCCCTGGGCTGTAATATGTCTAATGCTGTTGTTTATAGTACTTCATATGCTGCTGGTGGTCAGTGAAAGTTTAAAACACAATCAGTAACATGTTCTGCAGTAATAAATTTTACTTTTGGCTGCAGAGAGACTTGAATATAAAAATTACTGTCTACTAATTCAAAAAACCACTTCCCCCAAATGAACAATTGCCATTAATCAATTCTTCCCAGTTGCTTGGCAACTTTTAAATAACTAGCAGATGTAAAGAGATGCATTTCTTTAAAAAAATCACTGAATATTGGATAAGCCACTGATTAGTGTTTATGATAAAACTGGGGGGGGGGAATTGGGAAATAAGGAGAGGAAGAATCATAGATGAAAAATATGTGCAGTCATTAGGGCATAAGTTAACAAATGGCTAGTATAATAAATCCTGGACTTAGAGAATTTATAATTCCTTTCTTCTGTCTGCGTTGTTCCAGACAGGTCTAATGTTTACAGATGTGTGTGTGTGTGTGTGCGCGCACGCACGTGTGTGTGTGTGTGAGAGAGAGAGAATAAGAGAGAGTAAAATAACATAATGTTAAAGGAAAATAAAAGACAACAATACAAAGGCATGGATATTAGAATGAAGCAAGGGGTGAGGTGTACAAAAGATACAAACATATTTGTGGCTTTGGAGATACAGAAGTATTCCTGAGGCTGGGGACAGGCAGGTATTTTCTGAAGTCTTAATAGAAATGGCATTGTGTGATATAATGAATGACATTCTTGACAGAGCTCTTCTGTGGTGCGTTGTTGATTGTGCACATCTCAACATAGGTCAATGGCTTCACACACAACAACGATTGAGCAAAATTATTTCTACCAAGAGCTGTTACATGGACCATGTATATAGCTGGATGAAAGGACCAGAACTTTCTTCTGAGGCAAAGGTGCTCTGGAAAGGAATGAGTAGAGGTAGCTGGGCTTGCATGTCTTTCTGACCCTCTGTGCTTCTTTAGTGCTTAAGAGTCAAGAAATGACTAAGTGCATCTACTTTTACAGAGGAGGAAGTGGCTTTCTGCATAAAAGCAAGAAAAATGGAATGGACTGAGGCTCATTATGTACATTTAAGCAGCCTATAACTTGCCCTTTCCTCGTTAATTACATAATTCTAGATGTGGACCTAGGTAGGCTCTTTATCCTCTAGAGGAGCAGTTATTTATACAACTAAAAATCCACAGAGTATGGATAAAATACGAATGTGCTTTAATGATCCTTTCTGTCCGAAGGCCCAGTGGGGCTAATTCAGAGCTACCCACATTGCACAACTTCAGAGGGTATCATTTAAATGGAATTTTATGAGAACTTCCAGGAGTTCCTGGAGTTGTGCTACCTAGACGTTCTGGGAGAATCTTTTGCCAAAGAGTGGCTATAAGAGTTGCTTTTCTCCTATTTCAAGCAGGGTAAAGTGCATATAAATATTAAAGAAGAGATGATGGTGATGTCTCAAGTAAGCTGAGTCTGCTTTTTTTTTTTGGTCAAGAGAAGAGACAGAATTTCCATGATTAGTTGGCAGAGATGCAAACACAGCACAGACCACCTACATCTGCTAGACACTCTGTTGGCGTGATGACTGTGGGACCATCTGGTAAATGTATTTTTCAAATAGGTCAAAACGTAACTCATATAAATATAAGCACCTGTCAATGATTTCACTCAACTCATCAATTAGTGCAGTAATCAGTAATATAGAAAGCTGATTCCAAGTGTATTTGAGAAACTGGGTATTTATAGGAAATTCAATAAGAGAATGTTAAGATGAGATTACTAAATTAGATTGGAAACTTGTTCATGGCCTTAAAGGCAATAAATGATAACATATGGGGTAATTTTTTTCCACCAGATAGAAATAATTTGCATACAATTTAATACTCTTTTTACAGAATCAATTGGGTGCAGTCCTGATTCTTATCAGGAAATGTTAGGCATCCTAATCATAGCAGAGGTGATTTAGGACTGGGCTGCTATTGGGTTCTTAATATTAATTTTTATTAACTTATCCTGAGTGCACACACAAGGCATACTGGATCAGAGAGAGATTTCTTAAGCATGTCAGCCCCTGCTGCCCCAGACTTCACCTCTGGGATGATGTGATAAAAGCGAGGCCAAATGTTCTGCTGGAGTAGCTGAAGACTGCAGAGGTAAAGAACAAGAAAAATGATTTTTATCTGCTTATAATGGGGAAGGAGGTAGCAGCAGTCCCTTCCCCTCTTGAAAGGGCCTCTTTGAAAACATAATGGACCTGAATCCTTACTCCAATTCTTTGGTTTATAAGTGAAATCTCTCCAGCATCCAGAATGCCCTGTGTGTCTTGATTTTTACCACCAAGAAATGTCTCCAAGTTCTGAGGCCTGCTTATTCCTCCTTGAAATGTAAATACCATCTTCTAGATGACGCTCCAGTCTGGGAAATAACCATTTAACACTTTGGATCTTTTTGGAAGAGAGTAATTAGCTCCATCATGAGGGAAACAAATGTTAGGGAAACAGACCTAATCCCTATAGCATGTAAAAAACGTTTCTAGGTGAAACGAAAAATAAAAAAATTGCATATCTTTATACTGTACACATTTTTTGGAGGGGTGTCTCAGGAGGTTAGGGCTTTTGGCAGGAACAAATATTATAGGTCAGTGGTTCTCAAAATGTGGTCCCCGGACTAGCAATGTTAGCATCACTGGGAAATTTTTAGAAATGCAAACTTTTTAGATGGTATATTACATCAGACTTACTAAATTAGAAACTCTGGGGGTGGGGCCAACAATCTGTTTAATATGTTCTCCAAGTGATTCTGATATAGGCTACAGTTTGAGAACCACTGCTGTAGGCCATGTGTTCATGAGATGGTCTTAATATTTCTCTTTATTTCCTACTGCTGTCTCTTTGCTCCCTATCATGTATTGTTGATTCTTTATCAATGAACAAAAAGTCTTATCTGCTGCCATGGTAAGATCTACTTTCACTGCAGTGGGTTTAATCGTAAACAGAAAGAGTAAATTTATATGAAGGAAGCATCTTATTATAATGAAGAGATTATAAGATTTCTATTTCTGAGGGGCTTTAAAAATTAGATGAACAACTACATATTTTGGATTATTTAAGTATGGACATCTGAACAGCAAGGGGGCTGAACCAAATCATTGTGGACTATTTCAGTTTCCTCGAGACAAACAGTATTTGGTAGACCAAACAATAATTTACTTTTCTAATTGAGGAGAAACTGAGCAGGATCATGAGTAGTAAGATCCACCATGCATAAAGCTGACTTTCATCATATTTTATTTTATATTCCATTCTCCATCACCAGTACATGTAGGAAACAACAATGGCTACTCTTACATGTTTTGTATTTTAATGTTTTTAATTGGTTGAAATTTTGGTGTCATCTCTCTCTTTTGATACAATAATTATTTGAAGTGTTCGGTGGTGTGTGACACTTGTTTTCTGGTACTCACAAGGCATACATGAGAATTCCTTTGATGTATAAACAGTGTATTCTCTCACACAAAAGTTAGTTCAGTCTTATCAGTAATAACTCTAGGAGCTCAAGAGAAACTACCTATTTGTTCAGGTAATCTGCCCTTCTGGAACATTAGTAAATTATATCAGACCACATAAAATTCTGTTTTTAAAATCCCCAAATAGTTTCTTGAAATTCTCTTTCAGCTTTATGAATCTCAGCAGACAGAACATCTGGGATTGATGACAGACATTTCCAACATTCTTCTTCTATTTCCATGAACATAAATCCGATTTTCCAGGTTTTCATGACAAATATCAGAAGAATTAACCCATAACAGAGAAGAAACACATAGTAAGGAACATGTAATTACTAGCATGGTGTTTCTGTACTGTAGCGGTGCAAATGTGGCATAAGAAAAATATGACAAAGAAGAAAAGAAACAAATTTAGGTAACAGTATGTTACTTAAAAAGGGAATAATCCAGGTTAATATACATACCACCATAGGAAATGTGGATGCTTCAGAAATAGAGAATGTTTGCTTGTTTCTTATATCACCCATTTTCATAAAGCAGAATTGTTTTTATGAACTGCAGAATGACTCCTTGCAGTGCTATACTCCTTGTTGCCTCTGAGATTGGTTTGGAAGGAGCAGTCATTATTTTTTAAATTGCAGTGTTTGTCCAAGTTTCTGAGATCATTTTGTTGTAGTTTCAATAGATATTCCAAATGTGAATGTCTGAATATAAGCAGTGTACACAAATCTTTTTTTTTCCTTTCCCCTTGAGGGCTTGCTCTGGAGAGGGAAATTAAACAAACAAACAAACAAAAAAGGCCTACCTTGTAGGAAACGTTTCTATGTGATGACTCAAGTAATCTCTCCTTTTAACTACTTTTCTATTCTGTTTTACTTTGATTTCAAAACTGCTCAGCATACCAAGTTGTGGAGAATCACTTTAGTTCTTTAGTTTAAGGGGACAGTTTCTGGCTTGGCTTGATGGGCCCACAATACCAGAGAATAATAAATGCCTGGACATTCTTTATCAAATTCTCTAAATAGGGAAAAGTGTTTTGGTTATACCTTCTTCAAGACAAAGTCAATTGAAAACATTTTGTTGAACATGACCCTGCTGGTCTGGCATATGCTACAGTGGTACGGTGCTTTGCCTAAACACAACCCCATCCTTACCGCCCCCAAAGGGGAAGGCAGAACAAGGATCAGCAGTCCTCTGGATTGTGCATTTGTCACTGCTCTGTTGTGACCTCCCCTCATCTCCCACAACATGGCCCACATTGTCCCAAGGGCTCTGGCTTTCTTCCTTTTATGTCTTCTGTTTTAACTGAGCCTGGAGTCTTGTCTCATTAGATGATGCTACTCCTTAACTTCTTACTTCTTGTGTGTGTTTGGTGCAAGGGGTTGGGAGGTGCCCTGTCTCAATGAATCTGGCTGAGGACTCAGATGCAGTCCTTCCCTTTTGCTTTCTGTACCCAAAGACAGAATACGCGATCTTTTTATTTTAATTGTTTAATAACGAATCATCCAAAGGGGTAAAGAAAGGGGATAATAAAATGAGCAAACTCGGAGAGGTTAAAAATATTTAAGAAATCTGACAGTTTCTTGCTTCCTTTAGGTCCTTTCCAAATCCTCCATTTTCTTATTGCCCGCCTTGAAAACCAATTCCACAATGGTGTATGACACTATGTCTTATGTGTTAAGAACCCAGAAAACAAATCCTAACACAGCAAAGGAATGAAAGGTATTGGCTACGCAATACATTTACTCAAAACAAGCTCAGCATAAAGATAGAGAGGATGCAGAATTGGTTATAAAACTGATTTCTAAAAACTAACTGAAGTCTCTATGCAGTAAGATTTCTTAATACATAGCCTATAAAATTGAAAAATGCATTTCTTTACTGAAACAACAGAATGTAACCTTGCCATGCAGATAAAAATAAAAGGCTGAGGTGGTAACTGAAGGTGTCTTTGTGGATTTCAGTACCATCATAGCTAAGATTTACAAATATCACATTCTATTCCCTGAGAAAACTGGAACGATTGTTTTGCTGTCCGCATCCTTGTCCTTCTTACTTCTGTAATTTGTGCACTTGTATACTATAACTATTCTCCTTCAGCTAGTACAGTTTCTATGACTCCTTGGGAATACATTTCTCTGAGACTACCTGCCACTGAGCAATATGTCCAAGCCTAATATTGTGCTCCTCCTTGGGAAGGAAACTAATAATGCTGACTATAAAGTTAACTATAGCACAGTAAGCCATCCACATTTTGTGGTTCTAAGTCTTTATTCTTGGCAGTAGAAATGTGCTTGGTGGTTAATTTTATACCATGCTGCAACTGAAGAGTTTGTGTCTGACAGCTTTAAATTGAGAAAATGAGTATTTTTGAAACAGCCCAGTAACTATTGGTATGAATCAAGTAATTTTGGGCTACAAATGGATAATTAGTAAAATCCACTCTCTTCTGTAATTTTGTTGCAAGGATCTGCTCCTGCCATGAAAAGAAAAGTGGGCATTAAATCTAAAACACATTTTCTTTAACTCTAGGGGTGCCTATGGTACCTTTTCCTCACTATAGATTGAAAGCAAAATGAGATTTCTTGCCTTAAGCTTCTCTTTGGCTTCCCAGAGCACCAGGCTTCCTAGGATGGTGAAGCAGGATACAGGAAAGACCTGAGTTTGGCTTCCTGTGCTGGGGATAATAATAGAACTTACCTCCCAGGGTTATTGTAGGATTCAGTGAAATATGCCTGCAAGACTCTCAGCACACAGCTGGCGCATAGCACTTAGCAAAGGCTATCGCCATTATTAATATCAGCTGCCTCCTTGGTCAGAGTGTCAGTTTCCTTATCAGTAAGATTTGGAATATATGAATCATCCCCATATCCTATATCTTTCCTCAAGGCATATACTGAGTGTATGTTATTTTTCTTTGTTAATTTTCTCTATGTTAATTTTCTTTCCTCAAGAGAACCAGGGGACACGTGTCTTCTGGGCTGGATCTAGAAATGTTTCCATGTAACTATTTTATTTATTGGTAAGATGCTGGCAGGAAGAAACTTTATTTCATTATTTATTTTTACCTTGCTCTTGAACTCTTTTTGTCTGCTCTGCCTTCTTCATCCTGGGAAATGATTTCAGACAGATCCCATAGTTTTCTAATCATATTCAGGAATTGGAGAAAGTCTCATTTTCAGATATTAGAAACTTTGAGAAAGTCTCACTTTCAGATATTAGAAACTTTGGTTTTATCTAAATACAAACCTCTATCTCTTACCCAATTAAATTTTTTCCCCTTTCCCAGTCTGTTCCCGCCCCAGGATTGGAAGGCAACCCACAATAGGGAAGAGGAGCATAATTTACCCTTTGATGATCCCTCTTGGATTTTTCACCCCTTCATCCCTATCCTTGAAGTTGTTTCTGGCTCTTGCAGGGTGAGGGAGAGGAAGGGAAAGAGGAGAGGGAATGGGACAGGAGAGTCTAAACTGAATGAGCTGGTGTTGCTGCCCCTCTATGGCAGTTGCCCAAATGCTCTTCCTCTCCCAGGCTGCTTTGTGGGTTTCTTAGGAAGCTCCAGTGTAGGGAAACTTCCATCTGCAGTTTCTTGATATAGATGATATTTTTCTTTTCTTTACTTTTAGTCATTTTATTTTCAGGTTATTCTTTTCTGGTCTGGAAAGCCCTTGCCCTCCCTCCCTTCCTCTCTCCCTACCTCCCTCTTAGGCACAAGGGTCAGCTGTCCTTTCTGTCGGTCAGACAACTTTGCATTATTAGTCTCTGCATTTTATTTACAATCCTAAAATCCAGTTGGAACCAAGAGGTCTATGTCTTTCCCTGGCTCTTTGAGAGATAAAGGTGGAAGGTTAGATGCTCTCCCCTCTCAAAAGCTGTATGGGGGACAGCGATGTGCAATTTTCATTCTTCTTTAAAGTACAAAAGGGAACCACAGTGGACTTCCAACCTGAGCAATTTCAACCTGCCTGCCTTCCTGATTTTTTTTTGTCTGACATGACTTATCTAAATCAGTAGTTCTCCAGCTTGAGCAAGCATCAGAATCACCTGGAGGGCTTGTTAAGACACAAATTATCCCACCTGCAGAGCTTCTGTTTCAGCAGAGCTGGGTGGGGCCTGAGAATCTGCATTTCTACAATTACCCAGGTGATACTGGTCTACGAACTACACTTTGAACTACTACTTGTCTAGAGCAGGAGTTTTTCATCTCTGGCTACATTAGAATTATCTAGGAGAGCTTTTTTTGAAAGATCACTGTCAGATCCCATCCCCAGAGATACTCATTTAGTTGGTTTAGGGGTAAGAGATGAATAATGGCATGTCTAAAACTCTTTCCAGGTGATCCTCCCAACTCTGCCCCAGACCCTGTGAGAAGTTGTTTAAGTGTCAGGTTCCCACTTTCTGAAAAAACTTGTAGGTTTGGGGGTACATGTGAAGGTTTGTAACATAGGTTAACATGTATCATGGGGGTTTGTTGTACATATTATTTCATCACCTAGGTATTAAGCTCAGTACCCAATAGTTATCTTTTCTGCTCCTCTCCCTCCTTCCACCCTCCACCGTCAAGTAGATCCCAGTGTCTATTGTTTCCTTCTTTGTGTTCATAAGTTTTTATCACTTAGTTCCCAATTATAAGGGAGAACATGCAGTATTAGGTTTTCTGTTCTCGCATTAGTTTGCTAAGGATAATAGCTTCCAGCTCCATCCATGTTCCCACAAAAGACATAATCTTATTCTTTTTTAAGGCTGTGTAGTTTTCCATGGTGTATATGTGCCACATTTTCTTTATTCAGTTTGCCATTTATGGTCATTTATGTTGATTCCATCTCTTTGCTATTGTGGATAGTATTACAAAGAACATTCATGTGCATGTGTCTGTATGGTAGAGTGATTTATATTCCTTTGAGTATATACCCAGTAATGGAATTGCTGGGTCCAATGGTAGTTCTGCCTTTAGCCCTTTGAGGAATTTGCGTACTGGTTTCTGCAATAGTTGAACTAATTTACACTCCCACCGACAGTGTATAAGTGTTCTCATTTCTCTGCAACGTCACCACCACCGGTTATTTTTTGCCTTTTATTAATATCCATTCTGACTGGTGTGAGATAGTATCTCATTGTGGTTTTGATTCACATTTCTCTAATGGTCAGTGATACTGAGCTTTTTTTCATATGATTGTTGCCTACATTTATGTTTTATTTTGAGAAATGTCTGTTCATGTCCTTTGCTTACTTTTTAGTGGGGTTGTTTTTCTCTTGTAAATTTGTTTAAGTTACTTATAGATGCTGAATATTAGACCTTTGTCAGATGCACAGTTTACAAACATGTTCTCCCATTCTTTGAATTTTCTGTTTACTATGTTGATAGTTTCTCTTGCTGTGCATAAGCTCTGAAGTTTAATTAGATCCTACTTGTCAATTCTTGCTTTTGTTGTGGTTGCTTCTGGTGTCTTTTGTCATGAAATCTTTGCCTATTCCTATGTTCGGGATGATATTGCTTAGTTTGTCACCAGGGTTTTTTAGTTTTGTGTTTTAGATTTCAGTCTCCACCCCGTCTCCCTGCCCTCCCGCCGAGACAGAGTCTCACTCTCTCACCCAGGCTGGAGTGCAGTGGTGTGATCTCAGCTCACTGCAACCTCTCAACCTTCACCCATTGGGTTCAAGGGATTCTTGTGCCTCAGCCTCCTGAGTAGCTGGGATTATAGGCAGGCATGTGCCACCATGTCCAGCTTTTTTTTTTTTTTTTTTTTTTTGTATTTTCAGTGGAGTTTTGCCATATTGGCCAGGCTAGTCAAACTCCTAGCCTCAAGTGATCTACCCACATCATCCTCCCAGAGTACTGGGATTACAGGCATGAGCCCCTGTGCTCGGCTTGCATTTAAGTCTTTAATCCACCTTGAGTTGATTTTTGTGTATGGTGTAAGGAAGGGGTCCAGCTTTAATCTTCTGCATATGGCTAGCCAGATATCCCAGCACCATTTATTGAATAGAGAGTCTTTTCCCCATTGTTTGTCAGCTTTGTTGAAAATCAATGGTTGTAGATGTGCAGCCTTATTTCTGGGCTCTCTGTTTGGTTCCATTGGTCTATGTGGCTGTTTTTGTACCAGTACCATGTTGTTTTGATTATTGTAGCCTTGTAGTATAGTTTAAAGTCAAGTAATGTAATGGCTTCAGCTTTGTTTTTTTTGCACCTGACTATTCAGGGTTTCATTTTGGTTTGATAGAAATTTTTAAATAGTTTGTTTTTCTTGTTCTGTGAAGAATGTCATTGGTAGTTTGATAGGAATAGCATTGAATTTATAAATCGCTATGGGCAGTATAGTCATTTTAATATTGATTCTTCCTATGCATGAGCATTGACTGTTTTTCCATTTGTTTATGTCTTTGATTTTTTTTTTTTGAGCAGTATTTTGTAATTCTCATTGTAGATATTTTACTTCCCTGGTTAGCTGTATTCCTAGGTATTTTATTCTTTTAGTGGCAATTGTGAATGGGATTGCCTTTTTTATTTGGCTCTCAGTTTGGCTGTTGTTGGTGTACAGGAATGCTAGTGGTTTTTGCACATTGATTTTGTATCCTGAAACTTTGCTGAAGTTGCTTATCAGCTGGAGGAGCTTTTGGGCTGAGACACTGAGGTTTTCTAGATACAGAATTATGTTGTCTGCAAATAAAGATTGTTTGACTTCCTCTCTTTCTATTTGCATGCCCTTTGTGTTAGTCCATTCTCACACTGCTAATAAAGACATACTCGAGACTGGGCAATTTATAAAGGAAAGAGATTTAATTAACTCACAGTTCAGCATGGCTGGGGGAGGCCTCAGGAAACTTATAATCATGGCAGAAGGGGAAGCAAACATATCCTTTTTCACATGGCAGCAAGAAAGAGAAGTGCCAAGCAAAAGGGGGAAAAGCACCTCATAAAACCATTGGAACTCTCATGAGAACTCCCTCACTATCATAAGAACAGCAGGATGGGATTAACCACCCCCATGATTCAATTACCTCCCACTGGGTCCCTCCCTGACATGTGGGGATTATGGGAGCTACAATTCAAGATGAGATTTGGGTGGGGACACAGCTAAACCATATCATTGCATCTCTAGCCCCTCCCAAATCTCATGTCCACACATTTAAAAGCACAATCATACCCTTCCAACAGTCCCCCAAAGTCTTAGCTCATTCCAGCATTAACTCAAAAGTCCAAGTCCAAAGTCTCATCTGAGACAAGGCAAGTTCCATCTGCCTATGAGCATGTAAAATCAAAAGCAACTTAGTTACTTCCTAGATACGATGGGAGTACAGACATTCAGTAAGTATACACCCATTCCAAAAGGCAGAAATTGGCCAAAAAAGGGGCTACAGTCCCTATGCAAGTCCAAAATTGAATAGGGCAGTCATTAAACCTTAAAATTTCAAGATGATCTTCTTTGACTTCATGTCTCACATCCAAGGCACACTGATGCAAGAGGTGGGCTTCCATGGCCTTGGGCAGCTCTGCGTCTGTGGCTCTGCAGGGTACAACACCCCTCCTGGCTGCTTTCATGGGCTGGTGTTGAGTGTCTGGCTTTTCCAGGTGCACAGTGCAAGAAGTTGGTGTATCTACCATTCTGGGATTTGGAAGATGGTGGCCCTCTTCTCACAGCTCCACCAAGCAGTGCCCCAGTGGGGATTATGTGTGGGGGCTCTGACCCCACATTTCCTTTCCACACTACCCTAGCAGAGATTGTCCATGAGGGCTCCACCCCTGTAGCAAACTTCTGCCTAGACAGTCAAGCATTTCCATATATCCTTTGAAATCTAGGCAGAGGTTCCTAAACCTCAATTCTTGATTTCTGTGTACCCACAAGCCCAATACCATGTGTAAGCTGCCAAATCCTGGGCCTGAAGCAATGGCCTGAACTGTATGTTGGCTCCCTTTAGCCACGGCTGGAACTGATGCAGCTAGGAGGCAGGGCATCATGTCCCAAAGTTGCATAGAGCACAGGAGCCCTGGGTCTGGTCCATAAAACCATTTTCCCTCCTAGGCCTCCAGGCCTGTGATGGAAGGGGCTTCCCTGAAGGTCTCTGACATGCCCTGGAGACATTTCCCCCATTTTCTTGGTGATTAACATTCAGTTCCTCATTACTTCTGCAAATTTCTGCTGCAGACTTGTATTTCTCTGCAGTAAATGGGTTTTTCTTTTCTATCACATCATCAGGCTGCAAATTTTCCAAACTTTTATGCTCTGCTTCCTCTTGAACTCATTGCCTCTTAAAATTTCTTCTGCCAGGTACTCTAAGTCATGTCTCTCAAGTTCAAAATTCCACACATCTTTAGGGCAGAGGCAAAATGCCACGTCTTTTTGCTAAAGCCTGACAAAGGTGACCTTTACTCCAGTTCCCAGAAAGTTCCTTATCTCCATGAATCTACCTCAGTTGATTGTCCATAACACTATCAGCATTTTGGTCAAAGTCATTCAACAAGTCTCTGAGAAGTTCCAAACTTTCCCACATCTTCCTATCTTCTGGGCCCTCCAAGTCTCTAAGAAGTTCTAAACTTTCCTACATTTTCCTGTCTTCTTCTGAGGCCTCCAAACTGCTCCAACCTCTGCCTGATACCCAGTTCCAAAGTTGTTTCCACATTTTCAGATATCTGTATAGCAGTGCCCCACTCCCTCAGTACAAATTTACTGTATTAGTCCATTCTCATGCTGCTAATAAAGATATACCTGAGACTGGGTAATTTATAAAGTTTAATTGACTCACAGTTCAGCATGCAGGGGAAGCCTCAGGAAATTTGCAATCGTGACAGAAAGGGAAGCAAACACATCCTTCTTCACATTGCTGCAGGAAAGAGAAGTGCCAAGCAAAAGTGAGGAAAAGCCCCTTATAAATCCATCAGATCTTCTGAGAACCCATTCACTATAATGAGAACAGCAGCATGGGAATAACCGCCCCTGTGATTCAGTTACCTCCCACTAGGTCCCTCCCATGACCCCTGGAGATTATAGGAACTATAATTTAAGATGAGATTTGGGTGGGGACACAGCCAAACCATATCACCCTTTATTTCTTTCTCTTGCCTGATTACTCTGGCTAGGACTCCAATATTATGTTGAATAGAAGTGGTGAGAGGGGGCATCCTGTCTTTTGCTGGTTTTCAATGGGAATGCTTCCAACTTTTGCCCATTCATTATAATGTTGGATGTGAGTTTGTCATAGGTGGCTCTTATTATTTTGAGGTATGTTCTTTCAATAATTTATTGAGAGTTTTTAACATGGAGGGTTGTTGAATGTATCTTTTCTTGGAGGGTTATTGAATGTATCTTTTCTGCATCTGTTGAGATAATCATGTGGTTTTTGTCTTTAGTTCTGTTTATGTGTTGAATCACATTTATTAATTTGCATATGTTGAACAAACCTTGCCTCCCAGGGATGAAGCCTACTTGATCATGGTGCATTCACTTTTTGATGTGCTGCTGGATTTGGTTTGCAAGTATTTTGCTGAGGATTTTTGCATTGATGTTCATCAAGGATATTGGCCTGAAGTTTTCTTTTTTTGGTCATGTCTCTGCCAGGTTTTTGTATCAAGATGATAGTGGCCTCATAGAATGAGTTGGGGAGGAGTCCATTCTTCTGAATTTTTTCAAATAGTTTTTGTAGAAATGGAACCAGCTCTTCTTTGTACATCTTGTGGAGTTCAGCTGTGAATCTATCAGGTTCTGGATTTTTCATGGTTGGTAGACTATTTATTACTGATTCAATTCCAGAGCTCATTATTGGTATGTTCAGGGAATCAATTTCTTCCACGCTCAGTCTCAGGGGGGTGTATGTGTCCAGAAACTTACCCATCTCTTCTAGATTTTTTAGTTTGTGTGCATAGATGTGTTCACAGTAGTTTTTAATGGTTGTTTTTATCTCTATGGGGTCAGTAGTAACATTCCCTTCAACATTTCTAATTGTGTTTATTTGGACCTTCTCTCTTTTCTTCTTTGTTAATCTAGCTAGTGGTCTATATATTTTATTTTCTAAAACAACTCCTGGATTCATTGATCTTTTGAATGGTTTTTCTTGGCTTGATTTCCTTCAGTTCACCTCTGATTTTTGCATTTCTTGTCTTCTGCTAGCTGCAAGGTTGATTTGTTCTTCTTTCTCTAATTCTTTGTTGTGAGATTGTGTTGTTAATTTGAGATCTTTCTAACTTTTTGATGTGGTTATTTAGTGCTATGAGTGTCTTTCTTAATACTGCCTTAGCTGTGTCCAAGATATTCTGGTATGTTGTATCTTTGTTCTCATTATTTTCAAAGAACTTGGTGACTTCTGTTTTAATTTCATTATTTACCCAAAAGTCATTCAGGGCATGTTGTCTAATTTTCATGTAATTGCATGGTTTTGAATAATTTTAATTGTGCTGACTTCTATTTTTATTGTGCTCTGGTCTCAGAGTATGTTTGGTATGATTGCATTTCTTTTACATTTGTTCAGGATTGTTTTATGTCCAATTATGTGGCTGATTTTAGAGTATGTGCCCTGTGGTGATGAGAAGAATGTATATTCTATTGTTTTGGGGTGGAGAGTTCTTTAAAATTCTATTAGATCCATTTTGTCCAAGGTCGAGGTTTGGTCCTTTGTTAATTTTAGTATCTTTGTTAATTTTAATATCTTTGTAAATTTTATGGCTCAATGATCTGTCTAATACTGTCAGTGGAGTGTTGAAGTCTCCCACAATTATTGTGTGGGAGCCTATATCTCTTTTTAGATTTCTAAGAACTTGCTTTATGAATCTGGGTGCTCTTGTATTGGATGCATATATATTTAGGATTGTTAGATCATCTTGTTGAACTGAATCACTTACCATTATATGCCCGTCTTTGTCTTTTTTATCTTTGTTGGTGTGAGGTATGGTTTTTTTTCTGAAATTAGGACTGGAACCCTGCTTTCTTCTGTTTTCCATTTGCTTGGTAGATTTACCTCCATCTATTTATTTTGGGCCTATGGGTGTCATTACATGTGAGATGAGTCTCTGAAAACAGCATACCATTGGGTTTTGCCTTTTTATCCCACTTTCCTCTGTGACTTTTAAGTGGGGCATTTAGCCCCTTTATACCCAAGGTTACTATTGATATGTGTGGATTTGGTCCTGTCACTGTACTGTTAGCTGGTGATTATGTTAGCCTCTTTGTATGGTTTGTATGGCTTTACAGTGACACTGGTCTGTGTGGTTAAGTGTGTCTTTGTATTATCTGGTAGCAGTCATTTGGAGGACATAAAACACTCTGTCCACTTGAGTCACTGGAGTTCTTTCACAGCTTCTTTCTCATCTCTGCATGTGGGTGTTCCTTTAACTTCAGTGTAGAGTGAGGATAGTCAATAGACTTTTTTTTTTTTTCTGGGTGTATTCACTGGACCAAGGCATTGTGCAAAGTGTTTATTTGAAGCTGCCTTTTTGTCTCTGGTTTTAGAGGTGGGTATGTTAGTGAGGTATTTTTGGTGTTGAAGCTTCGAGGTGTGATCCAGCAGGTGGCACTTAGGCTTATTGGTCAATTGGTAGACTCTTGTTTGGTTCTGTGGCTCCCCTATGTTTTCTCACAGTTTGGCCATGTTCCCTCTTAATGTTCTGACAGTGTGGGTTCTTCTCCCCCTCGAGTGCTGGCTGTAGATCATGACTTGGCACTCCTGGACTACCCACTGCAGCTCTGGGGTGATCTCAGTGTTTATGTTCCTTCCCCGATTTGTAGGCAGCAGAGAAAGAGATCTTAGTAATAGTTGTGGCCAAGGATTCTTTGCTTGTCTCCTGGGGGCTCCACACCAGAATGATGCAGGTCAGCAATTGCTTAGTGCAGTCAGATCAGGATGGAAGGTCTGTGCTGTGGGCCCAAGCCAGGGGTTCGCTGTCTGGTGATGAGCAGCGGGGTGTGTATGGGACCCATGGGAGATGGACTGGCCTCCTCTCCTTGGGTCAACTGCAGCTTGTTGGAGGTGTGGATAAGGTACTTAGGGTTTTTGCTCCTTCATTATTCCAAGGATGGTAAGGGCAGTTCCACTGCAGAGGGTGTAGCAGAGAGGCTTTCATTTGCCCCTGGAGGCTCTGTACAGGGAATTGCTGGGTTGCTACTGGCTTAATAGCTCTGGTTGGGTGTGTCTGGAGGCCCAGGCCTGGAGGACCTGCCAGATGAGGAAATACGGAAACAGACACCCATGTAACCATCTGGCCACTTTTCCGTAGGGCTGCTGTGAAATGCTTAGGGCCCACTCCAGTCCGTAGTTGCCTTGGATTTTCTAGAACCTGGAAGTATCACCAGTGAAGTCTGCAAAATGGCAAAGATGCCAGCCTGCACCTTCCTGTGGGAGCTTTTTCCCAGGGAGGTATAGGCCTGTTGCTGGCCCAAAGGAACCAATAGGATGTGACTGGAGACCCCATTTGGGAAGTCCCACCCAGTGAGGAGGAACAGGATCAGGGACCCACTTAAAGAAGCAGTCTGGCCACCTTTTGATAGAGCAGCTGTGCTGGGCTGGGGGTTCACTTCAGCACCTGGTCACCTCAGACACTCTAAAGCCCAAAGGCTGGAATGACTGAGTCACCCAAACAGTAAAAGTAATGACCAGCCTCTTACTCTAGCAGCTCTGTCCCAGGAAGCTTACAAATATTTGTTGGCTGGAGAACACTGACAGGGTGGCTGGAGGTCCCACTTGGGAGGTCCTGCCCAGCGAGGAAGAATGGGATCCAGGACCTACTTAAAGCAGCAGTCTGGCCACGTTTTTGTAGAGCAACTATGCTGTGCTGGGGCATCCCTTTTCTCCCCAGTCGGCTCAGACTCTCCAATGCCTGAAGGCTGTAACAGCTAAGTTGCAGAAACAACAAAGATGGCAGCCCACCCCTCCCTCTGGGAGCACTGTCCCAGAGAGAATTCAACTCTTTGTTGACCGGAGAACACCGACAGGCATGGCTGGAGGCCCCGGTTGGGAGGTCCCTCCCAGTGAGGAGGAATGGAATTGGGCACCTGCTTAAAGCAGCAGTCTGGCCATGTTTTGATAGAGCAGCTGTGCTGTGAGTTACCTTCTGCCCCTGGTCTACTCAGAATCTTCAAAGCCTGAAGACTGGAACAGCTAAGGCACCTAAACAGCAAAGATGGCAGCCCGCCCCCTCCCCCCATCCCCCTAGGGGCTCCTTCTTAGGGAGGTACAATGTCGCTACCAGTGGCTGGCTGGGATTCCAAGCCAGTGGGTCTTATCTTGTGAGGTGCCATGCAAGTGGGGCCTACAGACTGTCACAGCTCAGCCCGCTGGATTTAGCATTTTTCCTAGGGGTATATATGGGGGTCTAAACTCACACTTAGCCAGAGCTGCAGCTACTTTTCCTGGACAGCCTGAGTATCTAAGGCTCCAGGGTCTCCAAACATGCCTGAGCAGCTGCTCTGCCGAGACTCCACATAGCTCTGTCTGTTAGACTGAAGGCCCTTGCGGTGTGGGTTCACAAGGAGCTCTCCTGACCCTAGGGTTGCAAAGATCCATAGGAGAAGCATGGTTTCCCGGGGTCACATGTTCACTCATTGCTTCTTTGGGTGGGGGAGGTTCCCCTGGCTCTGGGTTGCTCCCAGATGGGCTGTTGTTCTGCCTCTCCTCCCCTCCCCTCCCCTCCTCTCCTCTCTCCTCTGACAGAGTCTCACTTTGTTTCCCAGGTTGGAGTGCAGTGGTGCTATCTCAATTCACTGCAACCTCCATCTCCTGGGTTCAAGTGATTCTCATGCCTCAGCCTCCCAAGTAGCTGTGACCACAGGCACACGCCACCATGCCCAGCTAATTTGTATTTTTAGTATTGATGGGGTTTTGCCATGTTGGCCAGCCTGGTCTTGAACTCCTGACCTCAAGTGATCTGCCCACTTTGGCCTCCCAAAGTGCTGAGATGACAGGCATGAGCCACAGCGCCTGGCTGCTGTCTTGCTTTTCTTCATTCTCCATGGGTCAAGTTGTTTGCTTGATTATTCCCAGTGTGAGTACCTGGATGTTTCTGTTGAAGGTATTGTATTTACTCACTTGTTCCATTCCTCTTCATGAGAGTCATGCACACTAGCTACTTCTAGTCAACCATCTTGGCCTCTCCCTCAAGTGATACTTCTCTTGCTGAGGGTTTTGGGCTTCCTCTTGGGTCTGGCCCCTGTTGCCAACTCCCAGAATTTCTTGTGGAGTAGGTTCCTCTGCAGGCAGTGCTCATGCTTGCCATTTGTGGATGTGTGCCTGCTCCCACTGCAGCACTCTTCTCACCCTGGGTCAGTTGTAAACCAGGCTGTGTCACCCCCTAGTTCTGGGGAAGTACTAGGGGGAGATCGCACCACTGCACTCCAGCCTGATGACAGAGAGAGACTCCATCTCAAAAAAACCAAACAAACCATTTTGTAGATGTTATAAGTTATTTTAAACTGATGAAAATCAAACTTTGATTACAACAAAATAAAAGAAACAAAGGAAAAACTAAAAATCTATACACTTTAACTTCATCCTCCATACATTTTGACTTTTTATTATCTACCTTAAATATTTTTTTTTTTTTTTTTTTTTTTTTTTTGAGATGGAGTCTCGCTCTGTTGCCCAGGCTGGAGTGCAGTGGCGCGATCTGGGCTCACTGCAAGCTCCACCTCCCGGGTTCATGCCATTCTCCTGCCTCTGCCTCCCAAGTAGCTGGGACTACAGGCGCCCACCACCACGCCCGGCTAATTTTTTGTATTTTTAGTAGAGACGGGGTTTCATCGTGTTAGCCAGGATGGTCTCGATCCCCTGACCTCGTGATCCACCTGCCTCGGCCTCCCAAAGTGCTGGGATTACAGGCGTGAGCCACCGCGCCCGGCTACCTTAAATATTTTTACATTGTCTGTCTCTCATCAGGTTGCTGTGGTTATTATTATTTTTGATATATTTGTCTTTTAGTCTTCATACTAGAGATATAAATGTTACATACCATGATTACAGTATTAGAGTATTCTGAATTTGTCTGCTTACCTAATATTACTACTGAGTTTTATTTCTTAATTGTTTTCTTTTGGCACTTTATCATCATTTTCTTTCAGATTAAAAAACTCCCTTTAATCTGAAATGGGTCAGAAATGACCCACTTCTCATAAGATGGGTGTAGTGGTGTGATGGTTAATACTGAGTGTCAACTTGATTGGATTGAAGGATGCAAAGTATTATTCCTGGGTGTGTCTATGAAGATGTTGCCAAAGGAGAGTAACATTTGAGTCAGTGGACTAGGAAAGGCAGACCCACCCTTAATCTGGGTGGGCACAATCTAATCAGCTGCCAGCAAGTCCAGAATAAAAGCAGGAAGAACATGAAAAGACTAGACTGGCTTAGCCTCCCAGCCTACATCTTTCTCCCTTGCTGGATGCTTCCTGCCCTCTAACATTGGACTACAAGTTCTTGACCTTTTGGCCTCATACTGGCTTCCTTGCTCCTCAGCTTGCAGATGGCCTATTGTGGGACCTTGTGATTGTGTGAGTTAATAGTCCTTAATAAACTCTCCTTATATATATACATCTGTCTCATTAGTTCTGTCGATATGGAGAACTCTGACTAATACAGAATTTGAAACTAGGAGTGATTCTAGAGGAACAGAATATTAAGGGTGGAGTTCTTTGATTGGTTTTGGGGTTTCTGGAGTTAGCTGCTTAATGTGATTAGACCCAAAGATGCTAAGGACTTGACTCCTAATAGTATGGAGAACATTGATAGTCCTTGGCATGAACTCTTTAGAGAGTTATGCAAAATAAATGCATTTGACACTTGTGATTCACTAATCATCAGAGGCAAGGAGTTTAGTGACTCTATACATAATACCTTTTACCATATGCGGAGAACCAGGGAACATAATGAAGTTGGTTGGTTGCTCCTGAGTTCACTGGACAAAGTGAAGAAAGGAAATGATGAACTCAGGGATTCTAACTCCCTGCCTCAGAAGCAGAAACTGAGTCTCAAATCTTCCAAGATTGCCCTGAGTGAGGATCTTATCTCCTGTAGAGAAAGAGCTAGAATTGTGGAAAATCAGATACAGGCTCTTATCATGAGAGTGGCTGACCTGCCATGAAAGGTGTGTGCACAGCCTTGCCAGGTGTCTACTGTTAAAGTGAGGGCATTGATCAGAAAAAAATGGGACCCAGCAACTTGGAATGGGGATGTGTGAGAGGACCCCAATGAAGCTGGGGACACTGAGCTTATAGACTGTAATGAACCTTTTTTTGCCAGAAGAAACAGCTTCCACATTCTCAGTAGTGGCAACATCCTCTCCCTGACCCATGCTTCCATCAGCTTTTCCACCATTGTCTGAAGAGATAAACCGTACACTGTCTGAGGCAACAGTGATGGCCTCCCCCAAGGCAGTTGCCAGGCAAGACAATGTTGATTCTCCTCAGGATCCACCCCCACACCCCTGTTTGCTTTTAGACCTATAACTAGACTAAAGTCCCAGCAGGCCCTTAGAGATGAGGTTCAGAGTGTAACCCATGAGGAGGTCAGCTACACTCAAAAAGAACTACTTGAATTTTCTAATTTGTATAAGCATAAATCTGGCGAACAGGCATGGGAATGAATATTAAGGGTGTGCAATAATGGTGGGAGGAACAGAGGTGGATCAGCCTGAATTTATTGATTTGGGCCCACTAAGCAGGGATTCTGCATTTAATTTTGCAGCTTGGGGAGTTAAAAAAAGGTTCTAATAGTTTGCTTACTTGCTTAGCTGAAATATGGATTAAAAGATGGCCCATTGTGAGTGAGCTGGATATGCCTAATCTCTTTTTGTTTACTGTAGAAGAAGGGATCTAAAGGCTTGAGGGATAGGGATGCCAGACTGGATTAGTCACTTTTGACCTACTTATCCCAGATGGGAGAGTCCAAAAGATATATCCTTTACCAATACTTTGTGAAACAGATCTGTGAGGGGAGCACCTGCATCCTTGAAGAGCTCTGTGATTGCTCTTCTCTGTATGCCAGATATTACAGTAGGAACTGCAGTCACTCAACTACAAAATTTAAATGCAATAGGAATAACTGATCCTGAGGTGCCAGGGGCCAAGTGGCAAGTGGTGGCACTCAACCTTCAAAGGCAAGGTGGGTGTAGCTACTATAATAGACAGCAGAGGCAAAGCAGCCATCAGAATAGTCTGACTCATGTAGAGCTCTGGCTTTGGCCAATAAATCAGTTTTCTCATGTAGAGCTCTGGCATTGGCTAATAAATCAGTTTTCCTAGAAGTGAAATTGATAGGAAGCCTACTGCATTCTTATTTAATTTTTATAAGCAGCAAACTTCCAGGTTGAATGGGCAACAAACTAATTTGAATTATAAAAACAGAGAATCACAGCCCCTCAATCAGTTTCCAGACTTGAGCCAGTTTACAGACAAGAAGCCTTGAATGAAGGGGAGGCGGGGTCCCCTTGAGGAAGGACCTCACTACATTATTGACAATTTATGCAGTGAATCTTTGTCCCATCTTTCCCCAAGGAGACCTCCGGCCTTTTACCACGGTAACTGTGCACTGGGGAAAGGGAAATGATCAGACATTTCAGGGACTACTGGACACTGGCTCTGAGCTGATGTTTATTCCAGGGGACCCAAAACACCATTGTGGTCCTCCAGTTAAAGTAGGGGCTTTTAGAGGTCAGGTAATTAATTGGAGTTTTAGCTCAGGTCTGACTTAATGTGGGTCCAGTGGGTCTCTGGACTAATCCTGTGGTCATTTCCTCAGTGCCATAATGCATTATTTGTATAGACATACTTAGCAGTTAGTACAACCCCCATATTGGCTCCCCAACTAGTAGGATGAGGGCTATAATGGTGGGAAAGGCCAACTGGAAGCCATCAGAGCTGCCTCTACCTAGAAAAATAGTAAATCAAAAACAATATTGCATCCCTGGAGGAATCACAGAGATTAGTGCCACCATCAAGGACTTGAAAGATGCAGGGGTGGGGATTCCCACCACATCCCCATTCAACTCTATTTGGCCCATGCAAAAGACAGATGGATCTTTCAGAATGACCATGGATTGTTGTCAGCTTAACCGAGGGGTGACTCCAATTGCAGTTGCTGTACCAGATGTGGTTTTATTGCTTAAGCAAATTAAGACATCTCCTGGTACCTTGTATACAGCTATTGATTTGGCAAATGCCTTTTTCTCCATTCCTGTCCATAAGGTGCACGAGAAGCAATTTGCCTTCAGCTGGCAGGGTGAGGAATATACCTTTATCATCCTACCTCAGGAGTATATCAACTCTCCGTCTTTGTGTCATAATCTTATTCAGAGAGACCTTGATCGCCTTTCACTTCCGCAAGATACCACACTGGTCCATTACATTGATCATATTATGCTAATTGGGTCCAGTGAGTGAGAAGTAGCAAACAAACTGGACTTATTGGTGAGACGTTTACATGCCAGATGATGAGAAATAAATCTGAGTAAAATTCAGGGACCTTCTACCTCAGTAAAATTTCTAGGGGTCCAGTGGTTTGGGGCCTGTCAAGATATTCCTTCTAAGGTGAAGGATAAGTTGCTGCATTTGGCCCCTTCTACAATCAAGAAAGAGGCACAATGCCTAGTGGGCCTGTTTGGATTTTGGAGGCAACATATTTGTCATTTGGGTGTGTTATTCTGGCCCATTTATCAAGTGACTCAAAGGCTGCCAGTTTTGAGTGGGGTCCAGAACAGGAGAAGGCTCTGCAACAGGTCCAGGCTGCTGTGCAAGCTGCTCTGCCACTTGGGCCATTTGACCCGGCAGATCCAATGATGCCTGAGGTGTCAGTGGCAGATAAAGATGCTGTTTGGAGCCTCTGGCAGGCCCCCATAGGTGAATCACAGCAGAGGCCTCTAGGATTTTGGAGCAAGGCCCTGCCATCTTCTGCAAATAACTACTCTCCTTTTGAGACAAAGCTCTTGGCCTGTTACTGGGCTTTGATGGAAACTGAATATTTGACTACAGGTCATCAAGTCACCATGCATCCTGAACTTCCTATTATGAACTGTGTGGTTTCTGACCCATCTTGCCATGAAGTAGGGCATGCACAGCAGCATTTCATCATAAAATGGAAGTGGTGTATATGTGATTGGGTTTGAGGAGGTCCTGAAGGCACAAATAAGTTAATGAGGAAGTGGTTCAAATGCCCATGGTCTCCTCTCCTGCCACCCTGCCTTCTCTCCCCAAGCCTGCACTGATGGTCTCCTGGGGAGTTCCCTATGATCAGTTGACAGAGGAAGAGAAGACTAGGGCCTGGTTCACAGATGGTTCTGCACAATATGCAGGCACCACCCCAAAGTGGACAGCTCCAGCACCACAGCACCTTTACAGGACATCCCTGAAGGACAGCAGTGAAGGAAAATCTTCCCAGTGGGCAGAACTTTGAGCAGTGCACCTGGTTGTACACTTTGCGTGGAAGGAGAAATGGCCAGATATGTGATTATATACTGATTGCTGGGCTGTAGCCAATGGTTTGGCTGGATGGTCAGGCACTTGGAAGAAGTATGATTGAAAAATTGGTGACAAAGAAATTTGGGGAAGAGGTATGTAGATGGACTTCTCTGAGTGGCCCAAAACTGTGAAGATATTTGTATGACCTCAGCAGAAGAGGATTTTAATAATCAAGTGGTTAGGATGACCCGTTCTGTGGACACCACTCAGCCTCTTTCACCAGCCACCCTTGTCATGACCCAATAGGCCCATGATCAAAGTGGCCATGGTGGCAGGGATGGAGGTTACACATGTGCTCAGCAACATGGACTTCCACTCACCAAGGCTGACGTGGCTAAGGCCACTGCTGAGTGTCCAATTTGCCAGCAGCAGAGACGAGCACTGAGCCCTCGATATGGCACCATTCCTCGGGGTGATCAGCCAGCTACTTGGTGGCAGGTTGATATATTGGACTACTTCTATTATGGAAAGGGCAGCAGTTTGTCTTCACTGGACTAGACACTTATTCCGGATATGGGTCCACCTATCCTGCATGCAGTGCTTCTGCCAAGACTACCATCTGTGGACTCACAAAATGCCTTATCCACTGTCATGTTATTCCACACAGCATTGCCTCTGACTAAAGCACTCACTTTATGGCTAAAAAAGTGTAGCAATGGGCTCATGCTAATGGAATTCACTGGTCTCACCATATTCCCCATCATCCTAAAGCAGCTGGATTGATGGAATTGTGGAATGGCCTTTTGAAGTCACAATTACAACACCAACTAGGTGACAATACTCTGCAGGGCTGGGGCAAAGTTCTCCAGGAGGCTGTGTGCTCTGAATCAGCTTCCAATATATGATACTGTTTCTCCCATAGCCAGGATTCAGGGGTCCCGGAATCAAGTGGTGAAAGTGGAAGTGGCACCACTCACCTTCACCCATAGTGACCCACTAGCAAAATTTTTGCCTTCTGTTCCCTCAGCATTACATTCTGCTGGCCTAGAGGTCTTAGTTCCAGAGGGGAGAATGCTGCCACCAGGAAATACAACAATTATTCCATTAAGCTGGAAATTAAGATTGCCACCTGTATACTTTGGGCTCCTTCTACCTTTTTTTTTTTTTTTTTTTTTTTGAGACGGAGTCTTGCTCTGTCGCCCAGGCTGGAGTGCAGTGGCGGGATCTTGGCTCACTGCAAGCTCCGCCTCCCGGGTTCACGCCATTCTCCTGCCTCAGCCTCCCAAGTAGCTGGGACTACAGGCGCCCGCCACTACGCCCGGCTAATTTTTTTTTTGTATTTTTAGTAGAGACGGGGTTTCACCGTTTTAGCCGGGATGGTCTCGATCTCCTGACCTCGTGATCCGCCCGCCTCGGCCTCCTAAAGTGCTGGGATTACAGGCGTGAGCCACCGCGCCCGGCTGGGCTCCTTCTACCTTTAAGCCAACAGGCTAAGAAGGCAGTTACAGTGTTGGCTGGGGTGATTGACCTGGATTATCAAGATGAAATCAGTCTATGAAGAGTATGCATGGAATACAGGAGATCCATTAGGGCGTCTCTTAGTATTACCATGTCCTGTGATTAAAGTCAATGGGAAACTACAACAGCCCAATCCAGGAAGGACTACAGATGGCCCAGACCCTTCAGGAATTGGTCCACTCTTCTAGGAAAAAAAACCATGGCCTGCTGAAGTGCTTGCTGAAGGCAGAGAATACAGAATGGGTAGTAGAAGAAGGTAGTCATTAATACCAGCTACGACCACGTGATTGTAATTGTCATGAGTATTTCCTTCTCTTTTTGTTAAAAACAGGTTTGTGCATGTATACACTTCTACTAAGAAAATATCTTCGTTTCCTTTTTTCCTTTATCATGTGACGTAAGATTTATTGACTTCATATCAGCATTTGTGTTGTTAACTTTATGTATACACATCATAGTATACATATAAATATATCATAATATATAATATATTGTACATATGCCTATAATACACATGTTAATGTGTATTATGTATTTGTATATATACATATATCGTGTATATATGCATATATAATATGTACATACACGTGTGATGTAGGTATGTATATATATGTATTTAAAAATATTCATGTGATTTCCTATTATGTAGGGAAAAACTCACTGCAATTGATTGTTTACATGGCCTCTATTTCAGGCAAAATTGTTTATCTTCATTAATCTTTTAGTTTAGTAAGCAAAAGGATAGCTGACACAGTTAGGATTCTTAGCTAAAGAACTCTAAAGAAATAGGTGACATATACAAATTAGAAAATTTGATGAAGGATCAATTACAAATATGTTGGTGGGTATAGGAGAACCACAGGTTAGTGCAAGAATCCAGAGCTAAGGGTGTGGAATTTTACTGCCCCTACACTGAAAGGAACAAGGGAAGGGAGATGCTACTAGAAGCCAGAGAATAGATGGTAGGAAACAGGTTGAGAGAACCAGTGACTTTCTCTTCATGGATGCTGCCAGTTTTAAGTGACCCCTCCAAGAAGGGAATCAGAGGAATAATATCCTCACTTCATTTTCTTGCATCTTTACTTTTTTGCTTGAGCTTCCCCATTGGCTGAACCCAACCAGAAGCTTAAATTCACAGAAGCCTTTTGGGTAAGAGCAGAGTGTAAAGGAGGCATAATGAATCTGTATAGGCCAAATAGAAAATAGCTAAATATTTCAGTCTAAGCATGTATCCTTACATTGTCTGACAAATCTTATGGCTTAGAAGCATGGTATGCTAACTTAATATCTTCTTCACTCTACTAATAGAAAGGAAAAACACCTTTGCTCCCTGAATACATGTTACTAACTAGATAAGGATTAATTTACATTTTTATCCCTATCCTCTCTATTTTTTAAAAATATTACTCATTAAAAATAAAGTATATGGAACCAAAAAGCAAACAAAACAACCCTAATTATTAGTCTAGGTAAATAATCTATAACATTTCTTTTATCTACCTGTATATTATATATATATGAATATTATTTAAAATGAACAATACATATTAAGGTACATGAACTATTATAGATTTGAACTGATAATACTAAGTTCCCAGCTTAACTTTGCTGGTCATAATGATGACATCAAAAAGATCTTTCATCCACTATTATGGTAATTAAGTAAATATTTGTATCAATCAAGGCAGGTTGGGTTATAGAGCTGTAATAAATAATTCTCAAATTGCAGTGGCTTGAAACAAGAACACACCCAAGGATGGCCAGCAGCAGGTCTCTGCTCTTCACAGTCACTCAGAGACCCAGAATGAAGGTGCACCCCATCTTGTGATACTGCCAACTCATATGATCATATTTATGTGATCAACATGGCAGAGCAGAACTCTGGGGGGTCTCACAGCAGTAATTAAATGTTTCTGCCTGGAAGAGGCACCCAGCAGTTCCACTAATAACATTGATCAGAATTAAAAATTTGCTAGGAAGTAGAGTTTTCTGTGTCGAGGAGGAAGATCTGAACATTGGTGAACACTGATAATGTCTACCACAGCATGAGGTTCATTTCTGTCTTTAGTTGAATGAGATGAAGACACCTTATGAATTAATACTCTTTCTCTTTTGTATATTCTTTCTTGATACTCAGCCACAATCTGCCTCTAATTTTAATCTTTGTATTTTTATTTTATTTTATTTTAGCATTATCTTCTCCATTTCTTCTCTCTTTTTTGAAATTATACTTTAAGTTCTGGGATACATGTGCAGAACATACACATTTGTTACATAGGTATACACGTGCCATAGTGGTTTGCTGTACCTATCAACCCATCACCTACATTAGGTATATCTACTAATGCTATCCCTGCCCTGGTCTCCCATCCTGTGACAGGCCCTGGTGTGTGATGTTCCCCTCCCCATGTCCATGTATTCTCACTGTCCAGCTTCCACTTATTAGTGAGAACGTGTGCTGTTTGGTTTTCTGTTCCTGTGTTAATTTGCTGAGAATGATGGTTTTCACCTTCATCCATGTCCATGCAAAGGACATGAACTCATCCTGTTTTATGGCTGCATAGTATTCCATGGTGTATATGTGCCACATTTTCTTTATCCAGTCTATCATTGATGGGCATTTGGGGTGGTTCCAAGTCTTTGCTATGGTGAACAGTGCTGCAATAAACATACGTGTGCACGTGTCTTTATAGTAGAATGATTTATAATCCTTTGGGTATATATCCAGTAATGGGATTGCTGGGTCAAACGGTATTTCTGGTTCTAGATCGTTAAGGAATCGCCACACTGTCTTCCACAATGGTTGAACTAATTTACACTCCCACCAACAGTGTAAAAGTGTTCCTATTTCTCCACATCCTCTCCAGCACCTGTTGTTTCCTGACTTTTTAATGATCGCCATTCTAACTGGAGTGAGATGGTATCTCATTGTGGTTTTGATTTGCATTTCTCTAATGACGAATGATGATGAACTTTGTTTTCATATATTTGTTTGCTGCATAAATATCTTCTTTTGAGAAGTGTCTGTTCATATCCTTCACCAACTCCTTGTTTTTTTCTTGTAAATTTGTTTAAGTTCTTTGTAAATTCTGGATATTAGCCCTTTGTCAGATAGACTGCAAAAGTTTACTCCCATTCTATAAGTTGCCTGTTCACTCTGATGATAGTTTTTTTTGCTGCACAGAAGCTCTGTAGTTTAATTAGATTCCATTTGTCAATTTTGGCTTCTGTTGCCCTTGCTTTTGGTGTTTTAGTCATGAAGTCTTTGGCCATGCCTATGTCCTGAATGGTGTTGCCTAGGTTTTCTTCTAGGGTTTTCATGGTTTTAGGTCTTGCGTTTAAGTCTTTAATCCATCTTGAGTTGATTTTTGTATAAGGTGTAAGGAAGGGGTCCAGTTTCAGTTCTCTGCATATGGCTAGCCAGTTTTCCCAGCACCATTTATTAAATAGGGAATCCTTTCCCCAGTGCTTGTTTTTGTCAGATTTGTCAAAGATCAGATGATTGTAGATGTGTGGCTTTATTTCTGAGGCCTCTGTTCTGTTCCATTGGTGTATATATATATATATATATATATAATCTATTTTGGTACCAGTACCATGCTGTTTTTGTTACTGTAGCCTTGTAATATAGTTTGAAATCAGGTAATGTGATGCTCCAGCTTTGTTCTTTTTGCTTAGGATTGTCTTGGCTATATGGGCTCTTTTTGGTTCCACATGAAGCTTAAAGTAGTTTTTTCTAATTCTGTAAAGAAGATCAATGGTAGCTTGATGGGGATGGCATTGAATCTATAAATTACTTTGGGCAGTATGGCCATTTTCACAATATTGATTCTTCCTATCCATGAGCATGGAATGTTCTTCCATTTGTTTGTGTCCTCTTTTATTTCGTTGAGCAGTGGTTTGTAGTTTTCCTTGAAGAGGTCCTTCGTATCCCTTGTAAGTTGGATTCCTAGATATATTATTCTCTTTGTAGCGATTGTGAATGGGAGTTCACTCATGATTTGGCTCTCTGTTTGTCTATTATTGTAGTATAGGAATGTTTGTAATTTTTGCACATTCATTTTCTATCCTGAGACTTTGCTGAAGTTGCTTTTTAGCTTAAGGAGTTTTGGGGCTGGGATGATGGGGTTTTCTAAATATACAATCATGTCATCTGCAAAAAGAGGCAATATGACTTCTTCTCTCCCTATTTGAATACGCTTTCTTTCTCTTTCCTGATTGCCCTGGCCAGAACTTCCAATACTGTGTTGAATAGGAGTAGTGAGAGAGGGCATCCTTGTCTTGTGCTGGTTTTCAAAGATAATGTTTCCAGCTTTTGTCCCTTCAGTATGATATTGGCTGTGGATTTGTCATAAACAGATCTTATTATTTTGAGATACATTCCATCAATACCTAGTTTATTGAGAGTTTTTAGCATGAAGGGGTGTTGAATTTTATTGAAGGCCTTTTCTGCATCTATTGAGATAATCACATGGTTTTTGTTATATGATGGATTACGTTTATTGATTAACCTTTGTATTTAAGTTTGTTTTTGTGGTAGCAGATAACAGTCTTATTTTTTCATGTTCAGCACTCCCTTAAAGACCTCTTTTAAGACAGGTATGGTGGTAATGGATTTCCTTAGGGTTTGCTTGCCTGTAAAGGATTTTATTTCTCCTTTGATTATTAAGCTTAGTATGCTGTTTTCAGGAGAAAGACAGGACTCCCAGTTCAATAAATGATGTTGGGATAATTAGCTATCCACATGCAGAAGATTGGAACTGGACCCTTTCCTTACACCACATTAAAAAAATCAACTTAAGATGGATTAAACACTTAAACATAAACCTAAAACTATGAAAACCCTGGAAGAAAATCTAGTAAATACCATTCTGGACATAGGCCTTCACAAAGATTTCTTTGTGAAGACTCCAAAAGCAATTTCAACAACAACAAAAAAATTGACAAGTGGGACCTAATTAAGCTAAAGAGCTTCTGCGCAGCAAAAGAAACTATCAACAGAGTAAACAGACAATCTACAGAATGGGAGACAATATTTGCAAACTATGCATCTGACAGTTGTCTAATATCCAGCATCTATGAGGAACTTAAATTTACAAGAAAAGAACAACCCCATTAAAAAATAGGCAAAGAACACGTATACCTATGTAACAAACCTGCATGTTCTGCACATGTATCCCAGAACTTTAAAAATTAAAAAATAAGCAAAGAACATGAACAGACACTTCTTAAAAGAAGACATACAAGTGGCCAACATGCATATGAAAAAATCCTCAACATGACTAACCATCAGAGAAATGCAAATCAAAACCGCAATGAGATACCATCTCATAGCGGTCAGAATGGCTATTAAAAAGTAAAAAACATAACAGATGCTGGCGAAGTTGCAGAGAAAAGGGAACGCTTATAAACTGCTGATGGGAAGGTGAATTAGTTCAGCCACTGTGAAAAGCAGTTTGGAGATTTCTCAGAGAACTACCAGCAGAACTACTATTTGAACAGCACTACCCAGCAATCCCATTACTTGATCTATACTCAAAGGAATATAAATTATTCTAACATAAAGACACATGCATGTGTATGTTCATCACAGTACTTTTCACAACAGCAAAGACATAGAATCAACCTAGGTGCCCATCAACAGTGGACTGGATAAAGCAAATGTAGTACATATACACCATGGAATGCTACATAGCCATAAAAAAGAGTGAAATCATGTCACAGGCAGCAACATGGATGCAGAAACAGAAAACCAAATACTGTATGCTCTCACTTATAAGTGAGAACTAAACATTGAGTACACATGGACATGAAGAGGGGAACAATAGGCACCAAGACTTACTTGGTGGTGGAGGGTGGGAGGAGGGTAAAGATTAAAAAACTACTTGCCAGGTACTGTGCTAACTACCTGGGTGGCTAAGTCATTTGTACACCAAACCCCAGCAACACGCAATGTACTCACGTAAGAAACCTGCACATATACCCCTGAACCTAAAATAAAAGTTACAAGAAGATTAAATAAATGAATAATCCTTGGAGTTCTGTTACCAGGATTTCTTTCTTCCTGAGGTCAGCTGCAGTGGAGTTTTGCTCATCAAAGAGTCATCATTTTGAATTTTGGATCTGTCTTAAGATGACCACACGTTTCACTTGAAGAAGAATCTAGAAGTAGACTATAGAAGGAAAAGACTATCTTGCTCTAAATGCATATATAAGATTTGAATTAAAGTGACTGTGAGGTACAATTATTTAGCAGTTATGAGGGCTGTCATCCAGAAGATAAAAAGGGTATAAAGAAGCAAGCTGTTATTTTTTTTTAACGAAGGCTGCCCAGAGACACGTAAGGTGTGCATGTGTCTGTCAAATATACACACCTCTAAACTATTACCAAGTTACAGAAGATGGGTTGGTGCTTACTGCCATATCTGTAAGTCATCCCTATGTTTAGCAGTGTAACAAAAAATAAATTCCTCAGGGAACTTTGGCTCTCTGTCTTCGAAATAATTGATGTGTTGATTGGGAGAGTTGGTTACTAAACTATATTTCTCTAAGCACCTTCATCATTTTTATTATTGCCTACACTGTGGAAATATAAATATGTAGGAACATACAAAATAATATATATAAAGCAATGTAATATATTGTTTATTATGTAATAGTCAATACTGTACTAAACTGAATTGTTATGGTACTGACCCAATGCAAAGAAGGATTCAAAAATTTAGTTCAAAAGGTAAAAACTCTCATCTTTACTCTGCTGAGTAAGGATAAAAATTCCTAGGAGGCCTTCTGCTGATAAGACATTTCCAAAGTATTAATAAGGAGTAGTACTGTCCAAGTAAGTTCTTTGATTCTTAGTTTTATTGGAAACATCACAAACTATCTTGATATAAACAACTTTCTGCTGCTTCCCCAACAGAGTTCTTAGATTGCTGACTTGGCAAAGTACAATAATTTCCATTTCTTTTAGATCATTATTTATATAACTCAGCACTAGCTTTCCAACTTTTCTTGCCTAATGGTTCTTAAAATCAACAATCTGAGCACTTTAGAGAGACAGATTGTGTCAATGTTGGGTGTTAAAGGTAAAGCTTTGATGGAGACCATTCCATTCTCTTCTATCTTTTCAGTCATTGAGCAAAGAGGGAGAGAGGCCACAGCTGGGATGGAAGTAATAAACTGTCTCTATGGGGGGCTTAAGATAAAGACTGGGTAAGCAAAAAGTAGGAGTGAAACCAATGTGGAAGAAATGCTTTTTTTCTAAGCTTGCTTGCATTTTTATTTCACTTTGAAATATTTGATCATTTCAAAAATCATATATACTTGTTATAAAAAATTAAATGCTGTGCAAATATTTAACAATAAGATGAAATTCCTCTATAATCTTACTCTCCAGAAGCAATTGTGACCAACAGTTTGTAGACATTTTTCCAGAACTTATTTTTCATATTTTTATGTAGCAATTCTTTCTTCTCCTTCCCCTATTGTTTTTCCTCCTCCTTTGGCTTCCTCTCTTCCTTTCTCTTCTTCCCTTTCTCCTTTCTATTTATCTCCTACACTTTTCATTCTCCTCTTCTTATTTCTCTTTCCCAGAACCCCTTTTTTCATTTACTCATATCCCTATTTCTCATTTCCCCCTATTCTTCTTTCTGTTTCTGTACTCTAAATTAGTACACACAGTATTGCTGGATCAAAGATTCTTAACTTGTAACATTTTAATAGATTCCTAATAAATATTTTGCTGGTCAATGTATTAGTAATTGCTCTACCAAGTAAAGTTGCGTTAAGCCTCTCCAGACACTCGTCAGTACTGGCTAGTATCAATATAAAGATCTAAATTAATCTTTGCCGATCTTGTTTTAGTTTGAATTTATTTCTTCTTTTCATAAGTTTATTGGCCCATGATATTTCTTTTATGAGTTGCCTGTTCATGTACATTTTTTCCCGATTGGGCTATTTGCCTTTAATAACCCAGTAACTCAAAACAAGGTTTGCCTTGTGAATTGTTTTATTGTTTGCCTTTAAACAATACTTATTTATACATATATGCTAATATGGTATATATTAATATCTTAGGTATATTGATATATAGTGATAAAGTGTAGGCCTTACTAAGTTATTTGATTCTTAGTTTTACTGAAAATATCATAAATTATCTTGATATAAACAACTTTCTGTTATCTGGAGGAAAAAGAATAGGGGAAAGAGAAAAAAGAAATTGCTCCATGAAAATCTAAAAAATAAAATTTGGAAGAGTGTTGCTGTTTCTGTGCATTGTCTATACTTTCTCCTTATTGTCTCTATTTATTTTGCTTATGTTGTATTTTGCCTTGCAGAACTTTCTAATTATCTGAACATATGTTTTCATAATTTCTTCTAGTTCTTATGTCATGCTTATAAATATCTCCTCCATTCTAAGCTTATAATATTTACCATAGTTTCATTTAGTTTTTTGTGAATTTACTCTTCAGCTCTTTGTGTACATTTTTCATCTTTCTGGAATATATTTTGTAACAAAATATAAGGTAATGGATTCAGTGTAATTATTTTCCAAATTGCTGTCCTTTTCCAAGTGGCTAGTTGATTGTAAAACCTTCTTCTTTGAATAGTTACATTTCCCCTCTGCTGATTTAAAATACTGTCATTATCAAAGACTGTATTTCTATATACTTGGGTCTATTTTATTTTGCTAATTCTGGCTATTTCTGTGCTGATACTGTGATGTTTTTATTTACTGTAACTTTAATATGTTTGAATATCTAAGAGGCTTTTCACTTTCCTTTTGCTAAAATACAGAGCCATTTTAAAAAAGTAGAGTGGGGATATTACTGACTTTTATTTATTTATTTATTTATTTATTATTATTATACTATAAGTTTTAGGGTACATGTGCACAATGTGCAGGTTAGTTACATATGTATACATGTGCCATGCTGGTGCGCTGCACCCACTAACTCGCCATCTAGCATTAGCTATATCTCCCAATGCTATCCCTCCCCCCTCCCCCACCCCACAACAGTCCCCAGAGTGTGATGTTCCCCTTCCTGTGTCCATGTGTTCTCACTGTTCAATTCCCACCTATGAGTGAGAATATGCGGTGCTTGGTTTTTTGTTCTTGCAATAGTTTACTGAGAATGATGATTTCCAATTTCATCCATGTCCCTACAAAGGACATGAACTCATCATTTTTTATGGCTGCATAGTATTCCATGGTGTATATGTGCCACGTTCTCTTAATCCAGTCTATCATTGATGGACACTTGGGTTGGTTCCAATTCTTTGCTATTGTGAATAGTGCCACAATAAACATACGTGTGCATGTGTCTTCATAGCAGCATGATTTATAATACTTTGGGTATATACCCAGTAATGTGATGGCTGGGTCAAATGGTATTTCTAGTTCTAGATCCCTGAGGAATTGCCACACTGACTTCCACAATGGTTGAACTAGTTTACAGTCCCACCAACAGTGTAAAAGTGTTCCTATTTCTCCACATCCTCTCCAGCACCTGTTGTTTCCTGACTTTTTAATGACTGCCATTCTAACTGGTGTGAGATGATATCTCATTGTGGTTTTGATTTGCATTTCTCTGATGGCCAGTGATGGTGAGCATTTTTTCATGTGTTTTTTGGCTGCATAAATGTCTTCTTTTGAGACGCGTCTGTTCATGTCCTTCACCCACTGTTTGATGGGGTTGTTTGTTTTTTTCTTGTAAATTTGTTTGAGTTCATTGTAGATTCTGGATATTAGCCCTTTGTCAGATGAGTAGGTTGCAAAAATTTTCTCCCATTTTGTAGGTTGTGTGTTCACTCTGATGGTAGTTTCTTTTGCTGTGCAGAAGCTCTTTAGTTTCATTAGATCCCATTTGTCAATTTTGTCTTTTGTTGCCATTGCTTTTGGTATTTTAGACATGAAGTCCTTGCCCATGCCTATGTCCTGAATGGTATTGCCTAGGTTTTCTTCTAGGGTTTTTATGGTTTTAGGTCTAACATTAAGTCTTTAATCCCTCTTGAATTAATTTTTGTATAAGGTGTAAGGAAGGGATCCAGTTTCAGCTTTCTACATATGGCTAGCCAATTTTCCCAGCACCATTTATTAAATAGGGAATCCTTTCCCCATTTCTTGTTTTTGTCAGGTTTGTCAAAGATCAGATAGTTGTAGATATGCGGCGTTATTTCTGAGGGCTCTGTTCTGTTCCATTGATCTATATCTCTGTTTTGGTACCAGTACCATGCTGTTTTGGTTACTGTAGCCTTGTAGTATAGTTTGAAGTCAGGTAGCGTGATGCCTGCAGCTTTGTTCTTTTGGCTTAGGATTGACTTGGCAATGCGGGCTCTTTTTTGGTGCCATATGAACTTTAAAGTAGTTTTTTCCAATTCTGTGAAGAAAGTCATTGGTAGCTTGATGGGGATGGCATTGAATCTGTAAATTACCTTGGGCAGTATGGCCATTTTCACGATATTGATTCTTCCTACCCATGAGCATGGAATATTCTTCCATTTGTTTGTATCCTCTTTTATTTCCTTGGGCAGTGGTTTATAGTTCTCCTTGAAGAGGTCCTTCACATCCCTTGTAAGCTGGATTCCTAAGTATTTTATTCTCTTTGAAGCAATTGTGAATGGGAGTTCACTCATGATTTGGCTCTCTAACATCAAATTTGTAGATTAATCTGAGGAAAAATAACACTTTTAAACTACTGAGTCTTTCTGTTCAAAACTAAACTAGTTTTTCAAGTCTTTTATGTTCTGCAGTAGTTTTATACTCTTTTTCTTATAGAAACTATGCATTTCTTGTTAAACTCTCCTGGAATGTTTTGTAGTTCTTGTTTCAATTATTGATATATTTTACTACTATGTTCTATAAGAAAATACAAAGCTATTTTTGTATATTGAATTTGGGTCCAGGTAAATGCTAAATATCTTGTTTTCTTCTAGTACTTTCTTACTG
Source organism: Homo sapiens (assembly GCF_000001405.40). NCBI lineage: Eukaryota > Metazoa > Chordata > Mammalia > Primates > Hominidae > Homo > Homo sapiens. Next base: position 112,030,793 of record NC_000005.10, on the reverse strand, counting down.
GCTTACTTTTGGTTTTCCAGATACACAATCATATAGTCTACAAATCATTAAATTGACTTTTTAAAAATGTTTCTAGATCTTACTCCAATAATCTGTTTTCAGAGTTCTTCCAGAGCAAAGTGAATCTCTAATTGTAATATTGGGCATCCACTCATCTTGCTCCTTATTTTTAATCATTATGCTTCTAGCGTTTTAAGATTAAGCATGATCCTGGCTTTTGGTTATATATGCTATTATCTTAATTTAGTAACTAGACATTTTTACTATATTGACTTAAGTCAGAAATCAATAACTTTTTAAACCGATTTTTATAAAGTAGTTTTTATAAATGAATTTTGCCATTTAGATGACTATATTATAAAATTCATTTTATAAAATCATTTTTTGCCATTTATTTGGATGACTATATGATGAACATTATTAACAGAATTCTTAATTTTGAGCCATCCTTGCCTTCCTGAAAATATGAACTTTGTTTTTTATGGTGGCAATGATATGCTAACTTTACAAATAATTTGGGAAACATTTCTTTTTTTTTTTTTTCATGTGTTCTGGTATAGTTTAAATAGCATGGAATTTTTATCCCTTGGAGATCTGAAATAATTTATTTGTGAAACTGTCAGACTTGGTGAAATTTGAGGAAATAGCTCTTTGAAAGTTAAAATAACCTACCATCATGGATTATTTAATTAATATAGTCCAATTATTTAATATAGTCCAATTATTTAATATTGTACAGATTGTTATTTAAATTTTTATAGAGCTACTTCCTCAAACTTCCTTGATCCCAGGAGTTGAAGGCCAGTCCGGGCAACATGGAGAAACCTTCTCTCTACCAAAAATATAAAAAAATTAGCCAGGTGTGGTGGTGTGCACCTCCTTCCAGCTACTCAGGAGGCTGAAGTGGGAGGATCCCTTGAGCCTGGGAAGCAGAGGTTGCAATGAGCTGAGTGAGATTGCTCCACTTCACTCCAGCCTGGGCAACAGAGTGAGGCTCTGTCTTAAAAAAGGGGGAGGGGAGAGCATTAGGACAAATACCTAATACATGTAGGGCTAAAAACCTAGATGACGGGTTGATGGGTGCAGCAAACCACCATGGCACATGTATACCTATGTAACAAACCCACACATTCTGCGCATGTATCCCAGAACTTAAAGGATAATAAAAAAAAAAAAAGAAAAAAACCCAGAAATTTTTAATTTGAATCATCCACTTTATTTTGGTTTAAGTATTTATTCGCTCAAAATTAGGCAAATCTTTCCATACATAGGCATACCTTGGAGATAGTGTAGGTTTAGTTCCAGACCACAGTAATAAAGCAAATATCATAATAAAGCGAGTAAAAACTCACACACATTTTTTGGTTTCCCAGTGCATATAAAAGTTACATTTATACTATACATTAGCCTCTGAAGTGTGCAATAGCATTATATCTAAAAAAAATGTAAATAACTTAAAAATACTTGATTGTTTAAAAAAGCTAATGATCATCTGAGCCTTCACAAATCAATCTTTTTGCTGGTAGAAAGGGTTGCCTCGATTTATTTATTTATTTATGTATTTATTTATTTATTTTTTAAGACGGAGTTTCGCTCTTGTTGCCAGGCTGGAGTACAATGGTGTGATCCCAGCTCACTGCAACCTCCACCTCCCATGTTCAAGCGATTCTCCTGCTCAGCCTCCCAAGTAGCTGGGATTACGGGTGCACACCACCATGCCCAGATATGTTTTGTATTTTTAGTACAGATGGGGTTTTGTCATGTTGGCGAGGCTGGTCTTGACCTCCTGACCTCAGGTGGTCCTCCCGCCTCAGCCTCTCAAAGTGCTGGGATTACAGGTGTAAGCCACTGTGCCTGGCCTGCCTCGATTTTGATGGCTAGTGTCTGATCATGGTGGCGGTTGCTGAAAGTTGGGGTGGCTGTAGCAATTTCTTCAAATAATACAACAAGGAAGTTTGCCACATCGTTGGACTCTTTCATTCATGAAAAATTTCTCTGTAGCCTGCAGTGCTCTTTGATAGCATTTTACCCATTGTAGAACTTCTTTCCAACTTGGAGTCAATTGTCTCAAACTCTGCTGCTACTTTATCAACTAAGTTTATGTACTATTCAGAAAACTTCTTGTCATTTTAACAACAGCATCTTCACCAGGAGTGAATTACGTTTCTAGAAACCTGTTTCTTTGCTCATGCATAAGAAGCAATTCCTTATTCATTCAAGTTTTATCGTGAAATTGCAGCAATTTAGTCACATCTTCCAGCTCCCTTTTTAATTGTGGTTCTCTTGCTATTTCTACCACATCTGCAGTTCCTTCTTACACTGAAGTCTTGAACCCCTTAAAGTAATTCAAGAGGGTTGAAACCAACTTCTTCAAAATTCCTGTTAATGTTGATATTTATATCCACATATAACTTGTGGCAGCTTCTACATCTGTGCTTGCTGCTTCACCTTACACTTTTAAGTTATGCAGTTGGCCTCTTTTGTTAAACTTTATGAACCATCCTCTGTTAGCTTCAAACTTTTTTTTTCTGCGGCTTCCTCACCTCTCTCTGCCATGATAGAATTGAAGAGAGATAGGGCCTTGCTCTGGATTAGGTTTTGGCTTAAGGGAATGTTGTGGCTGGTTAAATCGTCCATCCACATCACTAAAACTTTCTCCATATCAGTGATAAGGCTGTTTTGCTTCTTATCATTCATGTATTCACCAAAATACTACTTTCTTACAAGCGATGTGAAGGACCTCATCAAGGAGAATTACAAACCACTGCTCAATGAAATAAAAGAGGACACAAACAAATGGAAGAATATTCCATGCTCATGGGTAGGAAAAATCAATATCGTGAAAATGGCCATACTGCCCAAGGTAATTTATAGATTCAATGCCATCCCCATCAAGCTACCAATGACTTTCTTCACAGAATTGGAAAAAACTACTTTAAAGTTCATATGGAACCAAAAAAGAGCCCACATCGCCAAGTCAATCCTAAGCCAAAAGAACAAAGCTGGAGGCATCACACTACCTGACTTCAAACTATACTACAAGTCTACAGTAACCAAAACAGCATGGTACTACTACCAAAACAGAGATACAGACCAATGGAACAGAACAGAGTCCTCAGAAATAAGACCATACTTCTACAACCATCTGATCTTTGACAAACCTGACAAAAACAAGAAATGGGGAAAGGATTCCCTATTTAATAAATGGTGCTGAGAAAACTGGCTAGCCATATGTAGAAAGCTGAAACTGGATCCCTTCCTTACACCTTATACAAAATTAATTCAAGATGGATTAAGATTTAAATGTCAGACCTAAAACCATAAAAGCCCTAGAAATAAACCTAGGCAATACCATTCAGGACATAGGCATGGCCAAGGACTTCATGACTAAAACACCAAAAGCAATGGCAACAGAAGCCAAAATTGACAAATGGGATCTAATTAAACTGAAGAGCTTCTTCACAGCAAAAGAAACTACCATCAGAGTGAACAGGCAACATACAGAATGGGAAAAAATTTTTGCTATCTACCTGTCTGACAAAGGGCTAATATCCAGAATCTACAAAGAACTTAAACAAATTTACAAGAAAAAAACAAACGACCCTGTCAACAAGTGGGCAAAGGATATGAACAGACACTTCTCAAAAGAAGACATTTATGCAGCCAACAGACACATGAAAAAATGCTCACCATCACTGGCCATCAGAGAAATGCAAATCAAAACCACAATGAGATACCATCTCACACCAGTTAGAATGGTGATCATTAAAAAGTCAGGAAACAACAGGTGCTGGAGAGGATGTGGAGAAATAGGAACACTTTTACACTGTTGGTGGGACTGTAAACTCGTTCAACCATTGTGGAAGTCAGTGTGGCGATTCCTCAGGGATCTGGAACTAGAAATACCATTTGACCCAGCATTCCCATTACTGGGTATATACCCAAGGGATTATAAATCATGCTGCTATAAATACACATGCACACGTATGTTTATTGCGGCACTATTCACAATAGCAAAGACTTGGAACCAACCCAAATGTCCAACAATGATAGACTGGATTAAGAGAACGTGGCACATATACACCATGGAATACTATGAAGCCATAAAAAAAGACGAGTTCATGTCCTTTGTAGGGACACGTATGAAACTGGAAACCATCTATCTGAGCAAACTATCACAAGGACAGAAAACCAAACACCACATGTTCTCACTCATAGGTGGGAATTGAACAATGAGAACACTTGGACACAGGGTGGGGAACATCACATACCATGGCCTGTTGTGGGGTGAGGGAGGGGGGAGGGATAGCATTAGGAGATATACCTAATGTAAATGACGAGTTAATGGGTGCAGCACACCAACATGGCACATGTATACATATGTAATAAACCTGCACATTGTGCACATGTACCCTAGAACTTAAAGTGTGTGTATATATATATACAGGCTTTCTAAACCTAGAATTCTGATTCTATGGGCTGGAGTTTTGCTAAATGTCCTGGTCACCTCATCTCAACCAACGAATAATTAAGGAGTGCCAGCTATGTGTAGAACATTGTGCTTGGACCTGCAGAAGGCACAGTTCCTATGTTTTGGGGATTAGTTCTCTCTATATCTAAACAAATTAATAAAAACAAACAAAAGTAAGATAAAAAAAATTCCCTTCAAGAACTTCCCCTTTGCATTCACAACTTGGCTAAGACTGCAAGAGGCCTAGCTTTCAGTGTATCTTGGCTTTCAAAATGCTTTTCTCACTAAGCTTAATCTTTTCTAGCTTTTGATTTAAAGTAAGAAACATGTGAGTCTTACTTTCACTTGAGACACTTAGAGGCTATTGTAGGGTGATTAATTGGCCTAATTTGAATACTGTTGTATCTCAGGGAGTAGGAAGGCCTGAGAAAAGAGAGAGAGATGGAGAAACAGGTGGTTGGTGGAGCAGTCAGAACAACACAACATTTATCCTTTTAGCTCACTGTCTTATATGGGCATGGTTTGTGGTGCCCAAAACAATTACAAAAGGAACGCCAAAGATCACTGATCACAGATCACCATAACAGATATAATAATAATGAAAAAGTTAGCAATACTGTGAAAAGTACCAGAATGAGACATAGAGACACAAAGTGAGCAAAGCATGTTTGGAAAATGATGCTGATAGACTTGTTTAATGTAGGGTTGCCACAAAGCTACAATTTGTAAAAAAAAAAAACACCATATCTGTGAAGTACAATCAAGGGAAGAACAACAGAATGAGGTATGCCTGTAATTTTCTTACTTTATGGAATATTTGTGTTTTCCCCTCATTCTTATTCCTAATTTTGTGCTTATTGATTGTGTTATTTTTAAATATTTAGGAATTCAGTTACTTAATTTTTCGCTTTAGGAGTTACCTCTAGGATTATTCATCTATTGTATGGCATTGCTACTTTCTAATTAATTAATCTTGCTTTTAAAAATTATTACTATTTCATTCTACTTCCATTAGGTTTATTTTGTGTTTAAATTTCATTTGATTAATGAGTATTTTTATTTTATATTTAGTAATATTGTGTTTGTAGATTGTGAATCTTCTTCAGTTTTTTCCTTTGTTTTTGTTAGGCCATTTTGAAAGTTTTACACTGATCACTTAGTGTATTATTATAACTAATAGTTATACAGGTTTTTTTCAAGAGTGGTAACATTACTACCAAGGTCATTGTGAATATTTATATTATTTTGAGTCAGTGTGTGCCACGAGTTCTTTCACAGTCAGTGTTCTTCACTTGTGATTTTTTTGTTTTGAATCATTTTCCAACTGGCTCTATTAAGACTTCATGCATGTTTCTTTTTCAGAAAGAGCTTTTAAGTGATGTTATTCTAGAAGTATTGCAAAATTGAACATTTCCTCCTGCTCTGTAAATGTCAGCATGTCTCAATATATAGTTCTTGAGTTCCATCCCCTTTCTTTCATCCTTTTGGAGATGTAGTTTCTTTGTCTTTTTGGCCTTGAGTTTTTCTGAAGTGAAGTCTGAGTTTATTCGTTGTTTTTTTTTAAACATTTGTAGGGGATCTGATTCTTCTCTTTCAATACTTACAAGAGCCTTTGTCTTTGGAATTCAGTAATATCATTAGGAAATATCATGATTTTAAAGTTATTTGTTCATGGAACACAGCAAGCCCTTTCAATATGAACATACACATTTTCTTTTAGAAAACAAATGTTTATTGATAAATAATTTCACGTTTTATTCTCCTTTTTATGTAATGACTGCCTTCCAAATCTACCCTCTTCATTTCTGTGTTATTTTCTTGAGCTATCCTTCCATGTTACAACCATGTTTCTGCCAGGGTTGGTTTATCATCTCGCTGTTTCCAATTTGGTTTTCGTTTTCTGTAATGGTGTTTTCCCTTAGCTATCCTGGCTCACTTTTAAATCTTCCTCAGTCAAAATAGCATCTCACATTTGTTCTCTTGCATCTTTCTCTTTGCTATAATTATGGATTTAGGATATTTTGTCTAAAATTTTCTTCTGTTTCCTGTAGTATCTATTTCAAAATATTTTCTTCACCTGCCTTTTATTATGTTTCATTCTTTTTTCTTTCCTTTATGCTATCAACCTTATTAGATTTTTTCTGCATATAATTAATTTTTGACTGAGGTATCAGTCACGGTTAAGGTGCAGATACAGGAAGCTACTTTAGCTACTTTAAGTGCAAAGCATTTACAGCTGGAAAGTTTGTGTTACAACATTACCAGAAGGACAGGAGAAACAAGTTCGAAGCTGGGCTACAAGGAATGATTCCTAGAACAGTACTCGAAAACTGGTATACCATGGTAGCTACTTCCTCTGCAACAGTTAAGCTGCCATGGTAACAGGTGGGAGGTACAGGCACTGGTGGTTGGGTAGATGTGGTAGTAGGAGTTTATAAAAGTTGTCTTCTGATTATTTAAATTTTCATAGTGAAGTTGGAAGCAAGCTCATCTAAGAATGAGGAAGCAGGAAGAGATGATGAAAATTTGAGGCAAAAGAGAAAAAGTAAAATGGTTTTCTAGGAGAGTAGCAAATGAACAGGCTAGGGAAATGTAGTATGAGAGTCAAGGAGTATTAGAGGGTGGTTTTAGATTTGCAACTATGAATTCAAAGTGACACCAGACAGGGTAATTGTGTGTTTTTCTTCAGCCATGTCCAGCTACGGGAGTACAAGTATGGGATGGTTGAAAGGTTACATTTAACCAGGGTTAGACATTTCCAAGTCATTACATTTCCAAGACATTACAATGATGGGGAGAAAGGGGAAGTAAGTTAAAGGTATAGGAAGGATTATAATGATCGACCATGGAAATAAAGCTAGGTAAGAGAGAGAATATCAAGAATGTTGGGGACAGTAAAATGTTGGTAAGACAAATAAGCTGGAGTCTGGTGGGGTCAAAGGATTGTTGGAGTTGGGGTGCTAAATGGAGTGAGAGGAATAAAATGAGGTAGTTATTCAGTAGTAGGATATGTGAAATTATGATTATGTGGAGATAAAAGTTATAATAATAAGGTCTATGGTATGACAACTAAAATAATGTTGAAGACAAGATCATTGGAGAAGAGTTCAAGCAACTGAGAATTTAAAGGGTCATCTACATGTATATTAAAACTCCAAAAATTAAGGAAGGAATAGTCATGAGGATACGGACAATGAGCCAGAAGCGGAAGTATTTGAGAATCAAGAGGGAGTGATCTGGGGGAAGTTCTAGAGATGGGGCAACATTGAGAGACAGGAGGTGATATACTATGATGCCAAGAAATGTCAAGCTGGAAGTTTTTAGGTAGACTGAAGTGAGAAAGTAGCAATAAGCAACAGAGAAGATCTCCACCCACTCCCATGCTCAGCAATATGAGGGCAGGGAGAAAATCAGCCTTTACTTGAAAGGACTGTGTGGGGAAGCAGTGCCAAGTTTACCTTGTGAAAAGGAAGTAAAAAGATAAAGGGAACATATGAAAGAAGAGGCTGGGGATGGGTGAGATTATGGTGATGATGGACAGATTATGGGAATCTGAAGGTCTAGTAGGAGGATTTCAAGAAGGATGAGAGAAGGTAATAGAAGAGGCGCTATCAGAGCCTTATGGAGATCATAGGGTAGGAGATGAGTGTCGAACGAGACATCTGGGGATGTTTAGTTTAAGATAAAAAAGACTAAAGGCCACAATAAGATTCACCTTGGTTAATTCAAGGTGAGTGGTAGCAAGGCTGAGTGTTATGGGCAGGAAGAGTTATGTGCTTGAAGCTCCCTCAAGAAATGGGGAAGCAAGTCTTTGACTCAGTAAATGAAACCCAACTGGACCCTATACTATAGGGTTAATAAGCCTGGGGGAGGCATTTTCCTGACTTTGACACAGTCCAAGGATTTACTGTGGACCCCAGGTCAGGGAGGGGCTCTTTTTTGAACGTTAGTGGAGTTGAAATTCTGGGGAAGCTTGATGCTACTTTATGTAGCATCTTCATCACTGGTAATCTAGGTAGAAGGCCTAGAGGAGGACTGATCTCAGTCTCTGTGAACTGTCCTTACTGATTTCTGGTGAGTGAGAATAGGGTTATAGATGGGGACCATTGATCTTGCTGTTTGTCAGAGTGTTGTTTCTAAACACTTTCTCTTGAGATCTGATTAATCATCTGCCTTAAGACATGTGTCACTGTGTGTGCATGTGTGTGTGTGTGTATAGGGTTGAGTTTAGGGTAGTATATAAGAAAAAAGGACCGTCTTATAATTTTTTTTTTTGAAATATCATAATGATGGATTATCTCAGGTTCACACAAACTAAAGATATCACAGTACATGTATGTGGTACACATATGTATGTACGCATGTGGGGGCAGTGCTACATGGTACCTTCTTCAACTTTGCCACATGGTTTGTCCCTGAGTATGCAAATCTAACTCAAGTTGGGTGCTTCTTTTTTCGTTCCATGGTTCCACCTGACCATTGGTATTTTCCCTGGCTACTTAAAGGATATTGGCCTATTTATTTATCTATTTGTTAATGTTAAGATATTTAGGTGACAAATAAAGATTATATATATTTTCAAAGTACACAACATGATTATTTGATGTATGTATATATTGTATAATAATTATAAAATCAAATTAACATACCCATCACCACACATGCTGTACCTTAGATCCCCAGAACTTGTTTATTTTATAACTGAAAGTTTGTACCCTATGATGAACATCTGTCCATTTCTCCTACCTCCTAGTCCCTGGTAACCAGTGTTTTAGTCTCTGTTTCTATGAGTTTGACTTTTCAAAATTTCACATGTATGTGAGATCTTACAGTATTTGTCTTTTTGTGTTGGGCTTATTTCACTTACCATAATGTCCTCCAGGTTCATCTGCGTTGACATATACATTCCATGTTCATTGCAGCATTATTCACCAAGGTATGGATTCAATCTTAGAATTTGATGGACAAATGGATAAAGAAAATGTGGCATACACATACACACAAATGCACATATACACATATACATACTATATATAATACATTAGAATATGATTCAGCCAATGGAAAAAAAGGAGCTCTGTTTTTAAAAAATCTGCACTCTGATCAAGATTACGGAGATAGATTTTCTCTCTCAGTATTCTCCTGTGGTTGGGTTTAAATTATATATGGAAGAGTAGATATTATTGGAAATCTTTATGTTGTGGTAGTTCCCTAGTGTTATTAAAGATGATACGTTTGTCTTTAGATCAGGTTTATGTTATTTATTTTAATAGACCTCAAGAAGAATGGTTATGCAGGTATGTTCTCATGGTGCCATCTTCTTGTAAGTCTTTGCTTGTGTCTCTTGTTTTCTTACTAAGTAACCGAGTATTATCTTTTCAAAAGCTTTCATTTATATGTTGCTAGAGTATGTGTTGACTAAATTATTAATAATTTTGCTGATGTCAACAAAGAACATGGATCACTAGGTGATACTGATGTCTGCACATATCCATGCTACTCACAGTTTTTCATGACTTGAGGAGAGAATTCAAAGCACATAGTATCATGAACACAGTCACAAATATTAAATATTTTTTAAACGTTCAAAATATCTTGAAGTTAAAATATTTTGAGATTGTATTAGTTTTCTATTGCTGAGTAACAAATGATCACACATTTAGTAGCTTAAAACAATATTCATGTTGTTTTGCTTACCCTTTCATAGGTTAGAAGTCTGGCATGGCATGACAGAGTTCTTCGTTAGATTATCACAGGGCTAAAATCAGGGTATTCATTTGGATGAATTCTCATCTGAAGACTCTGGAAAAATTTGCTTCTAAACTCATTTTTTTTTTCTGAGACGTGTTCTTGCTCTGTTGCCCAGGTTGGAGTGTAGTGGTGAGAATATCTGCTCACTGCAGCCTCAACCTCCTGGGTTCAAGCAGTCCTCCTGCTTCAGCTTCCACATAGCTGAGACCATAGTGAATGCCACCACTATACACAACTAAGTTTTATATTTTTTTTATAGAAATGGGTCTCTCACTCTGTTGCCCAGGCTTTTCTCGAACTCCTGGGCTCAAGTGATCCTCCCTCCTTGGCTTCCCAAAGTACTAAGATAACAGATATGAGCCACTGCATCTGGCCTAAATTCATTTTTTTGTTGTTGGAAAAATTCAGTTCTTTGTAGTTGTAGGGCTGAGGTTTGTCTGCTTTGTGCTGGCTGTTAGTTGAATGCTGCTTTCAGCCCCTATAGGCCACCCACATTCTCTACCACATGTGTTAGTCAGGGTTCTCCAGAGGAACAGAACCAATAAGATATTTATATTTATATTACTTGAATATTTGTTAATATTTATTTATTATAAGGAATTGGCTCACGTGATTATAGAGGCTGAGAAGGCCCATGATCTGCCGTGTGCAAGCTGGAGACTGAATACCCACAAGAGCTGGTGTTACAAGTTCTAGTCTGAGTGCAGAAGACTGATGGCCCAGAGTGAAAACAGGCAGAAAGAGTGAATTCTACTTTATTCTGCCTTCTGCTCAATTCAGACCTCCAATGGATTGGAACAGGCCCACCCACATTGAGGACTGTAGGCTGCTTTACTCAGTCTATTGATTTAAAGGATTCAAACTTTTAAAGTGTCTTTGGAGTCATCAAGAAACATCCTTACAGACACACCCAGGGTAATTTTTAACCAAATACCTAGACACCTGGTGGCCCAGTCAAGTTGACACATAAATTCACCATCATGTCATGTAACTTCTTTCATCTTCAAAGCCAGTGTGGTAGGCTGAATAATGCCTCACTCAAAAGATCTCCATGTCCTAATCCCTGCAACCTCTGAATGTGATAACTTATATGGCAAAGAGGATTTTTGCAGGTGTGATAATTAAGATTTTTGACATGGGAGATTATCCTGGATTATCTGGATGAGGCTGATGTAGCCGCAAGGGTCCTTTTATGGGAGAAGGCAATACGACAATGAAAGCAGAGATTGCTGCAATACAGCTAAGAGCCATGGAGTGCTGAAGCTTCTGGAGCTGGAAGATCAAGGAACAGATTGTCCCCTGCTGCTTCCAGAAGGAACCAACCCTGCTGACACCTGAATTTTAGCCCCTTAAGACTAATTGTGGATTTCTGACCTCCAGATCTGTGACAGAATACATTTACATTGTTTTAAACCACCAAATTTGTCATAATTGCTTACAGTTCAATAGCAAATGTATAGTCTGCAATGGGGAATTTTCCCCTCATTAAATCTCACTTGCACCTTGAAACTCTCTTAACTTCCTCTCCTGAAACCACAGGGAGAAAATTCTCTGCTTTTAAAGGGCTTATGTTATTAAGCCTGGCTCACTTATAGTTGAGTGCTAACTTAAGGTCAACCGATTTGGGTCTGTAATTATGATACAAGTACAAAATTCGTTCACAGAGGCACTAGTATTTGATTGAATAACTGGGAGAAGATGTATGTATACAAGATGCCAGAAATCTTGGGGGGCTGTCTTAGAATTTTGCCTACCACAAAGATGGAAAACTTTTAAGGTGTCTTGGGAGTCATTTAAACTTTAAAATAATTTAGACTTGAAATTTACTTGGTCTTATGGTTATTAGAGATTAAAAATTTTCTAGTTTTTTGATTTATTTAGGAGTTCCACTGCAATTCTGAATTAACATAGGAACATATTATATCTATCAATTTTTATGACAGGAAAATTTATAGCCTTCCACAAATACTGTCTTTCTTTGCTTTCTCTAAGTTTTCTTCCTGATCACAAGATCTACTGCCTTACAATGCATGAACACACAAGAAATGGTTTTCATAGCTCTACCTTAAGTTAGCCAAAAGACACATGTAGTGGCTTTACTTTGGAGACCTGCCTCTGGGGTTTCTCTTGATTGCCACATCTCCTTTTGTTGTTGTTTAGGGATATATTTTGTTTTTTCACTGTCATTTTTAACTATCAGCCATCTCAAGAAAATAGAATACTATGTCTATTTGGTCACCTGTATTATTCATCTATTGTCAAGCATTACTCCTAACTCTCATAAAGATTAAATTTCTTTTTGTGGACTGTGTTTCTTAATGAACATTGTTTCATTTTCTTCTTTGTGTATTATTTTGAAATATTTTTTTTATTAGTGGCAGAGAGCATCCAATGGGAGTAAAATTTACTTCCATTAGAAGCTCTGTTATAGTTTGTAAACACTGTTTATCTAATAAACCAGCATTTTGTTAGGAAAAGATCCTGGATCTCAATAAAAAATTAAAACTGAGTTATGTTTCTTTAAGAGGCTCACTTGAAAAAAAATAAACACCTTCTTAATATTCACTGTGAGAACCAAGTGTAGTGTTTTTAATTTTCCAGCTAGACCAATGGAGGGACACAGGTTAAAAGAATAACATCATAAGGTTTCTGAATGTGCCAAATGCTTTCCCTACAAACGTCTTGGCTATTCTGTAAAGAAAATCTCACAAGAAAGATGACACTGCTTTACAAGCCCTGCCTGAGATCTGAAAACATGAAAATTAGGCATAGAAATGTCTGAAATGGAAGAATACTGGGAGGATATTTAATTGAATTATATTCTTTCAGTTGTTAAGTCCTTACACACACATTTTCATTTAATGTGAAACCTAATCTTGCTAATTTGCCAAAAGAAAATGTCAGATTAGTGATTAATTTGCTTTCATCAAGATGTTTATTGGAACCTGATTATATTAGCATGTATTCAGCAAATAGTTTTTATATTTCTTAACTTCCAAGTAATACATCCTTGCAGATTTTACCAGTTATACTGCTAATAGATACAAGTTAGGCTACTTAGTTTAAATTTTTATTTTATATAGTTAATCATTTTTAATACTAAATCTATAACTGAGTTGGGAAAATTAATTTATTGATGGTTAGCTTTCTAAGTGTGTTTTAAAAATCATACATTGTGAAATAATTCTGGGGTTTATTTCAGTGTATGGGCTGTATTAATAATAAGCTATTACCAAAATAATGCTCTATAACCTCCAAAACTTCATGATTTACAAAAACATGAATTTATTCCCATGCTCAAGGGTGTACATTTGACTGCAGTTTGATCTAGGCTGGCGGAGTTGGGCAACTCTTCTTCAGCTGTTGTTTGGGGTTACATCTGCTTTACATGTCTTTCACTGTTCTTGGACCAGTACGTCTACTCAGCAGTTCCTGTGTAAAGAGCGAGAACACAAGAGCCAAACTTAACTGTGCAAACAAGTTTAAGGCCTCTATGCCTATCATCCTCTAAGGTTCCATTGGCTAAAGTCAGTATGTGCCGGAACCCCAAATCCATGGGACAGGGAAATACGCCATGCCCACAGAGGGGTGGTGAAGGGTAGGAGGAGTAAGTATTTACTGAACAGTAATCTGGATAATCCAAACTATTTCGTGTGTTTTGTTCTTTATGTTAAACACTGTATAATACCGAAAGGATCCCTTTCTGTGAATTGAGGTGCAGGTAAACGATCTCTTTTTTTAGGCATCTAATAATATTATGGTTAAGTGTTAATTTAAGTGTAAATTTGCCAATCCTTATTTTAGAATCCTGAGATGAATTCTTATGTATTTAAGCAGCTATTTGACTTGTTTTTGGTTATTTTCATTACAGATATATAATCATGTATATTATATACATATATATATGATGGATTGATAAAGCTCACGCATTACTTATTCCTCTTATTTTTCCTCTAAGAGCAAACATAGCACTGGTAGGACAGAATAAGTAGAAGAATGGATGCCCTGTTAAACTGCCTGCTCTTCCAAGGCAGAAGCCATATCTGTCTCTGCTGCTGTGTCTCAGGACCTAGCCCAGTACATTGCTCTGAGTAGGCTGTCAGTGAATACTCAACCAACTGATTACCGACTTGCAAGAGAGTCAACCACTGTGGTGTCTTATTTTATCTTGGCTTCATTTTGCATTAGTACATACAGTACCAGAGAATACAAGTAATATTTTCCTTATTGTGATAAAATACAAATGACATAAAATTTATCGTTTTAACAGTTTTTACTTATTTACTTATTTGCTGTAACACATGCTTCCGCTTTCCTTTTTATAAAACGATAATGTCCAAATGGTACTTTCCCATTTATTCCCATGCTTTTATTACATTCACAACTGTTGTACAATGATTGCCACTATGCAGTTTCAGTAGTTCATCATCACCCCAAATAGAAATCCTGTCCCTATTAAGCAGTTGATCCTCGTCCCTCTTCCTCCAATCCCTTGGCAAACACTAATCTGCTTCTGTCTCTATGGATTTACCCATTCCAGACATTTCATACAAATGGAATCATATAGTATTTGGCTTTTTGTATCTAGCTTATTTAGCATCACGTTTGCAAGGTTTATCCATGCTGTAGCATATTAATACAGTCATCACTTGGTATCTGTGGGGGATTGGTCACAGGACACACCCCCACATACCAAAATTCACGTGTGCTCAAGTCCATTATATACAATGGCACAATATTTGCATATAACTTATGTCTTCCTGTATACTTTAAATCATCTCTAGATTACTTATGATAGCTAATACAATATAAATGCTATGCAAATAGTAGTTAAAATGTATTTTAAGAATGTGTATTATTTTTATTGTTCTTTTATTTTTTCCCTAAATATTTTTGATCTGTGGTTGGTCGTATCTATGGATGTGAAACCTGTGGATACAGAGGGTTGACTGTACTTCGTTTGCATGGCCAAATAATATTCCATTGTATAGATATATCTATGTGTTGGTTGATGGATATTTATGAAAATAATGTTTTATATACATAGTAATTGATTTTAGATATCACATGAGATCTAATACATTAACAGTCTCAGAGGTTTTGTTTGATTCCCTCTGGAGAACACATCAGTGGAGCAGGACTGTTCTATTAAGCTGAGTTGGAAACAGAAAAAAAGAGAACTGGAAGATTTTCTAGCAAAATAATATTAACACAGTGAATGGTGAACTTCCACTGCCCAATTAAACTGTGATAGTGTGATTTATTTTTTAAGCTTCAGTCAAGATTGTTATGATCAGATATCACAATCACTTGACAGCAATTTGGTAGGGAACCAGGAATTGCAGCTGCTTATTTTAATTGTGACTTTACTCATGTATCTTTTACTTATTTGCTGTAACACATGCTTCAGCTTTCCTTTTTATAAAACAATAATATCCAAATGGTACTTTCCCATTTCTTCCCATGCTTTCTGTGCCAATTTTATGTGCATTTTCCAACCTCCTTCTGCTCTCCAGAAATGTTTTAAATCTCAGATCATGTGAGATTCTGATTTAAGATTTAAAAATACTTCCCTCCCTGAAGGTTTATTACCCAATTAGTATCTGAAAGGAGCTGCATAACTATTTCATTATCCATAGAGTCCAAGAGGAGTGCAATGGAATTAATTTAAAAGCTTGGAAAATAAGATATATGAGTAAAATGAAAGGAATTGGCATTATGTAACCTGGAGAAATGAAGGCTGAAATCTTTAATACATGAAGGACTATAATATAGAGGAGGATGAATGATTTTTCTCTGTCTTCCAAGAGAATAGAATAAGAGAAAATGGATTTAAGCAATAGCAGCCTGGATTTAGATCAGAAATAAAAAAAAGCTTTCTAACTCTAGGGAATGTAAGGTGGTTTATCAGTGTCCTTGTTAAGACCCAGCAAAGATTTAAGGAAAAGAAAGTGGAGGGGAAGAATTGCTTTGACTGTTAACATTGTTTATTAAGAGATGTTTCTAAATACCCTTCCTTGCAAATGTCTACACTATGATAGATTACTACCTGTTTTGGATGATCACAGCCCCTAAGGAAAATAACAGGCACCAGACTCCCATGTTTCTCCTCCATAGAAGTGCCTACTACATTCTTTCCAGGAGGAAACCATTTAATAAAATTTAGTTAAGTGAATAATCCCCTCTTCTTAAAGATGAGACAACTGAAGTAGTGTAATTGTCTACCCTCAGATCAAGCAGCTAGGATTAAATTCACACAGTTATTTAAGACAAAATGTAGATTTGTGGCAGAAAATAGATTTCTACCTGTTTTGGACCTAGAACGCTGGATAACAACCTGGAACTGAAACTTGAGCGGAAGCACTTCCTGCAATGCCCTAGATGCCTGGAGGGTTTATGGATCAACAATTCAGTAACCTTCAATCAGTGAAGTCAGTCAGTAACCTGGTTCTAGTGAGCACGATACATCTAATACAGAGCCATTTATTTTAAAATGATTAAAAATAGTACATTTGGTAATTATTTATTGAGTCCCCACAGTATATGAGGCATTGTGTAAGTCCTAGTGGGAAGCAATTCATAAGATAAGAAAGATGCCTATGGAATAACTTGGAGCTGAACTATCCCTCCTTTGTAAGTCATCCATGCAGTATGAAGGTTAAATGTCAGGGAGAAAGTAAACAGGAAAAAGCCAAAAGCAAGCAGCTTTGTGTTTTCTCTGAAGGTATCAGAGTGCAAGCTCACAGACTTATCTCTCCACCTTTTTGTCCAGCCTAGGTTGACCTGCTCCCCTCAGCACTTCACTGTATTCTACTTCCAGCATGTACTTGTCAGATCCCCAGCTCCTCCTATGCAGACCTATAACCTACATTTTCATTCTCTTGGTGCCTCAGACATCAGGACTTCCATGGTTCTGAAGGGAGGGACAGCAGTTAAAATGGCACTTGAAGGACTACTGTCTTGGTCCAGGGTGGGTTAGTCACTGGCAGGGCACAGACAGGAGCCCTGGGCCTAACTCTGAGGTGTCAGCAAAGAATCTTGTTTTAACTTGTATGAGAGAAATAAAGTAATAAGAATTAAAATTTATCATGGAGTGAGGAAAACTGTCAAGCAGCATTGACAGTAGATGCCGAGAAGTAAAGAGGAAAAAAAATTGTTAAAATATTAGTTACAACAAATATGTAAATTGGCAATTAGGTATAATTGCTATGTACCACAACAATGATCATCATTAAATGTCAGATTCATTTAGCATATAGTTAATTTCATTGCAATATAACCTATTCCTTTGCTCATTTTTCAAAATTATTTGCTTTTGTGCCTGGTTGTCTGTTCGGGGCATATAACACAATATAGGGAACAACACCCATTTATAGAATAAAATATCCATCTCTATAATTAGTCCTGACATTGGGTTGCTGTTTCATAGATAATGCTGGTTAAAAAAAGATTGTTATGTTGAAATAGATAATATTTCAATGATATTTCTAACCTGAAACAATTGGCATATTGTTTTAGTTGCCTTAGCTGCCTTCCCTAAAGAAAACATATTTATTTTCAGGGCTAGCTGCTGTTGGCATAATAATAAATTGTTCTTAATATTAAGTTGAGAAGAAATTTAATCAGTAAGACTGTTTTAAATTTGGCAATTTTAGGATTTCTAGTTTCTACCTCCTGCTTCTTTAGCAAAAATTGAACAGAGAATTCAGTTTTCTGTTCATGAGATACTTTACTCAAGCATTGCCTAAAAAAAATTTTTTTTAGATAAGATTTAACCAGAAGATAATCAAAAGTAGTTTTTCTCTTGGCCATGTCTCATCCTTGGTTGGGCATTGCTTTTAACCTTGATGAAAGTAGTATTAAGTCTGTATTTTGATTTTAAGATTGAAAAGTTAATGTAGGCACTAAGGAAGTCAACTAAAACAAAACTTGGGAATAAACTTTTACAATTATGAGAAAAAAGGCAATTAGTTCCTTGATATCAGATAGGCCCTGGGCTGACCCATTTAATGAAATTTCTTTAACCCTCTATTGTCTATTATATGGGTTGAGCTGTAATTCTTTGTCATCAATTTGATGTTTGTTTGGTTTTTTTCTTTTCCCTTGAAGGAATTATCCCAGATTCTTGGCAGCCTTCCTAAACTGCAGTGGAACCAAGGACTTTGTGTATTTGAATTTTTAATTGTAAACATTGTGACAAGCATTTGCAAACTGGGAGTTGGCAGAGTTGGTGTGATGTCATAGAAAATAATTTCCTTTGTTTTATTTAAAAAAGGTTTCCAAGTTTCCCCAAGTAAGTCTGGCTTTTATCTCAAGCTATGAGAGAGCCGTTTACCAGATGTCAGAATCAAGACATTGTCTTTGATTTCTAAGGACTTTACCCTGGGTGACCTGGATTATTCCTCTCTGTGAATTGAATGCAAACCTCTTAAATATCACTCCATTTCTCCAGGGCACTGCACTGACTCCTTCTTCCATTTATCTTGCCCTATTTATCTTCAACCTTTGTCTTAGGCAATACTTTCTCCCTCTCAATTCCCTTAGCACAAAAGTGATTCTCAAACACTGTCATATCCTTCAAATATTTTCAGAAAGAGATATTGATCCCCAGCCTGATTTCATCCTTTAGAAACATGCAAGTTACAGATTCATAAGTCTGATGTCAGTTAGTGGCAAAATCCTGTACCAGATTATTAAACAAGTGGTTTGTTAGCACTTAGGATAAAATTCAGTGACGAATTATAAGGGTCTGTCTAAATTTTCTAGGAACAAATGGCAAACCAATTTCTCCTTTAAATAGGTTCCCTGATTGGGAAGTCTGAGAAACTAGATAGGGCGTTTTGATTCTGGCAAGGCATTTGAAGTACTTGCTTGAGATGGCTTCATGGACAAGATGGAGAAAAACAGATCGGTGTGAAACGGGATGTCTGGTAGGACAGTTGTAGCTACTCAGTAAAATTATATAATTTAGGAGGTGGTCTTTAGGGGTATGTCACAAGCTTCTAGTCTTACCCCAACCCTAGTAACCATTTTGATTCATACTTTGGATGGACCGTGGAAAGCCCTTTTTCATTCTCTTGTTGACTAAGTCCTATTTGATCTTCAAAACCCCATTCCAGTGTCCCCTCTTAATGGAAGTCTTCTGTCACCCTCAAGTCTGATTTAGAGGTCTTTGCTCTGTACTCCTAGAGAGTTTTTCATGGTGCTTACCACACTGTACTGTGGTTCCTCATTTACCTGTTTTCTTTGCTAGACTATAATGTCCTTGAGGTCAAGTTTTATTTAACTTTATATCCCACAGCATCTGGCACTTAGTATCCATCAGTAAAATTTTGTTGAATAGGTGAATGGATGAGTGGATTAATGCTATATTTATCATTATTTTTACATGACACAAAAATACATAACGTGACAAATAACAAAATTAAGATTCTGAGAGAATAAGTGCTTTAAAAAATGGGTCCAATTAAAAAGATTAGTATATCTCCTTCATTGATCCTACCATCTTTTATTGTCTCTTATCCCCTTGCTATTCCATCACTTGTTCACCAAGCTTAATTTCATGCTTTATCCTTATAATCACTGTTTTGTGCCTCTCTGGATTTGTCTTTGACACATGTATAACTCTGGATAAATACAATTCTTTACTTACATCATGGATAAACATGGCTGGGGATAAGCCCACCACCATGCTGACTTGCCGCACTTTCAATTCATGACCGCCCACATGAAGTGGGCTCCTAGCACAGCCAGCAATCATTGTCTACATCCCTAATCCATTTTCTCACCAACTCACTCAGATGGCCATTTTAGACTTTTCCCTGTCTCTCCAAATGCTATCACCACCTCCTCATTCTTGCTCTCAGGAGACGACCATTCTTCCTGTTCACTGAAGTAATGTAAGCAATCTGATGAGAATTTCCACATCATCAACACTTCCTGTGCACCCACATACTTTGCCTTCCTTCATTTTTTAGAGAGATGAATTGTCTTTTGACCCAGCACATAGCCACCATTATATACTGGATCCCACTTCTCTCATTTTCACAAGAATATCATCCCAGCAATTACAGCATTCCTTACAGTCATGTTTTTTCCTCTCTACTGTGTCATATTCATAAGCATATAAGCATGCTAATATTTCCATGGATTCATAAAAAGTTTACAACATCAAAGAGCCTCATTAGAATCATTTTCTAATGATTCTTTATAATCAGCACCACATTGTCCATTTTGTCGTCACCTGCCTGTCATTTGCAGCCTTGGAGATCACACCATCTCTTAGCACAGCATATTGTAACAAACTGATCTTCTCCTATTATGTGGTGTGACTAAACATGTCTAATCATAAAAAGCCTTCTTTTAAAAAACGAAAAATAAGTGATTCGAATGCTTATAGTATTTAAACTCTCAGATAAATTATCTTCTGTTGTACCATAAACAGTTGTTATGAGGAATTTAAGAAAGTGTAATGTATATAAAGAACTTAGCACAATACATGGCATAGAACAATTGCTTAATAAATGATTTCCATTATTATTGTATAATAAATTAATATATATTTAGAAAATTGTGAAGAGATTCAGTATTATGTAAATAATTTTGCTTAGCTTAAAGAGAATACTCATAAGCAAGTGAGATCTGTGTCCTCAGACATGAAAAGCTCTTATAAGGAAAGGGACCTATAGTTTATGTGGAGTATCATCATGCCCAAAAAGGACAGAATCACCGTTTTAATATATAGACAAAATTCCTAGATGTGTGACCCTGTCAGTAGTGCTCTGGCCTGCCTTAAGAGGAGGTGAGGTCTCTGTGCCTGCAAGTATTCAAATGCAGAGGGTACTTATCTGTCACAGATACATCTGAAGAATGCTTTTACAGGTTGGGAGGCTTGGGCAGATGACAATAATGTTCCTTGCTCCACGAGTACACGTTCATATATATATTATATGTATTATTTATATATTATGTTATTTATTATATATTATTTGTATATATTTATTTATATACATGTATCCGTATTTCCATTAGAACTGTTCCCATATGTTGTCCATATTAGCTGATAAGTTCCTAGGTAGCAAGAGCCATGTCAGTTTTAACTGTTTTTTTTCAGTCTCTAACCAAGTGCTAAGAATATTGTAGATACTTGGTATTAGGATTAGACAAGCTAATTGAATATTTTTCTTTCCATTGAAGGAGATTGAGAGTTTCCATCCATTCCTGGAAATAATTAAATTAGGATTAATGATTATCTATACAGAGAATCTATACTGCATGGCTTGATGTTAGACAAGGTGAGAGATTTTTTTGCTTATTCAGCCTGTCACTTTCAAATCAGTCAATAAACATTAAGCGCTTCTTACTTTGCATTAATTATACTTGATGTTAGGGAATCAAAGATTATAAAGAACTTTTCAGCTCTATTAATGTGATTTGTATTTATGCTGAAAGACTATTTAGATGTGAAAAATATTTAGATGTGAGAGATATGTGGGGAAGGTTTAGCCTACTTGATGAGGAAACTATACTAAAAAGTTTTATTTTGAATATACTTATGTAAAAATTCATGGTTGTATTAGATGCAGTTATTGTAGTTTGATAGAAAACCCAATCTAGGGCTGGGCGCAGTGGCTCACACCCCTAATCCCAGCACTTTGGGAGGCCGAGGTGGGCGGATCACCTGAGGTCAGGAGTTTAAGACCAGCCTGGCCAACATGGTGACACTGTCTCTAGTAAAAATACTAAAAAAAAAAAAAAAAAAAAAAAAAAAAAAAAGCTGGGCTACTTGGGAGGCTGAGGCAGGAGAAGCACTTGAACCCGGAGGCAGAGGTTGCAGTGAGCCGAGATCACACCATTGCACTCCAGCCTGGGCGACAGAGCAAGACTGTGTCTCAAAAGAAAAAAAAAAAGAAAAGAAAAGAAAACCTAATCTAAACTAGCTTAAGCAAGAAAGGGAACTCATTGGATCATGTTTCTGAAGTCTAGGGTATTTCTTGTTTTTAGCACTGCCAGATCCAGTTGACAGATATAATGAGAATGAAATCACCCTTTTTATCTTGGTGCTACATCCCTTCAGAATTTGGCTTCCTTCTCAGGTGAGCTTTCTCCTTGGGCTGTCCCCTAGCAGCGCAGACTTGTGTCTTCCCAAATTCAAGCACAACAGAAAGGAAAGAAATTCTCACTTAGTGTCTATAGCCAAAGGTCTGGAACCATCTCTGATGTGGTCATGCGCTCTTTGCTTAATGAATTGTTGTGCTTGCGGATAGGGAAATGATGTTCTGATTGACTCTTAAAGATCAAATGTTCACCCCTAGACCTAGGGATGGAATTGATTGTATCTGAACCACTTGGTTTGAGAGTTGGCAAAAGTATCATCTGGGCCGTGTTATTCAAGGAAGAGGGAATAACCAGTGAGCAGCCTCACAAGTATCCACAGCAAAGATCCCTGTGTGAGGCGTAGAACTGTTAGAAACTGCTGGAGTTGGTAATAGGGAAAAGAACATTGGTGATCAGATAGTCTATTTAGAAATATGGTTTACTGTGTTTTCTCTAATTGTATTATGAGACAGTTCCTTTTTTCAGTATTACAGAGCAAATATACTGTTAATTCATATAATAAGGTATTATCTGGTTTGCAACCTATTTATATTGACCCAGGGACTCTTTTGAGAAGCTTCAGATAGACAGGAGGGGTTATAATGGAAACACCTCTAAAGAAGAATGTGCCTTTAAAGACTTTTAGTTTCTTTGTGTTGCTAAATGTGTAACTACCCATGAATGTGCATTACAGATAATAAATGTTCCAGGTTTTATAGCATCTATTGCTTTAAGCTTCCCTCATGAAACTGCCAAGTCCTTCCTCTTTATTAAAAAACAACTGCAACAAGGGCAGCAGCAAACAGCTAAATGCTCCGATGCTATCCTTAAAGACATATTGTGAAGAAGAATATTAATTTATTTTCAGAGGGGAAAATACATATAATTTTAATTCTATATTATATAAGAATTCCATGGATGCATTACAGGTACCTTCACTCTGCCAGATGCTGTGAATTTATAAATTCATGTAATTATTACAAAGCCCAGCAAGGCAGATCTTATCTCCATTTTTCACATTTCTCAAATGTCTGATTACCCTTGCCTATCTATTTATATTTCAAAGAGAAGCAGTAAAATACTGATTGGAATCAGTGTGTTTGGATGGGACATATAGACTGATGGATATTATCAAGATGGCTAGCAGTCTTTTCCCTCCAAATATGAGTTTCTGTTGATTTTTATTCTGGAACGATCCTCAGAAAAAGGATTTTCCAACTTCCTTCCTGTGGGGTGCAGTGATGGCTTTTAGCATATTGACTCTGGGCAGGCAGAGGGGCTTAGGGATTTTATTGTTTTTTTTATGCAGATAAAATTGAATCTCCAGTTTTCAGTAAAGCACTGTGCCCCAGCCTCCTCTGTGCTTGATGTCCCATTCAGGCACTGGGTTAGTAGTTGGGTGAGATGGGAGAGGTATGGTTGCCCAGCTGTAGAGACAGGGACCTGAAGTTTTCACTGCTCCCTATATGGACTTTCAAACTGGCTTAAATAATGACTGCCATCTCCATTTCCTGAGAATTTCCAGGGTTCTGAGGATCAGATTGGCTTGCTTCTCATTGATGTCATGCCAGTAGGTTTTATCTTCCTGATGAGTCATTTACCATTTCCCCATATGCTTTCTGCAATCATATATTTGGCTCAGGGTTATAGAGATCTCCTAGTTGCACAGAAGTTAAAGTTTTTGTTACCCATGTCTTTTGAGAGTGATTTTTAAAAGAAGTGGGCAAAAATGTCTTTACTATCTTGAAATCAGATGTCATCTAACTTATAATTCTCTCTGTCAGTTTCTTCATATGTAAAATGAACTAGTGGCTTCTAAAGATGTAAATTCTACCATCATTATTGTTTTTATACTTCTATAGTGGGGTGTGTGTGTGTGTATTAAGTTACTAGTTTTATTGATGCAGGACAAATTTTTCCTGTAAACGAGGTTTGAAAAATAAAATCTTATATGTTAATTAATTTTATATCATGTATATTAGTACAAGTTCAGATGTATGTGCAATGATGTTATAGGGTGCCCCATATAAAAGTGATTAGTTAATTGAAGCATGTATTTGAAATGGGACATCTTCTAAGCAGACTAAACTAGATATATGAGAAAATGTGATTGTTTACTAACTGCCCTAGTATAAGAGCCCTGTGGCTTTGAAAAAAAGTGACTTTTCAAAATGCAACCAATCTAAACCTTTTATTTTAGGTGACACAACTACTTGATTTTAAAATAGTTAAAAAATACTAACCTTATGTAGGAATGCTAATGCATCTTTCTTTTTGGAGTGAGTCGTTTATTCTATTATGATTCAGATGCTAACTCATGAATTGGAGAAATAATAATTTTTAAAACAATTTTTAAAACTTCTATGCTCTTCCATTGTAAAATCTTAGGATGTAACAGTTCCCCTGGGGGAATTTACTCTTAGAAAGCCAGTTACAAAATAATACAATATAAAATAAATTTCAGTCTGCATTTGGGATTTGCCTATAACACATCAGTCTGATCCATAAGCCAAAAGAAACATTTTTATTTATGCTTCCATTCTCCTTCCCTCTTTTCTCTCTCCATTTCTCCATTTCTCTTCTGAGTGCCTTTAGTTCTGTTTTGTCACTAAGAAAAAATTCTTACATGTTTGACCAAAGGCCAAAGGTGAATGCCAAGTAAATTCAGTCACTTCTTTGAGGATTAATGATGGGATTTCTACCCAGCATGCCCCAGGTTTGCTGTGTCCAAGTTTTGCCAAGATAAATCTCTGGGCAGTCCAGTACTTGTTTGGAAGAGGACTTGAGAAAAGTTTAATCATTTCTGGGGTTGGTTTTTTGACAGGTCAGCAGAAAACTGCTTTATTGAATCCAGCTTAATGTATTTGAGTAAGATTCAGGAAATAAAGAGTATTGGCTTTGGCAGCAGGTTTGGGCAATAGGCAAATGCAGGGCGTTCTCAGGAAAGCCACCAATAAGCATATGTATCTCTCAGGAAACAGAATACCAGGAACCCATAAAGAAGCCAGTTTTCTAGCTGGGTAGACATCAAGTATCAATTGTTCCTAGACACAGTTGGATAGAGAAGGAAAAACTGGGTCCTGGCCTAGGTTCATCATATGACCATGATCTCTAATGACAACAATAGCAGTGTCAGCAAAACCATGGGTTCCCAGAAAACTCTCCTGGTATCTCTAGTGAAGACCTAGGAATAGAAGGATAACTAGAAATCAAATTATTATGAAATAGTGGTGAAGAAATAAAAATGGGAACATCAGGCACAGAATGAATGTACAAAGGAAAGAGGAAGGAAGTGAAAACATCCCAAAAGAGTCCAAAGGGACATGTGTTCCTATATGCCATGTCATCTAAGAAAGATACTGGCTACATATGGTTCTTTTGAAGCCCTAAAGATTTGCATTTCTCAGGAGTGATCAGGCCCTGAGAATCTGACTCATGCTTACCAAAATACTTGCATGACTGAGGTCAACATAAAAATGACAATTTATTAACAAAGGAAAATATAACTACTATGTGGCCTGGGAGTACATGCAAGAGCATGATCACCACAGTCTTTCCCCTGGAGACAAACCTCCGTTAGAGACTTCATCATGGCTAGAAACCATGGGAAAAGTACAATGATTTCAGGGATAAAATCTGTATCATTAGCCTGTTCTTTCCTCAAAGTCAAGCAACTTAGGAATCAGAAGCTGCCTGGTGATCTTGGATGCAGAACAAAGGGTCTTTAAAACCAAAGGTCTAATTGTACCAGTCTAGGGACATGTGATGCCTCTATTTCTTGAGAGGGATGGTTTTTCTGAACAGGCCAGGGTAGTCACAGTCTGATGGAAATGGCTCCCAAGATCCAGTTCTTGCAATACAGCAGCTTTGCAATTAGACCAGAATAAGCATAAGAAATCTCCCTTTTTGATTTACTTGGATTTTCAGGCTTGTTCAAACCTCATTCCTAAATCTACTTTTATTTGATAATGGAGTGCTTCTATGCAAAGGTTTACTTCACAGCTGATGTTCACCACCTGTACTCTCCAGGATCTGTCTAGCTCTTTCATCAACCAAGTAGAGAATCAAAAGACAATGAAATAGAAGTAACCGTGCATATACAGTAGTCCCCCTTTATCTGTGGTTTTGCTTTCCATGGTTTCAGTTACCCACTAAAACAGGTAAACACAGTACAATAAGATATGGGGGGGGTGGTGGTTGGGGAGAAAATGAGACCACATTCACGTAACTTTTATTATAGTATATTGTTATAATTGTCCTATTTTGTTATTAGTCATTGTTGTTAATATCTTACTATTCCTAATTTATAAATTTAACTTAATCAGAGGTATGTATGTATAGGAAAAGAACATAGTATATAGGATGCAGTACTATTTGCAGTTTTAGGCATCCACTGGGAGGTCTGGGAATGTGTCCCCGGCATTTCCAGTCTTCATTGTTGATATGACACTGGTCAGTCCTCAGAGTTGCAGTTTGGCTTTTGGTTAAATATTGTGGTAGGGAGAGATGTTTCAGAGTATATCATTTATTACTTATTTCCATATTCTTTACTCTTTGAATTAGGAAGCCTATATTGGCGGGAGGCTCTGTGATTCAGGGTATCAGTTCTTCAGCTCCTGAGTGTGTTATTACAGATAACCACATAATTGATTCCAGCGGGGCCCACTGATGAGGATGCTAACATTCCATTTTAAACCTGAATCCCCTATGCCCTTAATCTGATTCGTAGACTATAGAGCTATTCCCAGTCCCCAGGAATTAGTGTTAGCTCAAAGCCAGCAAGCAGTAGTACAAAGGGTGTGTTTCACATTCCCCAGTGTAAAATTATTCCATTTAATGCTGTAGGTGCCTGTGTAGATGGACAATATAAATAGAGAACATTTTTTGAGCACTTACTATGTGTCAGGCACTATTCAAATACTTGTTTCTAAATATTCTAAATGCTGGTATCTCCATCAAATATCTAAGGGCCTTGTTATAAAAAATGTTTTTTCTGGGCTCACATAGGGACATATATAAGGGATGGGCAAGCTACACATGTTAAACCCTCCACATATTCCATCTCTCCAAACATGGGCAAGCTACGCATGTTAAACCCTCCACATATTCCATCTCTGCAAGCAAGAAATGGGTCTCTAGGCTAAATGTCTGGTAAATGTCTCTTACATACCCATGGATCCACCTCATTTTCTTGAACTGCCGCATAGTATTCCATTGATTTGATAACCCATGGTTTATTTATTCTCTTCCATCAACAGACATTATAGTTTCTCTGTTTGTTGCTACTTCAAACAATACTTCAATGAATAGTTTTATATGTCTCTGAACACATGTGAAGGTTTCTGTAGAATTTCTACCAAAAGGAGGCTTTAAGTTTGTTTACATTTTGCCTCTGTGTTTAGAGAGGCCAAGTCCCTTTATCCCTTCCCACTTAAAGAGAAGACGCAGTAACTATAGTTATGAACTATGAGGAGCAGAGATAGAAGGCTTTTAAGGAAAAATCAGTAAATGGTAAATGGAACACTTCCAAATAAACAAATGAACAAACACATAGGCAAAACCCCTAAACCCACAAACACCTTAACCAGTAATCTTGTCTTAATAATGAAAATCAACTTCTGTGTAGATACCAGAAAACTGAAAATAGGGCAAGCAAATCTTGGCCCCAAAATCTGAGTAGGGACAATTAAAACTTTAGAATAGGCTCCAACTTTCAAAAGACAGATTTAAAAACACAGTTTTCTAAGCCAATTATATAGAGTGTAGGGTTTTACATATCCAATGCTCTCATCTATTTTTTCCCCTCCAAGCTTACAGGAAAACACTGTTTATTTCTGACATTTGGAAAAGCTGTTTCAGCCTCAGTGTTGACTGATAGTAATAGATATAAGAATTAATAAAAGAGATGTATTTGGTGAGTCACCAGCACAAGAGCTAAAACAGGCCACATCCCAAGGTAAGTGAAGCAGAACCTAGCATCATCCCATGGTGTTTTGAAGCTATGATTGAAAGTCAGAAGGGAGGAATATGTGTTTGCCAAGAAACATCAATGCTTTTGACTTCTTTCAACCTAGACTCATTGGTGGCATTTCCAGGGAGCTGATGATGTCTGGAGGGGAGAGTATAAATCTAAAGTCAAAAGCCTTGCTGAAATAGATTTGCTTTAGCTTCTTATTTTAAATGCATACATGTTTCATGGTGAAAATTTTGAAATGGAATATGTTAGCAGGAAGTGATAGGCTAGTCTTCACTGGTATTCAGGCAGGTCTGCCTGGTTTTTCACTAAGGGTAAAAAAAAGCCCAGGAAATCTCACATTTTTCATATTCCTACTCATATCCTCTTAATAAAAAAGACAAACCTAAAAACAAAAAAAGCCAAATACTTCAATTAACGAACTTATTCTAATAATGAAAATCAGCCTATATAGATATCAGAAAACTGAAAAATTGAGAATAAACAATATCATTGATTTGATATCCCATATCATTATAATCACAATACTTTATCGTGTTTTCCAGTAAAGAAGTTTCATACGTAATTGACTCTGATTTTAACATAAAGAATCCTAAATTTATCTGTTCACTTTGCAATTAAAAGTGTTTCTCTAATTTGTTGATGAATCTCTATCTTTGGATAGTATTATTGTTACTATGAGGTAGTAAGGGCCAAATGTATGGATCAAGGTGTCTCCTTCAAATTGTCACTGCTTCTTTTCTAGTAAAGAATATGTAGAATTTCTTCCTTCATCTACTTTGGGCTCTTGCTTGACATTTAATTCAGTTATGTGGGTTCTGGTGAACTTACATATTCTGAATTAAGTGGAAAGGCTTTACTCCTCCATTCACTGTAGCTCTTTAAACAAACTAAAACAAAGACTCCAAAAAACATCTTAGCAAAAATACATAGCATGTATATATGGGCTGAATTATGTTCCCTCAAAAATCCATATGTTGAAGTCCGAACTCCCAGTACCTCAGAATGTGACCATATTTCGAGACAGGGTATTTACAAAGACAACTAAGTTAAAATGAGGTCATTAGGGCCAGTCTAATCCAACATGACTGATGTCCTTATAAGAAGAGGAAATTTGGACACTGACACAGAGAGAAGATGATGTGAAGGCACAGGAAGAAGACAGCCACCTAGGAGCCCAGCAGAGGTGCCTGCAACAGACACTCCCCTCACAGCCCTTCAGAAGAAAGCAATGCTGTTTACATCTTGGCCTTGGACTTCTAGCCTTTGGAAATGTGAGAAAATAAATGCCTGTTGTTTAAGTCACCCAGTGTTTCTTTTTTGTGGAGGTCCTAGCAAATTTATACTGCATGGATGCTTTATTCCTCAGATTTCCCTGCTTGAAATCCTCATACCACTTCAGATTTGAAAAATAATCTCTACACACTAAATAAAAGGTTATTATTTGTTTCTCTCCCTGAACTCAACATGACATGAGTTTTGTGTCTTCACTGGAAAATATTTTAAATTTTTTTAAAAATGTATATAATATAAATATTAAATATATATTATATAGACTATATAGTATATATCAAATATATATGCTATATATTTTTAAAAATTATATATAAATATATAATATATGTATTTATATATTTAATATATATAAAATGTATTGTTTTGCTTATGGCCTATGTATCATTTTAACATTATCCAATTGCTGGCTCTCTGTCAGGGGCCTACATTGCATGTATACTGTAGGATCTTCCACCCGCATATGCCTGGATTTCTTCATGATTTTTTTCTACTTTAATGATGGTTTGTTATTAATTCATAATTTCAAGGGACCTAATATATAACTGATTTTTAAAATGTCTATAAATTAACAAAGAAAAGACTAATCATACTTTTTGGCATTATTAACAGCTGTATTCCCATCTCCTGATTTTTAGATATGCATTTAACTTGCTTTCATGGCCTGTGGCCCACAGGTTAATTATATAGTTTGTTGTTTTAGGCATCTGGACAACTTACTCTTCGCTATAAAAATTTATTTTTCTCCTTTCATACTTTTATCTATGTAGAATACTGTCTCATTACCTCAAGACCAAACTGAATGTATGAGTGCAAGATAGGCAAATTTGTGTCACAGGTCAAGTGTCATGCCCAGTTTGCCCTTGGCAGGTAAATTGGAAATAGGGTAAGGATACTCTGAAGCCCTTAGTTTTGAACTTACATTCCAATTGGATTATATGTATATTTAAGATTAATGTCGCAGTGAACACATAGAATTAGTTTGTGACTTATGAGTGATTCCTTACTCTTCACTCTGGGTGTTTGGGAGATAGTGACTAAATGACATTTACAAATAGCAAATAATATGATTTCAAAATTCAATCTCCAAGGCAAGTATGCATACAGATTAAGATAAATTTGTAACCCTTGCTGGTGGTTCTGCTTTGGCATGAGATGGTTTCTTTGTGTAACTAGCAACTGCAGATGGTTTATAACTATCAAAGGGACTGAGGATTAATGTAGATATTTTACAATCTGCTGTAAGCATCATTTGTATTATACATTTATATGACACAGTAGGTTACAATGATAGATTTGCTTTAGGTTACTCTGAAAATATTTTGAAAATGATAGAAACTTTTATATATAGCCAAATGGTTTAATTGATCAATTCTAGTGATATTCCTCTACAAAAAAAGGCATCTGGTCAGATAAAACTGCTTTTGCTGACAAAGAAAATAAAAAAGAATGGTCAAATAAAAAGTAATTCATCTATTTATGCTTTCATGAAGAAACAAATATCATTAGCTTAGGAGCTTTATGGCTTTTAAAAAACTTGTTTCTTATAGGAATGATGTGGTTTAATGTTTGTGTTATTGTATTTTTGTGGTTAAATGTGTCAGTGGTTTAATATGGGAGTAATCTAAGAGAGGGTATTGTAGGAGGAGATTGAACTGAACACACATCTAGCTCTCCTCCTGCCCTAAATTCCTTATGTGACCTAAAAAAGATTACACACACACACACACACACACACACAGAGAGAGAGAGAGAGAGAAAGAGAGAGAAATTCAGAATAGTGTTGGCAAGAGAGAAAGAATGTCATCAGCCGGTAGAAAATTGTGAGAATTTTTGCAAGTTAGAAAGGACACAATCCTGAGAATCCCCAAGCTGAGAGTGACCTAATGTAGAGAAGGAGATCAAGTGACAGCCATCACAGTAATTAAACAGGAGCTAAAATCTGAACAGTACAACTGTTCTGTCCTATCATTTACGCCACTATACTAAATGGCAAGCACAAATAGAACTCAATGTCAGGCTAAGTCTGAAAAGTATTATCAAAATTAATCTCTTTCGGGTCTGAGCAAGAAGAAGATCAGATTGTGGACTGACTTGAGATGCCCACGGGCATGAAGCCAGGAAAAAAAAAGGAGCACTCTGCTGTCAGGAGGTTAAACCTTGAAGTGCTTCTCTGCTGAACTCATCACCTTCCTAGGCTGGCAGTCAGGAGAGGGCATGAGCTCCTTGCCTACCTGCCAGTCCATGCCTCAGGAAACTTAACAGACACTGTCCAGTAGACCCACCTTAAATATTTACATAGAACCTAAAAGTAGCCTTTTCACTCACAGTTGAGACCTGGTGGAACATCAGACCTATATCACCACAGAGGATTGATGAAAACCAATAGGAGGACAAGGATGAACTAACAGAGCCACTGATCCAAGGTTATAAAATAAATAATTCAAGGAACAGATGAAAACTTAACCAAAGACACTTTTTACAGATCTTTAGAGAGAATCAAGTGGTGATTATCTATTAAAAGGAAAGAAGAAAAAGGAGGGAGAGGAGAAGGAGGAGAAAGATAAGGCTCTTAGGAAGATGAGTAATTAGAGAAGACAACAGTGGTTATAGATTGGCAAAGTAGAAAAAAATCTAATGCAAGGAAAATAATTAATTAAAAAACACTTAACAGGAGTTCCAGAAAAGAGAACATGAACATAGTAAATGGAAAAGATGAAAAGGAGGTAACAGAGGAATTTCCCTTGAGCTGAAGATTTGAGTCTTCAGATTAAAAGGGTGCACTTATGTGTCTACATCCTACTGAAATTTCCAACCTCAAGATTAAAAGAAAATTTTTAGAGCTTTTAGAGAGAAAATAAATCATTTAATCAGTCAAACTCACTAACATGTAGGTGAGAAATAAGTGAATAATCAGACTTCTAGAGGCTTTTTTTTTTTGTCTGTGAGCAGATGGAAGACCTTACTCCCACTCTTCATGCCCACGTAGATTAATTTTAATTTGGTCCTCTGGTTCAAACTTGACTGATTATCTTAATCACCTGTGAAGCCTTTGAAAAGTACACATCCATGGGCCCTACTCTCAGAGATGTAGGTGTATTAGATCCAGGGTGTGGTCTGGGAATCTGTATTCTAAAGAGCTCCTTGGTTTGGAAACAAGTGACTTAGCCCACAGACACTGATGACTCAATTCCATTAGCTGTTTGGTGCACGTGGGGCTCCATTCCATGGATATGAGCTCCTCACGCTAGACCACAAGGCTGACTCAGTGTGTTCTGTCTGAGGCCATATGAGTCTCATATGGCCAGCACCCAGGCCACAGAAATTATATTCATGGCTTCTGCTTTTAGACTAAACATGTCTTAGATGACAAACTATAAAAAGATGTAAAATATTTTTGCAAATCCAACTCTATTGGTAGCCGTTATCTTTCATTTCTGACTCCCCAATCATTGTTTGAAGGCTTAAATTTCACAAATAGAACTAAGGGTTCACTAAGAGTTTTGCAGTAAAGTTGCAGCTGTCCCATTCATGTGGATTTAATTAGAAAGATTTTGCCAATAACATTTTACAGATTTATCTTATTTGTAGAGAAACCCCCAGAGTGCCCTTTAATCCTGTCAAATGTGTCATTAAGGGAATATCTTACACCGATTGCATAATCAGAAGTTATATGAAGTAAAGGTGCAGCGTCTACAATACAGTACATGACGTAAGCTCTGACCAGCAGGGTTAGTTATGCTCAGGAAGTCAACTATCCACCATCTTGTCGGATCCATGCAGTCTTAGCAGACTTTCTTCACACCATGGATGATTGAATCCACTACTCTTTGCATGTTTAAAGACAGAGAAGGCAGATTCTCTGCAGAGAGACGTGAAGAGAAGGTATGCCATGCCTATAGTTGAACGCTGCAGTGGTAGGTGGTGTGAAACTAACTTTTTTACCTTTTTGAAGTATTAGGAAAGAAAAAGTATGTAGGTGAAAGTGGAATGTAATTTCCAAACACTAATCAGATGAGAAGCATTAATTTAGTGTTACTTTTCTTTTGGTCTGCTTTTGAAACAATGGCAGACTTTTGAAGGCTCTCTCCTTTCTTTCCTGTTTGAATTTATTTTCTGATTACACTTTAATACAATAAAATAGATTCATCAGAAACTTTCATGGCATTTCCCTGCCATGGCTCTTTTTTCACCCTGATTCTTCTCTCCAGTGTGTTCCTTTGTTCCTTTGTTTAGCCTCATAACACTCTTTCAGCCTCATAACACTCTTTCAGACTGTCTTCAATCTTAAAGGAAAAGGAAAAACTGAAAAAAAAATTAAACATTAAAAAAATCACTTTTATAAGAAGCAATTCCCCTTTTGGCTACACTGAACCTCACTAGCATTAGTTTATGTGGGTATTGTCCAGCCAGCAGAGCTTCCCTTTGGAGGTACAGTCATTCAATTTCTTTGATACACACAATGGTTAAATATGTTTCATTTTCATTTTCTAATCAGAAAAGAAGAGTGCTAAAATAAAATTTGGCTTCGAGGAAATCTGTGTGTTCAACTGAGTGTGTTGGAATTTCCAAAAGATTATGCTCCTTTCAGGTCCAATAAGTTAGAAGGAAATTTTGATTGCGGTGCCTGGTACTTGTAGAGAATGTGATTAAAAATTGATTAAAGGCCTATCCAAAGATATAGTTGAGATACTAGCTATAATTTTAGAAGATAATAAAAGTCATGACCTGTATATTTCTAA
Source organism: Homo sapiens (assembly GCF_000001405.40). Taxonomy (NCBI): domain Eukaryota; kingdom Metazoa; phylum Chordata; class Mammalia; order Primates; family Hominidae; genus Homo; species Homo sapiens. Next base: position 111,996,466 of record NC_000005.10, on the reverse strand, counting down.
ATTTCTTTTACAGTTAAAGAATATTTGCTTGACCCGATGAAATAAAATGAAACAATAAAAACCTAGTTTATATAAGAACCCCAAATACAGTCCTAGTCATCAAATCCTAATAATTGTGTGTCCAGGGGAGAAGAGGTCCCAGTAATCCTACTTTAGCCTTTACATGTTTGTGATATTTATTTTAAACACTTTAGGAAGTCAGTATGACATATATTCCTCTTTCCTTTTCGTTAAATTGAAGACACATTGAGTACCATAACTACACTGTAGAAATAGAATACTGATTCTATTAGAGAAAGGTGACATTTACTTTATCTTGATTTAGAGGATAACTTATGTAAATTACCAAAAAAAGGCAGGAGATGTCAAGTCTTTCGCATAAAATTCAAGTGAGATCAACACATTCATTGACACATCACTGAGGGATAAATTTTTTATTGCATCCTATATATTTGTTCTAAGAATTCTGATTATATTTTTATTGTTAAAAGCTACTACAGATAGTTTGGTCACATCTTAGAAGTAATGAACGGTCACCATGACCTCATTCTTGGGAGTGTTGTCATTTGAGACCTTGTGTTTGAAAAGTGTCCGGAACTGGCAGTACTGTTGATGTGCTACTCACCTTTTACATCTGCATACATTTATCAGAAGTGGATTTGAGGTTTGCATAAATATTATGCATTTTAAAAACTATACTACCACGTTCTTTTTGGTTTCTTTTATTGTTAGAGTCCTTACTGTGTAGAAATAGTTTTTAATATTCCATTATGTTTAATTATTTTGATAAAATAGCAAGTTTACACTACAGTTTATTTTAAATAAAAATAAGTGCAAAATAAAAGTTTAAAGTAGACTTTGCCACAGTTTTTGCAAACCTGGCTTTTTGCTTTTTGTTTTCATTTTTTTTTAATTGTGGGAAAATGTTTCTGGAGAACCTCAAATGAAATAAAGTTAGACACAGAGTCACATTTTAGAGGCATATAGAGAAAATGTGGCTTTTTGTTTGCATTATTCTTTTTTACTCTGTACGGTGAAAAATTGGTTTTATTTCTTATCATATATCAATAATTTTTTTTTTTAAATTTGAGACAGTCTTGCTCTGTGGTCCTGGCTGGAGTGCAGTGGTGCCATCTCGGCTCACTGCAACCTCCACTTCCCAGGTTCAAGTGATGATTGTGCCTCAGTCTTCTCCTGAGTAGCTGGGATTACAAATGTGAACTGCCACATATGGCTAATTTTTTAAAAATTATTATTATACTCTAAGTTCTGAGCTACATGTGCAGAAGGTGCAGGTTTGTTACATAGGTATACATGTGCCATGGTGGTTTGCTTCAGTCATTAACCCGTCATCTACATTAGGTAGTTCTCCTAATGCTATCCCTCCCCTAGCCCCCCACACCCCGAGAGGCCGTGGTGTGTGATGTTCCCCTCCCTGTGTCCATGTGTTCTCATTGTTCAGCTCCCACTTATGAGTGAGAACATATGTTGTTTGGTTTTCTGTTCTTGTGTTAGTTTGGTGAAAATGATGGTTTCCAGCTTCATCCATGTCCCTGCAAAGGACATGAACTCATCCTTTTCTATGGCTGCATAGTATTTCACAGTGTATATGAGCCACATTTTCTTTATCCAGTCTATCATTGATGGGCATTTGGGTTTGTTCCAAGTCTTTGCTATTGTGAACAGTGCCGCAATAAACATATGTGTGCATGTGTCTTATAGTAGATGGATTTATAATCCTTTGGGTATATAGCCAGTAATGGGATTGCTGGGTCAAATGGTATTTCTGGTTCTAGATCCTTGATCTAGATCACCATACTGTCTCTTCCACAATGGTTGAACTAATTTACACTCCCACCAACAGTGTAAAAGCATTCCTGTTTCTCCATATCCTCTCCAGCATCTGTTGTTTCCTGACTTTTTAATGATCGCCTTTCTAACTGGTGTGAGATGGTATCTCATTGTGGTTTTGATTTCCATTTCTCTAATGATGAGTGATGATGAGCTTTTATTCATATGTTTTTTGGCCACATAAATGTCTTCTTTTGAGAAGTGTCTGTTCATATCCTTCACCCACTTTCTGATGATGTTGTTTTTTTCTTGTAAATTTTTTTAAGTTCTTTGTAGATTCCGGAGATTATCCCTTTGTCAGATGGATAGATTGCAAAACTTTTCTCCCATTCTGTAGTTTGCCTGTTCACTCTGATGATAGTTTCTTTTGCTGTGCAGAAGCTCTTTAGTTTAATTAGATCCCATTTGTCAATTTTGGCTTTTTAAGAAACAAATTATATTCTGCTTTACGTTACTATTTTTTAAACATATTGTATCCCCTTCCTAGTTTCTACACTCTTTTGGAGTTTATATACCTTCCCTAAGATATAACCAAATCCTGGGCACATAGGTGCATTGATATTAAATAAATGCACAACTCAAGTTTCTACTTTACATCCATATCACAAAGCTTGGCATCAAATAGTTTACAGTCTATTTGAGGAGAAAATTTGTAGGCTAACCGTAATGCAAAGTAGGATGAAATAAACACTTTAATGGTGATATGAGTAAAATAGTGGTGAAACCCAAAGTAAGAGTGATTAGCATAAATTTGGGAGTGGAGGAAGGAAGGGGATTAGTATAACCCTCACAGAACAAGTGACATTGAGCCTGAGTCTTTCAGAATCAGGAGCACTTCTGTAGGCTAAGGAGGTAGAGGAAACATGGGTTTCTAGCTTAGGAGCTGTAAAAAGCACTACCCATATGGAGAATAGAAATCGGCCCCATAAACCTGGAGCTTATCTTCTCAGAGGGAAACAGTAGCACCACATCACCTCTGTTAAATGCACTCTCAGGAGTTCAGACTTTGTTCTGCTCAGAGAAAAGAGCCAACAAAGATTTCTGAAGGAGAAATAACATACTATGGGCTCTGAGACTAAGGAGAATGACTTTGGTATCAGTAGGTGGGGTTAATTGAAGCAGGGTTCTCCAGGCAAGGTATGGTGAGCCTCTGAGTTAGAATGATAGTGAGAAAAGAAAGGGAGGGGACAGATACGGGTGACATTGTGAGGTATAGTTAATAGTGCATGGAAACAGCCCTGTCATTGTCCTTATCATACCAGAGGGTTTCCTTGTACTTGCAGCACACAGCTGGAATCCCTGGTATGACACACAAGTCATTTTCCACCTGCATTGATTCCTTTCTCTTTTCCCTTTTTCTTCCCACTCTCCTCGTGCAAGCATGGCATGCTGGGCTCCACCTATGTAAACCTTCTCTCCGTGCTTTATGCTCTCACATGTCTCCTTGGTTTTGAATATTTTATTCGTTATGCTGGATGTATTCTTCCTTTCTCTCCAGTTTCTGAACATCTACTTAGTTTTTAAAAGCCCAGCTCAGCTGAGCATGGTGGCTTACACCTATAGTCCCAGCTACGGGGTTGGGGAGGGTTGCGTTGGGAGGATTGCTTGCACCCAAAAGATCAAGGCTACAGTGAGCCATGATTGTGCCACTGCACTCCAGCCTGGGTGACAGAGTGGGACCCTGTCTAAAAAACCAAAAACACCCAACCCAAATGTTACCTTTTTTTGGAAGCTTTCCTAACCAGATCTCTACTGCCCCCAACACTCCCACATCCATTGCTCCCTGGACTTAGTCACTCTCTCCCTTGCCTCCCAGAGCAGTGTATTTATCCTTTTAAAATAAAACTAAACACACAACACTATACACCCATTAGGCTAAAATTAAAAATTGTGACAACACCAAATGCTGGTGAGAATGCTGCAAAATTTGATCACCCACACATTGCTGGTAGGAATGAAAAATGGTACAGGCATCCTGGAAATAGTTTGAAAGTTTCTTTTTTTTTTTTTTTTTTTTTTTAAATGTAAACATTCAACTATCATATGACCCAAAATTGTACTCCTGGGTGTCAATCCCAGAGAAATGAAAATGTATGCTCACACAAAAATCTGCACACAGACATTCATAGCAGCTTTATTGTGATAATAAAAAACTGGAATTACCCCAGATGTCCTTCAACAAGTGAATAAACTGTGGTAAATACATACCATGGAATACTACTTAGCAATAAAAAGGAATAAACTATTGATAAATGCATTTGCATTTATCTTGGATGAACTTCCAGACTATTATGCTGGCAACAAGAAGCCATTTCCCAAAGGTTACAAACTGTATGTTCTGAATAGCTTTCTCATTTTATAACTGCAGTCTGTTTAGTAGCAATAATCTTGATGCAGAGTTTACATTTTCATCTCTTTGCCAAGGAGACTATCACCTGACTTTTCTCAAATCTAAGTAGTTACGTGTCACTTTTAATTAGCAATTAGAAATGGACGTAAGAGGTGGAGCCAAGATGGCCGAATAGGAAGAGCTCCGGTCTACAGCTCCCAGCATGAGCGACACAGAAGACGGGTGATTTCTGCATTTCCATCTGAGGTACTGGGTTCATCTCACTAGGGAGTGCCAGACAGTGGGCACAGGACAGTGGGTGCAGCGCACCGTGCGTGAGCCAAAGCAGGGTGAGGCATTGCCTCACTCAAGAAGCGCAAGGGGTCAGGGAGTTCCCTTTCCTAGTCAAAGAAGGGGGTGAGAGACGGCACCTGGAAAATCAGGTCACTCCCATCCTAATACTGCGCTTTTCCGATGGGCTTAAAAAACGGCGCACCAGGAGATTATATCCCACACCTGGCTTGGAGGGTCCTATGCCCATGGAGTCTCCTTGATTGCTGGCACAGCAGTCTGAGATCAAACTGCAAGGCGGCAGTGAGGCTGAGGGAGGGGCGCCCGCCATTGCCCAGGCTTGCTTAGGTAAACAAAGCAGCCTGGGAAGCTCCAACTGGGTGGAGTCCACCACAGCTCAAGGAGGCCTGCCTGCCTCCGTAGGCTCCACCTCTGGGGGCAGGGCACAGACAAACAAAAAGACAGCAGTAACCGCTGCAGACTTAAATGTCCCTGTCTGACAGCTTTGAAGAGAGCAGTGGTTCTCCCAGCACGCAGCTGGAGATCTGAGAACGGGCAGACTGCCTCCTCAAGTGGGTCCCTGACCCCTGACCCCTGAGCAGCCTAACTGGAAGGCACCCCCCAGTAGGGGCAGACTGACACCTCACACGGCCGGGTACTCCTCTGAGACAAAACTTCCAGAGGAACGATCACACAGCAGCATTTACAGTTCACGAAAATCCACTGTTCTGCAATCTCTGCTGCTGATACCCAGGCAAACAGGGTCTGGAGTGGACCTCTAGCAAACTCCAACAGACCTGCAGCTGAGGGTCCTGTCTGTTAGAAGGAAAACTAACAAACAGAAAGGACATCCACACCAAAAACCCATCTGTACATCACCATCATCAAAGACCAAAAATAGATAAAACCACAAAGATGGGAAAAAAACAGAGCAGAAAAACTGGAAACTCTAAAAAGCAGAGCGCCTCTCCTCCTCCAAAGGAACGCAGCTCCTCACCAGCAACGGAACAAAGCTGGACGGAGAATGATTTTGACGAGTTGAGAGAAGAAGGCTTCAGATGATCAAACTACTACGAGCTACAGGAGGAAATTCAAACCAAAGGCAAAGAAGTTGAAAACTTTGAAAAAAATTTAGACGAATGTATAATTAGAATAACCAATACAGAGAAGTGCTTAAAGGAGCTGATGGAGCTGAAAGCCAAGGCTCGAGAACTACATGAAGAAGGCAGAAGCCTCAGGAGCCAATGCGATCAACTGGAAGAAAGGGTATCAGTGATGGAAGATGAAATGACTGAAATGAAGCAAGAAGGGAAGTTTAGAGAAAAAAGAATAAAAAGAAACGAACAAAGCCTCCAAGAAATATGGGACTATGTGAAAAGACCACATCTACATCTGATTGGTGTACCTGAAAGTGACGGGGAGAATGGAACCAAGTTGGAAAACACTCTGCAGGATATTATCCAGGAGAACTTCCCCAATCTAGCAAGGCAGGCGACCATTTGGATGCAGGAAATACAGAGAACACCACAAAGATACTCCTTGAGAAGAGCAACTACAAGACACATAATTGTCAGATTCACCAAAGTTGAAAGGAAGGAAAAAATGTTAAGGGCAGTCAGAGAGAAAGGTCGGGTTACCCACAAAGGGAAGCCCATCAGACTAACAGCGGATCTCTCGGCAGAAACTTTACAAGCCAGAAGAGAGTGGGGCCAATATTCAACATTCTTAAAGAAAAGAATTTTCAACCCAGAATTTCATATCCAGCCAAACTAAGCTTCATAAGTGAAGGAGAAATAAAATACTTTACAGACAAGCAAATGCTGAGAGATTTTGTCACACCAGGCCTGCCCTAAAAGAGCTCCTGAAGGAAGCACTAAACATGGAAAGGAACAACCGGTACCAGCCACTGCAAAATCACGCCAAATGGTAAAGACCATCGAGGCTAGGAAGAAACTGCATCAACTAATGAGCAAAATAACCAGCTAACATCATAATGACAGGATCAAATTCACACATAACAATATTAACTTTAAATGTAAATGGACTAAATGCTCCAATTAAAAGACACAGACTGGCAAATTGGATAAAGAGTCAAGACCCATCAGTGTGCTGTATTCAGGAAAGCCGTCTCATGTGCAGAGACACACATAGGCTCCAAATAAAAGGATGGAGGAAGATCTACCAAGCAAATGGAAAACAAAAAAAGGCAGGGGTTGCAATTCTAGCCTCTGATAAAACAGACTTTAAACCAACAAAGATCAAAAGAGACAAAGAAGGCCATTACATAATGGTAAAGGGATCAATTCAACAAGAAGAGCTAACTATCCTAAATATATATGCACCCAATACAGGAGCACCCAGATTCATAAAGCAAGTCCTGAGTGACCTACAAAGAGACTTAGACTCCCACACAATAATAATGGGAGACTTTAACACCCCACTGTCAACATTAGACAGATCAACCAGACAGAAAGTTAACAAGGATACCCAGGAATTGAACTCAGCTCTGCACCAAGCAGACCTAATAGACATCTACAGAACTCTCCACCCCAAATCAACAGAATATACATTTTTTTCAGCACCACACCACACCTATTCCAAAATTGACCACATACTTGGAAGTAAAGCCCTCCTCAGCAAATGTAAAAGATCACACATTATAACAAACTGTCTCTCAGACCACAGTGCAATCAAACTAGAACTCAGGATTAAGAAACTCACTCAAAACCGCTCAACTACATGGAAACTGAACAACCTGCTCCTGAATGACTACTGGGTACGTAACAAAATGAAGGCAGAAATAAAGATGTTCTTTGAAACCAACGAGAACAAAGACACAACATACCAGAATCTCTGGCACACATTCAAAGCAGTGTGTAGAGGGAAATTTATAGCACTAAATGCTCACAAGAGAAAGCAGGAACGATCCAAAATTGACACCCTAACATCACAATTAAAAGAACTAGAAAAACAAGAGCAAACACATTCAAAAGCTAGCAGAAGGCAAGAAATAACTAAAATCAGAGCAGAACTGAAGGAAATAGAGACACAAAAAACCCTTCAAAAAATTAATGAATCCAGATCAACAAAATTGATAGACCTCTAGCAAGACTAATAAAGAAGAAAAGAGAGAAAAATCAAATAGACGCAATAAAAAATGAAGAAGGGGATATCACCACCGATCCCACAGAAGTAGAAACTACCATCAGAGAATACTACAAACACCTCTATGCAAATAAACTAGAAAATCTAGAAGAAATGGATAAATTCCTCGACCCATACACCCTCCCAAGACTAAACCAGGAAGAAGTTGAATCTCTGAATAGACCAATAACAGGCTCTGAAATTGTGGCAATAATCAATAGCTTACCAACGAAAAAGAGTCCAGGACCAGATGGATTCACAGCCGAATTCTACCAGAGGTACAAGGAGGAACTGATACCATTCCCTCTGAAACCATTCCAATCAACAAAAGAAGAGGGAATCCTCCCTAACTCATTTTATGAGGTCAGCATCATCCCGATACCAAAGCCTGGCAGAGACACAACCAAAAAAGAGAATTTTAGACCAATATCCTTGATGAACATTGATGCAAAAATCCTCAATAAAATACTGGCAAACCAAATCCAGCAGAACATCAAAAAGCTTATCCACCATGATCAAGTGGGCTTCATCCCTGGGAGGCAAGGCTGGTTCAATACATGCAAATCAATAAATGTAATCCAGCATATAAACAGAACCAAAGACAAAAACCATATGATTATCTCTACAGATGCAGAAAAGGCCTTTGACAAAATTCAACAACCCTTCATGCTAAAAACTCTCAATAAATTAGGTATTGATGGGACATATCTCAAAATAATAAGAGCTATCTATGACAAACCCACAGCCAATATCATACTGAATGGGCAAAAACTGGCCGTAAGACAGGGATGCCCTCTCTTACCACTCCTATTCAACCTAGTGTTGGAAGTTCTGGCCAGGGAAGTTAGGCAGGAGAAGGAAATAAAGGGTATTCAATTAGGAAAAGAGGAAGTCAAATTGTCCCTGTTTGCAGATGACATGATTGTATATGTAGAAAACCCATCATCTCAGCCCAAAATCTCCTTAAGCTGATAAGCAACTTCAGCAAAGTCTCAGGATACAAAATCAATGTACAAAAATCACAAGCATTCTTATACACCAATAAGAGACAAACAGAGAGCCAAATCATGAGTGAACTCCCATTCACAATTGCTTCAAAGAGAATAAAATACCTAGGAATCAAACTTACAAGGGATGTGAAGGACCTCTTCAAGGAGAACTACAAACCACTGCTCAATGAAATAAAAGAGGATACAAACAAATGGAAGAACATTCCATGTTCATGGGTAGGAAGAATCAATATCGTGAAAATGGCCATACTGCCCAAGGTAATTTACAGATTCAATGCCATCCCCATCAAGCTACCAATGACTTTCTTCACAGAATTGGAAAAAACTACTTTAAAGTTCATATGGCACCAAAAGAGAGCCCACATCACCAAGTCAATCCTAAGCCAAAAGAACAAAGCTGGAGGCATCACGCTACCTGACTTCAAACTATACTACAAGGCTACAGTAACCAAAACAGCATGGTACTGGTACCAAAACAGAGATATAGATCAATGGAACAGAACAGAGCCCTCAGAAATAACGCCGCATATCTACAACTACCTGATCTTTGACAAACCTGAGAAAAACAAGCAATGGGGAAAGGATTCCCTATTTAATAAATGGTGCTGGGAAAACTGGCTAGCCATATATAGAAAGCTGAAACTGGATCCCTTCCTTACACCTTATACAAAAGTTAATTCAACTTGGATTAAAGACTTAAACGTTAGATCTAAAACCATAAAAACCCTAGAAGAAAACCTAGGCATTACCATTCAGGACATAGGCATGGGCAAGGACTTCATGTCTAAAACACCAAAAGCAATGGCAACCAAAGCCAAAATTGACAAATGGGATCTAATTAAACTAAAGAGCTTCTGCACAGCAAAAGAAACTACCATCAGAGTGAACAGGCAACCCACAAAATGGGAGAAAATTTTCGCAACCTACTCATCTGACAAAGGGCTAATATCCAGAATCTACAATGAACTCCAACAACTTTACAAGAAAAAAACAAACAACCCCATCAAAAAGTGGGCGAAGGACATGAACAGACACTTCTCAAAAGAAAACATTTATGTATGCAGCCAAAAAACGCATGAAAAAATGCTCACCATCACTGGCCATGAGAGAAATGCAAATCAAAACCACAATGAGATACCATCTCACACCATTTAGAATGGCAGTCATTAAAAAGTCAGGAAACAACAGGGGCTGGAGAGAATGTGGAGAAATAGGAACACTTTTACACTGTTGGGACTGTAAACTAGTTCAACCATTGTGGAAGTCAGTGTGGAAGTCAGGGATCTAGAACTAGAAATACCATTTGACCCAGCCATCCCATTACTGGGTATATACCCAAAGGACTATAAATCATGCTGCTATAAAGACACATGCGCACGTGTGTTTATTGCGGCACTATTCACAATAGCAAAGACTTGGAACCAACCCAAATGTCCAACAATGATAGACTGGATTAAGAAAATGTGGCACATATACACCATGGAATACTATGCAGCCATAAAAAATGATGAGTTCATGTCCTTTGTAGGGACATGGATGAAATTGGAAATCATCATTCTCAGTAAACTATCGCAAGAACAAAAAACCAAACATCGCACATTCTCACTCATAGGTGGGAACTGAACAATGAGAACACATGGACACAGGAAGGGAAACATGACACTCTGGGGACTGTTGTGGGGTGGGGGGAGTGGGGAGGGATAGCTTTAGGAGATATACTTAATGCTAAATGACGAGTTAATGGGTGCAGCACACCAGCATGGCACATGTATACATATGTAACTAACCTGCACATTGTGCACATGTACCCTAAAACTTAAAGTATAATAATAATAAAATAAAAAAATAAAAAATAAAATAAAAAAAAGAAATGGACATAAGAATATATGACATGAAATCATAATATTAGTCAGTGGTCAAATATAAATCCAGTTATTTACATCATAGTTATATATCACTTTTAATGTCACTTTGTAGGGAACTGTTGACTGTAAAACTAGGGTGCAGATTCTAGTATCACAAATGTATAAGGAAACTTGAGTTATTATCTCGCTCTATGCCCTGATTGTGATGATCTGGAGTAGCAATCGATTTTCTTCTTGACAATGTCTAGGCATTTATTCATATTACATACTCTCCTTCAGCCAATTCTTGAGTTTTATCAACTGATTTTTTATGGAATTATGTTCTATGTCCAAATGAAATGCCTTTCATTAGCAGGGACTATGTTGTACTCTCTTCGTGCTTCTACAATCTTCTGTTGTTTTACGTAACAAGGCAGATACCCCTATTATGTGTGTTTATTGATTGGATCAATGGCTAAACACATGCTTTAATTTTATCCCATTGTCTCACATCTGAGCCTTTAAGGAAAACAGCATCAAGCCTCTCTCAGTCATGAAGATGATAATCAAGTCAGCCCTTAGTCTTCTCTAAGTTAAGGAACTCTAATATAACCTTTTCCTATGTAACCTAATTTTCTTTGTTAATCATTCTTACTATTTTACTTTGAATCTGCTCTAGTTTCCACACATCTTTTAAAAATTTGTCACCAATTGGACACTCTGTTCCAATGAGATCTCATTAATTGTAAATATATCAGATTGATTACTTCCTGTTGCCTGCAGATTATTCATGTGTTACCTGTTTTCCTTAGGCCTCAACTTTGTGACTGCGCTACATTGTAGGCTCTTGATAAATATTTGTTGAATGACTAAATTTGTTTACAATTTGGTGATATTAATCTTTCTTTTTGGGAAAAGTGTACCAAGATGTGTTCCTATCTGGCCCAATATCACTTATGTTAGTAAAAACAGCTGTTTCTGTTTTTACTCAAAGAACAGAGCAAACATCCAATTGACAGCCATAGGCTGTCAGAATTGCACTTACCCTCTGACCAGGAAGGTACAGAAGTGCCAGACTTACCTGCCTGATGCTGTCCTCGTGATGCCGTCCTAGAAAGAGCCTCATGTGGTTGGATTTCTGGCAGGCCTATCATAGCAATCCTATAGATATAATCAGGCACACCCTGACACCTTTGTGACATATTATAGCATCATATTATGTTTTTGGCAAGGGTTTTTTTTTTTTAGTTTTTTTGTTTACTGAAAAGTAGGAATTGTGTTTTAGTCACCTTGTGTCTTGCACATAGTAGGCACTCAAGTACTTGTTGAACTAGAGGCTGAATAAATGGAATTTTCATCTTATGATAGTTCAATGAAGATGGCCTGTTTAATTTTAATAATAGCAAGCAATAAATATTTTCCCATTGATAAGCTGAGATTTTTATGCTATTAGTAGAGCAAATTTGTCAAATGTTATTGTTTCAGCATTCCTGGGTTCTATTTAACTCAGAGTCTGTCTTTATACAAAGCAGACGTTCAGTATTTTCCCAGTGTTTTCTAAACTGGGAGTTGACCCATAGGGAGATCATGGGCTATTCTCAGGAAGCCACAGAGACGCAGCCCCTGTGCTCTGGATAGCTGCTTGGGGAAAAGGCAGTGAACTATGGGTGACCTGGCATTCACCACCTACTCCCTCCCCTTGGGCACTTCCTCCTTTCAGATTTGATGTGATAGTGAGGGGGAGACCAGAAATACCTCAGAATTTGTAAGATGAAATGTGAACTTATTTTGTGTGGACAGTAGATGTGAGTCATGGAAAACCCAAGGGACTTCACAGGATAAAAAACTTTAAGAAGTCCTGAGGTAACCTCAGGCTGATGCTAATTGAATTCCCTTGACAAGGAATCTTAAATGAAGTAGAGCAGTTACTGTTTTGAAATGAGCGCAAGGAAAACAATTTTCCCAGGGCGTTTCATTGGAGATGAAAAGGTCACTCAGATTTTGCAGTTACCAGTCATGTGCAAATCAGAGCTTGGATTAAGTGAGGATTCAATCCAAGGGATTTGGAATTGGAAGTCTTGGATTTGTCCTGCTAATTTTATTATTCTTATTAGTTGAAAATAGTGTGATTTCCTTTTACCATCAAAGCTTGAAATGTGTCAAGTAAAATATCAAAATGTCTGTTATCTTTAGAAGGGGTTCAGGATAAATTGACAGTCTTAACAGTTGGCATTAGGTTTGATTTATGTTTGTTGTATCTCAAGGTGCAGATATTTACTTTTCTTTGTATTTTAAGCATCTCACAGAACAACCTCCGATTCATGATTTCATCATCCCCATAGATAGTAGTTTCTTGGGACATTTCCAGTTTAAGCCAATTTCCTGGGGAAATTCTTAGTAGCCACCTGTTCTAAAAAATGTCCTAGAAAGAATGCAGTTTACTTCTTTTCTGAACTCTAGACTGGTAAGTCTTTTAGATACCTCAACCTTGAAATAACAGACACTTTACTTTCAATATGCCCAATATTGAACTAATTGTATCCTTAGCACTCCTTTCTTTCCTACATTCCTACCCTCCCTCAACACCTCCGTCTCCTGTGATCTTTACATGTAGGCTTTTTTTCCAATGAAGTTCATGGACCTTTACCCTGCTTGAAGGGGTTACCCATAAACTTTCTAGGTGCTCCCCCTCATTCATGGAAGATTCTGGGTGGATTCTGGCTCCCAGTCTCTTTCCCCCAAGTCCACCATTTATATGAATTGCTTCAGTATCTATGTAGATGACTGTGACAAACTTCATTGATCGCCTACCCAGAAGCCACCCAGTTGTTCCTTTTTCTTCCCATACAATAAACCCTGCTTTTTTTCATGTAGAAACATGTTCAGCCCCAGGAAATGAATGATGATTAGTTCAACTGGTGGTTCTCATTCCTGGTTACCTATTAGAATCTTCTTAAGAGTTAAAGAAAAGAAAAATACCACTACTAGGAACCACCTGAAAGAGTCTGCCATGATTGGAGTGAGATAGGGCACAGATGTTAATGTTTTCTAATTTGTTAGTTACTTTGCTGATAATTCTAATATGCAACCAGGCATGACAACCCTGGCTCCAAACCCACCATGGCAAACCTCAGTACACTTTGTGATTGGTCCAAGGCTATGCATGCAAAACAATTTGAGAATTTCTACCAAGGCTTTCTGGGAAAACTTTTTTTTCATGATAAAGAATTTCATAAGAAAATATCTGTTTTGCCCTTTCCATTTCTTCTGTCTTGGTTGCTGTCCTAAGAGGATGCTTGTGGCTATTGTAGCTATCTGGAAACTCTGAAGTGGTAAATCAATCTGATAAAGATGGCAGAATGGGAGAGGGTAAAAATCCAGGGTCTCTGAGGTCATTGTTCAATCTGTGAACCAACTGGGCCTGCCTACCTCTAGACTTTAGGTGAGATAAGCAGTAGTCTTACATTAAGGCCACTGTTTGTCAAATCTTATGTGTTTTGCTAAAAGTACATTGAAGATAGATTGCCCCATCCAACCTCCTACATCAAGGGTAAACAAACTCTTTCTGTACGGGCCAGATGGTAAGTATTTGGGGCTTTGTGGGCCATATAGTTTCTGTTAGATCTACTCAGTGCTGCCATTGTAGTGCAAAAGCAGCCACAGACAATATGTAAACAATTGAATGTGGCTGTTTTCCAATAAAGTGTTATTTACACAACCAGATTTTACCGGTGGGTTATAGTTTGGTGAATCATGTCCTAGATCATCATTAAGAAGTGGCATGGTGGCCGGGCGCGGTGGCTCACGCCTGTAATCCCAGCACTTGGGGAGGCCGAGGCGGGTGGATCATGAGGTCAGGAGATCGAGACCATCCTGGCTAACAAGGTGAAACCCCATCTCTACTAAAAATACAAAAAAATTAGCCGGGCGCGGTGGCGGGCGCCTGTAGTCCCAGCTACTCGGGAGGCTGAGGCAGGAGAATGGCGTGAACCCGGGAAGCGGAGCTTGCAGTGAGCCGAGATTGCGCCACTGCAGTCTGCAGTCCGGCCTGGGTGACAGAGCGAGACTCCGTCTCAAAAAAAAAAAAAAAAAAAAAAAAAAGAAGTGGCATGGTATCAGCTTTTGCAGGGTTAACTACATCTTTTATTTTTAAATATTTTCCTTTTTTGAGACAGAGTCTTGCTCTGTTGCCCAGGGTGGAGTGCAGTGGCAAGGTCTTGGCTCACTGAAACCTCTGCCTCCCAGGCTCAAGTAATTCTTGTGCCTCAGCCTCCCAAGTAGCTGGGACTACAGGCACGTGCCACCACACCTAGCTAATTTTTTTATTTTTTGTAGAGACAGGGTTTGGCCATATTGACCAGGCTGCCCTCAAACTCTTGATCTCAAGCAATTTGGCTGCCTTGGCCTCCCAAAGTGCTGGGACTGCAGGCGTGATCCACCGTGCCTGGCCCTACATCTTTTACATTTTGAAAGTAAGAGATTAACTTTCTCTTGTGGGGCAATGCAGGACACTACTGGAGAATTGGGAATTTAGTACAGGAGAGGCAAACAGAAGTGTGTTACCTAGACTAAAAGGGTAAGAGAGAATTATGAGGAGGCAAGAAACTTACACAGGGTCCCCTTAGAGGTTTTAGATGGTCCTTAGTAATTTTAGAGATTTTTATCATAAGAACAGAGCAGTGGGCATTGCCTCCATCATCGCAAACTTTATGAGATTTCCTGAAGCAACAAAATCTATTTTGACTCAGACCTTCGATGTTTGTTATTTGAAGAGAGAAATATTTACTGACATTTATAAATGATGGTGGGAGGACAAAAGGGCTAGATGGGATTCCAATTTATCAGACTGAACATCTGGGAGTTTCCTACTGAATGGACAGGTTTTTCCTCCTGCAGCAGTCTTATTTAATGGGACATAAAATCTGGTCTTTGACACCAGCTAGCTTTTACCCACCAATTCTTGTATATTTTGGCGACCGCCTAAAAGGTGCTATCTGACTTGCACAAAGAACTTTCACTCGGATCTGATGGAGGCAATCAGTTCTGCATTGTGGAATTTTCCCTCTGAGGTTTCTAGCAAGACAGTGAGACTCATTAGGCCTCTTAGAGGAAGAAAAGGAGCCCACTCTTCAGCTCCATAAGGCCCCTGCAATTGTCCAAATAAATTGAGTATGATTGCTTTTCTTCCCTATTTCACCTTTAGCTACCTTTTCCCATTTACATTTGAATTTGTTTGTATAAAAATTATGGAAGCATAGTTGCTACCTTTAGGGAGGGGTAATAGGAGCCTTGGGTAGGAGGTCAGGGAGACGTGTAGTTTGTTAGTATTCTTGTATAATATTTGAAATTTTCCATTTGCATATATTACTTTATAAGAAAAGTTGACATTTACCTGTATTTTAAAAATTGTTGGATGAGTGCATAACAGGTAGCCTTAGTAGATGAAAGTGGTAAGAGAAGGGTGTACTGTGTAATTCATTTAGGTCTTTATGTATACAACTATGTGTACTTACAAAGTACAACTATGTATACTTATGTAGTTGTATACATATTGTCCCCCAGCAGGGCTCAAAACCTAAAGTTAGCCAATGCCTATGAATATTTGCCAAAGAATGCGTATATAGCTGCCTTGCCTATTCACACAAGCGAAAGCTTGAACACTGATAAAACTACGTAACACAGGTCTGTGAAGTTTATCTATTGAGAATTAATAGCTCGGTAAATGTTACACTGGTTATGTCCATCCCAGTATTTGTTAGGACCATGGCCGCTGGGCCCTAGATAGACATTTGCAGTATGACAAATGTCTGCCTCCACCTGTCCATAGTCGACTGAGCTAGACTAAGCCAAGTAGCAGTAGGAGCTGATGGTGCAGTTGAGGAGAAGATAAAATTATACATGCATAAATGTCATGAGAAAGAATAGGAGCTGTGGGGGGTTATGAACAAATAGAAGTTATAAAGAAAGAAGCAGTAAGTAAGTAGAGGTATTAATGTAGAAAAATGCTACTAGGTAGATGTTGAGGAAACAGCTTATTATTATTACAGGAGAATTAAGAAGCTATAACAACAGAAACAGGAAATGTAGAGAGTAATTGATAGTATATCCTTTAATAGTATGGCCATTAAAGAGAAGATGTGGAAATTTTGCTGTTGAAGTCCCCAGTGCAACTTTTGTATTTGTGGGGTTTTTTTTTTTTTTTTCTGTTTGTGGATTCCTAGGAAGTCTCTGTTTTTGTATCTTTTTATAGTTATCCCCCTTACCTTGACTTAGCCTGAGTGACTCTGTGTTTTTTTCCAAAAACCTAATTCAGACCAAGTGAAAATTCCTGCTCTAGACCTCAGTCATTTTCTCCCAAATAGAAGATCTCTTTAGCTAGGGAGGCTAGGTTGGCATTATTCTTAATGGCTATGTCATGAATCTTAAGTTTCATGTTAATAGGGAATTTATAAAACTCCAAAGAATGTTTCAAGATCTACAAGTAAAAAAGTGCAAATGATATGCAGAGACTGAATATAAAAGAGAGAGGAATGTGTATGTGAGAGGGAGGGGTAGCTGAGTAGAGGAGAAGAGAAAAATTGTGAAATAGATTTCCTCTGTTCATTTCTCTTCCTACCCTCTCCAGGCACACATCTTGCACCCATTTCTTTCTTTCTTTCTTTTTTTTATTATACTTGAAGTTCTAGGGTACATGTGCACAACGTGCAGGTTTGTTACATATGTATACTTGTGCCATGTTTGTGTGCTGCACCCATTAACTCGTCATTTACATTAGGTATATCTCCTAATGCTATCCCTCGCCCATCCCCCCACCCCACAACAGTCCCCGGAGTGTGATGTTCCCCTTCCTGTGTCCATGTGTTCTCATTGTTCAATTCCCATCTATGAGTGATAACATGTGGTGTTTGGTTTTTTGTCCTTGTGATAGTTTGCTGAGAATGATGGTTTCCAGCTTCATCCATGTCCCTGCAAAGGACATGAACTCATCCTTTTTTATGGCTGCATGGTATTCCATGGTGTATATGTGCCACATTTTCTTAATCCAGTCCATCACTGATGGACATTTGGGTTGGTTCCAAGTCTTTGCTATTGTGAATAGTGCCACAATAAACATACGTGTGCATGTGTCTTTATAGCAACATGATTTATAATCCTTTGGGAATATACCCAGTAATGGGACTTGCATCCTCTTTCTACAATTCTTGGCTTCCCCAACCAATTTTACTTGAATTGCCATTGTTATAACCTATTTTTCTTCTTCCACACTTTATATTATTCTAGGGTTGAGATACCTACAGAGACCTGAAAGACATTGCAAATTAATGAAGCAGTAGGGGATAGGCTTTTTTGCTTGTTGAACGTATAGGATATTTCTCATTTCCAAAAAATGTATGTTCTGTTTAGTCAAGTCAGGTTAACTGCGGTAACAAACTACCCTCACATCTGAGTGGCTTAACATAATATATTCCTTTTCCATGTTACACAGCAGAGTAGATTTGGGGCTGTGCTCCATGCTGTCATCCAGCGATCCAGCTTACTTCCAGTTTGAAGCTCTATGACTCCCTAATCCTCCACGGAATCTTTTGCATTTGGATAAAGGAGAAGTTATGAAGAAGGTACCTCCATTTTTAACTCTTTCAACCTATGTGATCCTGCCGCTTGATCACATTCTGTTGTTCTAGATTCCAAAGGGCTGAGGAACGTAGAACCCATGAAGAAGAAAAGGACACAGATGCTGGTGAACACGAGAAATCTCTACCATATGTAGTCCTCTGAATTAGCAGGGAGGTGGCAGACACTTCTCTTTGCTTACTCAAGAGGAAACAAAAGCTTCTAAAGAGCAAGAGCCCTTCCTCTTCTTTAATGTTGCTGGATCCTTGAACCTGCCTCCCACAACTGAGACTATAAAAATGCCAGACACGTTTCTTTCCTAGCATCCCTTTCAGCTACAGACAGCCCTAAAACACACTTCCAGTGAGACATAGGTAAAATATGACTGATTTCTTGCCTGATATAATGAAAAAAGTGCAAAAGCAGTGGTATTTTCCTATTCCTTCCTTCTTTCCTCAGTTTGGGTACAGTTGAGGGAGTGCAGCTGTCTTGCAATCACTGGGCAACAGGCTGGAGGATGAAGCCAATGTGTACAAGAGGGTAGGGTGAAAGAAACAGCCTGGGTCCTCGATAACATTATTGAGCTACTGAACAACTCATAGGCCTGTTCAGCTTTGGGCTTTCCTATTCTGGGAGAAAAAAATAAAACAACCCTTTTATATAGGCTTCTCTCTGTTTGGGTATTCTGCTAGTTGCATTCCTAAACATCCTAACTGGTACACTCATAGCAGGTTCAGTGGAGTGATGAGGATGGGAAGTGACGGCTGTCATTGGAGACTGATTAAACTGAATTCAAAGTAGAGAAACAATGGCCATAAGAAGGCTGGCTGTGATGGGAGGTAGGGAAAAAGGAGATTCAGCTTAGAACTTTTTTCTATAGGACAGTGTATGTGGGGATTAAGGGTACAGACTCTGGATTCAGAAAGACAGTGGCTCAGGTTCTAATGCTATCATTTATTAGTTATGAACAAGTTGCTTAATCTCACTTAGGCTCTTTTTCCTTGTGTGTAAAATGAAGAATAAAGCAGAGCATATCAAAGAATTGTTGCAAGGGCTAAGTAAAGTCACATAGGCTAAGCTCTTAGCACAGTGCCTAGCAAGTGTTTAATACATGTTAGCTATGATTTAGGTCATCACTGATCTCTAGCCTTTTATATCTACTAATGCATATCTCCCCCTGGATTGCCCCATACATACCTCAAACTTCTAGAGTCTGCCCTTTCCCTCCCTCCCACCATATGCTCTTCATTTCTGCGAATTAGGCCAATGTCTTGGGGTAGCAGAAGGACATGTGGTGTGCTGTATGAAACTAGATGTTGGGGCTTGGGCAGATTTGATTCATGGAGCATGCTATGAGCTGTCTGGTTATCCAAGGAGCCCAATAAAAGCTGATCTCATCCTACTGATTGAGTTTGCTGACACTCTCATCATTTCCTTGTACAGTTTTTATGGTTCAGAATGACTGTTGCCAGCATCTAGAAGGAATTACTTTTCCAGGCAGTGCAATCATGCTATTTATCAAAAGAAACATTGGACAATCAGAATGGGCTGCAGAGCTGTGTCCTGAGCTGTCTGGCCAACTCCCGGCAAGAAGCTTCTTTGTCCTTTAAAGACTGAACTTTATCCTCAAGCAGTAACAGGACTGGAATGAAAGGAGTTTGGAATTATTCTGCTTTGGTATGTGAAGAATAACTTACTGTGTATGCATATGAGGGGACATTTTTAAAGGAAGAAAACAATTATAGGATGTTTGTCTCTGCCTCACTGACCTCTCCATTTTAACCTTGTTCATTTTGCTTGAAGGATGTTTTGACTCTGTTTATGAATACAAATATTTTATGTAATTCGTTCATTTATTCAATATTTGCTTATTGTCTTCTCTGGCCTCAGCACTGCTGAAGGTACTGGGATACAGTGCCACATGAGTCAGAGGAGGTTCCTGCTTCCAAGGAGGCTGAGCCTCAGCTTTTGGGGTACATGGTGTAACAGACCTGGGATGAAGGGATTGGATATGGCAAAGAGGAATGTTCCAGGAAACAAACATCAAAATTGTTTTAAGGGGAATGTTGGCTGTAGAACCTATACCTCTTAAAATGTCAGAGATGCCATAGAACAAATATTAGTTTTTCTATCATGCTTCTACCTATAGTTTTTCACTACAGCATTGAAATATGCAGAGCTCCTATTTAAGTCAAAAGCTATTGTATAATCTTTTCTGAATGAAGGCAGTAATTACTCCTTATAATATGGTTTATTATAAGAAACTGATAAAATGTTAGATCTCAAAACAATATGCACAATAAAATCCTGATACAACATAGTTAATCTATACTTTGGGGGTTTCTTTCAATTATCATTATAAAAAGGTTTCACTCTAACAAGAAGAGCAGATTAATTTGTAAAAGAATTAGATATGCTGGTTTAGTTCAATAAAGAAAAACAAGCAGGAGGAAGAAATGTGGATATAGTGAGACACTGACAAAGAATACAAAGCATCAGTGAGTCCTTAAGATAAATCTACTTCAGCATTTTGTTCTAATAATTGCAGGTGAAATTAACTATTTTTGGGGAAGAATAACAGGAATGAATCAATTCTATTTCAGGTTGACATTTTGATGTCAGGTTTTAAGCATTTGTAATTTCAAATTGAGGAGGTTAAGAAATGGAAAATATGGCATTTGAAAATTTTAATGAATATCTATGTTTATGGATACTGTTTTTCTATGTAATATGTATGCATTTTTAGTATAACCATTTTCTTTGTCAAACACCTTTTTTAGAACCACACCCCTTTCTAAAGTACCCTACATCCCTTGAGTTAATCTCTGGGCTTCTCAAAAGAGTCTTCATGGAAATAAACTGATCCTATACCCTGGCCAGTCAGTGTCCTTCTCATTTTAGAAATGAGAACAATGCCCATTCTCCTCCTCTCTGAATTGCTGGAGCTGTGAGTTGTGGCACTCAGGGGGGTCAGTGCTCACGTTTTCTACCATGTGTCTTGTCTGCAGAGCCGAAGAGAAGATGAAACACGAACCCAGAGGAGCAGGATGACAGACAGAGTCCCTTGTTCCAAATGTTTCCAGGTTCACTGCCAGATTTCTGTTCTGAATTGTGTAAGACAAACTGCTATCCTGATTTGCTCGTGTTTGTTAAGCTAGTTCAAGTTGGGTTTCCATCACATGCAACCAAGTGATTCCTGAACTGGTGCAGTCATTCCCACCATTGCCCCGTGAAAGCCTTTCCATTAATTCAGGCTTTTCAGCCTATTTCCTAAACCCCATTTGTGTGCCTTCCTCTGCATCTCTGCATTGTAACTGCCATCACTTCATTCCCTGTGGAAGTGCAATCCTTACTTAGCATCCATCCCAAGTCCCTCTACCATTGTACACCTCTGGCCAACCACCTCAGCCCTCAGCATTCCCTCCATTCTTGGAACTCACGTGGTCTTTGTTCTCAGTATGTGATCACTGGCTCTTTCCTTTTCTCCAAACTCCTTGAGTACTGAGACGGTATGTCTTAGCTTTCTGTCTCTGCAGTGCCTTAAACATTGTAGCTACTCAGTTTTGATAAATATGATGTTGCCAACTATCATTTTATAGGTATGTAAGAATCTTGAAAGTACAATGGGAAATGAACTTAAATATAATAACTCATTTTAGCTGAGTAAGAATTTTAGAATTAGGTTAAATTGAACAGCAGTAGTTCTTATAGTGATGAGTTTTATAGGAAGATGCTACTGTATTGTACACATACACCCTGTTTGTCAACGAGGATGTATATTGGAACATAGGATTGCTAACTTAATTAATGTCATACAAGGTTGTTATAGCACAGCTGTCAAGACCAAGCATTCCTGGCATTTTATGTTGATGTTGAATACCTTTTCTATTTTCTTCAACTGACTTGAAATTATGTCATGCTCCTGGCCCAGTCGTCTTCTAGGCAGGTCAATTGTCCCATGCTACAGATATGTTTATGATGCGTTCTAATGTCACCGTGCTTCCACCAATCCCTGAAAGAAATTGTCTTTTGAGCTTTACCCTGTTTCCACATCTATTTCTTTGAGGGTAACACCAGCTGCCTTACAACTTAAATAAATAATACAGCATGATATTTTCCTTGCATTCTTGGATGCAAGCCCACCTCTATTAATTCCAAACATTTTGTTAGCTGTTAAAGTGCTTGACCAGACCCAGAATAATTGGCAGAAATAAAGACTGAGGAACACGGACACTATACAGAACACACTCACTGTAGAAAGGGAAAACACAGTCACGGTAGGAAGGCAAAATGAGAGAACTCAGCAGTGAGCATTTTTTAGCTTGTGTATAAACTCTTGCAGTCAAGTGCTTATTGTAGCAGTCAGAGCACAGAGAAAATGTTCAGTATTGGAGAACTGAAATAGAGTGTGTATGTGTACTGATATATGTGTACATACTTTGGGGAAATATTTCCAAAACAAAATGCTTTACAACAAATTAGGGGTAGATAAAACAGCATTAAACCAGGTAACTTGGACAGAAAAAGAAGTTAACTGTAAACATATATTCAATGTTTCTAAATATGCCTTGTTTGCTGAACACAAATGGACTCAAAATGTAGTGCTTTGATTTAGGCTTGTGAATAGAAATTGAAGGAGAGAGATCCTTAAATGTAAAAAACTAAATCACAAAAATAACAGACCATAAGTCAGAATACCAAGGTAGTCATAAGCTTGAGCTGGAATGATGATTATTCTAGTTAGCAAAAACAGCAAGGTAGAGGAGAGACTATGATAAGCAGAATATAGGAACACAGAAATTTCAGAAAAGTTTGGGTCACAGGGCTTGGCAGGCTGGTGAAGGTCACCAGACTAAATATTTTCGCAGGATGCAAGACTTTTGACTGGAAAATAAACTCTGTTCTGGTGAAAATTCTGACAAGCCTCCATTCTACTCAAATGACTGGCATCTGTATTGTTTAAAAATAGTTTTGTATGGCTCAGGAAATGTGGGAGAAATACTTTTTTCTCAAAAAAGCTAATACCTGCAAGTGTTGCGTGTGGATAAGAGATAGCTCAGCATCACAGATCCATTAGGTTTCATCTTAATAAGAAAAACAAATTACAACCATTTTTTTTTTAAAAGGGGGTAGCAAATTTGCTATGCAGGGAAAATTATAAATTAAGATTTCAGCTGCTGGCACTGCAAGATCAGAAGAAATGCTGAGGGCTATATTTTTGAGAAATGAGTACAGTAAAATACAGAGGAAAGAAGTCCCTCTTCCTGTTGTGCTCCTAAGATGACAGCATAAATGGTCACATCTACTTAATTCCCAGGAACTGCATCACTTCTCTTTCCAGCAGGGCCAGTTTCATGGGTGCACAACCTGGTGCAGCTACACACAACCCTTCTCTCAGAAGGGGCCCCGTACTTGATTTAGTGCTCTCCTGTTGCTCTCTTGAATTCTTCATAATTTTAGTTTTGTGCTTATGGAATAAGGAACATCTGCATGAGCAGAGGAGCCCCTGAAGGTGCAGCCCACATGGGTTCAAGCTGGCAGGCACCCTAGCAGCAGGCAGTGGCACACAATGAGCATCTGACCTGGCAAGCACATGCCTTAGGCAGTCTGGGATCCCTTGGCTCCCCTAGTGGGGTGAGGTGCAGCTGGGGGTCAAGACTCGGGTCTAGATTGGTGGTGATGACAGCAGTATCCCTGGCCCTGAAAAAGAGGTGGGTATGGCGTGGGGGCAGCACTGGGACCTGGACTGTGACCCCAGTTTGCAGTCCATCTTGGGAGCCCATCCCTTTGACTTGTGCACAAATATTAATTCTCTGCTTTGAGCTCTGACATAGGAACTGCTGCCACTAAGGCAGTAAATGTTGTCAGTAAATAATTAAAAAATAAAATCATATGAATGGACATTGCAATTAAAGCAGATCAGTGAGCCATTATGATTCTTCAAAGAGTTTAGAATCTTTAGGTTTGAAAACCACTGCAATCCTGAAAAACAAATATCCACAGACGTAGAAATATGATAGTTCTATTTTTAATTTTAATTTTTAACTTTTTGAGGATGCTACGTACTGTTTTTCATAATGACTGTACCAACCACATTCAACATCAACAGTATGCAGTGGTTCCCTTTACACTACATTCTCATCCATACTTGTTATTTTTTTCCTTTTCTATTAAAACCATTCTAACAGGTGTGAGGTCATATCTCATTGTAGCTTTAATTTGCTATTTCCTGATGATCAGTGATGCTGATCATTTTTTATATGCCTGCTGGCTATTTGTATGTCCACTTTTGAGAAGTGTCTATTCAGATCCTTTGCTCATTTTTAAATAGGGTTATTTGTTTTCTTGCTGTTTGAGTTTTTTATACATTTTTTATATTTAACCCCTTATCAAATATATGGTTTGCAAATGTTTTCTCCCATTCCATAGGCTGTCTCTTTATTCTGTTGATTATTTCCTTTTTTGTGCAGATGTTTTTATTTTGATATACTCCTTTTTTGTCTATTTTTGCTTTGGCTGCCCACGCTTTCAGGGTCACATTAAAAAAAATCATTGTCCAGTCCCATGTGAAGGAGCTTTTTGTTTCTTAGTGTGCTTTTCGCATCATTTTCTTCCAGTAGTTTTACAGTTTTAGGTCTTAAATGTAAGTCTTTAATCCACTTGAGTTTACTTTTGTCTATGATATGAAATAAGGGTCTAATTTCATTCTTCTACGTGTGGGTATCCAGTTTTCCCAACACTGTTTACTGAAGAGGCTGTTCTTTCCCCATTATGTATTCTTGAAATGTTTGTCAAAAATCAATTGACCATAAATGCATGGATTTATTTCTGGGCTCTCTATTCTGTTCCATTGGTCTATGTGTCTGTTTTTATGCCAGAACCATACTGAATTTGTTTACTCTAGCTTTGTAGTGTATTTGAAGTCAGGTAGTGTGATGCCTCCAGCTTCATGGTGTTTTTTTTATTTGTTTAGTTTTTTGTTTTTTGCTACAGATTGACTGGCTACTCAAGGTCTTCTGTGCTTTCATACAAATTTTAGAATTGTTTTCTCTATTTCTGTGAAAAAAATGTGATTGAGACTTTGATAGACATTACATTGAATCTGTAGGTCACTTTCAGGTATATGGATGGGGAGACATATTTACTTTAATCAGTCATTAGTGTAAAGAAGTAGATCATCAACAAATTTTATTAGGTCTGATGAGAAAAGTACTACAGTGTACATCTCTCCTCATACCAATTTTGAATCCTTTAGAGATTGTTTCTCAAAGCATAATCTATTGAATTCCTGTGTAAATAAGTAAATAATAAATATATACCCGGACTAGGGGAAGGGGAACTTGTTAAAAATGGTTTCTCCCTGTCAACATCACATCGGAACACCTAAGGATGCTGCCTTGGAATTCATATTTTTAACAAGCTCCCTAGGTAATTCTGATGCACACTAAATTTGGAAACTGCTGTCGCAAGAGAAAGGAAAGGCAGAAAAATGAAGTTTTGAGAGCTCTGGCCAGCAAGACTTCTTTTTTCTTCTTTCTTTTTTTTTTTTTTTTTTTTTTTTGAGATGGAGTCTTGCTTTGTCAACCAGGCTGGAGTGCAGTGGCATGATTTCGACTCACTGCAACCTCCGCCTCCTGGGTTCAAGTGATTCTCCTGCCTCAGCCACTGGAGTTGCTAGGCTTACAGGCGCATGCCACCATGCCCAGCTACTTTCTGTGTTTTTAGTGGAGGCGGGGTTTCACCATGTTGGCCAGGCTGGTCTCAAACTCCTGAGCTCAAGTGATCCACCCGCCTCAGCCTCCCAAAGTGCTGGGATTACGGGCATAAGCCACCACGCCCGACCCAGTAAGACTTCTTGCCATATCTAGTGCTTCAAGGAAATGCGTGATGAGGTGGTGGGGAATGGGAAATAGGCACGCTAGAGGCCTGGAAGTCCTTAGGAGCTTGAGACAGTGAATGTGTCCGTGAATCACCGATACAAAGCCAGCACAGGTAAATCCTGTAGGAACGTTGACCAAATGCCTGTAATATTGTTGAAGAGCAAAAACACTCAGACCAATGCCATCATTTTGACAGCGATGTAAGAAGAGACCTATGTATGTAAGCAGATATGTTTATTTTACTAGTTGTCTTAGACACAAAATAATTTCAAAAAAAAATTAGAACCACAAATTGTAGTTCTCAGTACCAGATTTATTTTACAATCGATTGTCAGGCTTTTACTTAATTATAGTTGAAAAATTACTCCTGGAAAATGCCTAGCAAATCCATGTTGTACACAACCTAGAAAAGAGATCTTACAGAGTATTTAGGAAGAGGAAACATTTTTAAGTTTTTACAAAGCATAAAATGGAAAGAGAATTTCCCCTATAATTCTATTATTAGATTTTGTACCAAATGAGTGTGGAAGTACAGTTCAACATGTCTAATAGAGCTTTGTTCAGAGACAGCAAGAGTTTTGCTCCACAATTCTTGAGAATGGAGCAACTTTCCTTCACTAGTCCCCACCCTTCTCAATCCACCAGTACCACATTTTTACCCAGTGACCCTCAGCTTTCTGGGATACTCAAGCTGTAGAATCTCAAGGTTTAAAATACCAAGTTATTTATTCTAATCTCCTCTCTAGGACTTAAGTCCAACCTACAGTATATGTAAAACTGCTCCATTCTAGTAATGGAGACCTTATTCTCTCTATGGCAGTTCTCATTGCTAGAAAGAAAACCCAAATTTATCTCCTCTTTTATTTTACCCATTGTACATTGAACTTTTGAGGGCTGCTTCAACATGACACCTTTTAAAAATATTTAAAGAGAACAATCAATTTACCTTCTTTCTCCAGGCTAACCATCACCAATTCCTTTCTCATTTAGGTTATAGAAGATGGGGGAACGTTTATCTTCTTTATTATGGCTACTGTATGTCTATTAATACAACCCAAGATTATATTAGCTTCTTTTCTGATTGAGAGTCACACTCAGGTTAAGCTTGCAAGTGTATGAAATCTTTATGCCTTTCCCACAAATGGTTCTGTGATGTCATTGTCTCCCTGCCTTTGTTGGGTTTTATCTGCTTTTGTTCAGTGTCCTGGTCATATAGCTTTTTATTTCCTGTTTCTCCCTTTCAGTGTATTTGCTTTCTGTCTCAGCATCTTGAAATCTGTAAATGTGATGAGCACAAGTTCAATATTTTTAACCGTGTCATTGAGCAGGCAACATTCTGTGTTCCACCATTAGAAACATTTTTAGGCTGGCAATCTTCCATTAATCAGTATTTGATCATCATCTAGTTACAGATCCTCCTAAATGTCCTGATATCTGGTTCATATTTCTCTAACTTGACCATAGATTTTCAAATTCCTTTATACTCTCTGGATGCATTGTGTCTGTAACATTTTCCTAAGTCAGTTCTTTAACTCTATCTAAAAAGAAACAAAGTTTGACCTATTTTACATCCACCTGGCTGAGGCAGTGGGTTGAGTGGTGATGAGCAGGTTGTGAAGGGCCTTGAAAACCATGCTGAGGGGTTATGACTTTGTTTTGTAGACAACAGGGGGACTTCTGCAGTTGAGCAGAGAAGCAATATAATTGCATCCAAGTGTGATATGTAGTACTGCCCAGATGCTGAAAGAAGCTGGGATCCAGACGTTCTGAGAAACTGAAGCTAGAAGTAGTGGGGCTAGGGCATGCATCACACATGACACATTAAGGAGGGAATTCTGCAGGAAAGGTCATCAGTTTTTGGCCATAGGACATTTTCCTAACTGAAATGATGGTGTTGAGACATTCCTGAAGCTCTTTCAAAATCAGATTGGCAACATGACTTCCTCCTTATACAGAGCCAAAAATCTTCCCTTTGCAACTGCCTCCTGTTTGTCCTGGTTCTCCCCTAGTAAGCAACTTTGAAAGCTTATCTAATCATCTTTCTGTATAACAACTTCTTAAATATTTTAAAACAGTGCTCATTTTTCTTTTATTCAAACTAAACATGTCCAGTTTCTGTACTAGAAATGTTATGGACTTAGCCATTATCTGAAATAGGGGAGTAATTTTCTTATGCAATAGGTTTTACTGGAAAATGTAAATCCAATTTTCATAACTTATCTTTTCTTATACCAGTAGGGTTTAATATGTAAAGAAAGTGTTTTAAACCTGAAGTACCTTTTTTTTAAGATTTTTAAAAAGGCATGAATGATATCTCCCTAATTTACTTGGTTTCTAAAGCAACATTTTCATTAAAAAAACTATACTAATTAGACCTTTTAGAAAATAAGAAAGTATAATTAATTGAAATGTTTTTGCTTGAAAAGCCTTTTTGTTTGTCTTTAATGTTGAAAATAGTTTCCTGACATAGGAAATGAAGAGAAGCCTAGTTAAATTCCTTTAATTTATTTAAATTTGTATTAGAGTGGTGCAAAAGTAATTGCACCAACCTAATAGGAGTTTCTGCTATTGTTCTGCTCATCCATGGTAGAAGCAATTTAAAAACTTTTTTACTTTTCATGAATTATTCTTTACCAAACAGCAAAAAACAACCAGGAGGCAGGTTGAACCAGGTGAAGGGAAAGAGAGGGAAAAAGATCTTCTTTTTTTTTTTAAATTAAAAAGTTTACAAGTTGGGGAAGACAGAAAAGATCACACACAAGGCTGTCACTTCACACTTGGAAGGTTGCACAGCGGCCGGGCAGAGGCGATCCTCACATCCCAGATGGGGCGGCAGCTGGGCAGAGGCGCTCCTCACTTCCCAGACAGGGCGGGGGCCGGGCAGAGGCGTTCCTCACAGAGAGGGAAGAAGATCTTCTAATGCCTTGGCTGGAGCAAAGAAGCTATGGTGATTGAAGGTAAAATCATAAAAGTGAAAAATCAATCTTGATGGACTAGCTTGGTGTCAGGATGAGGACTTTAGCTTTGCTGTGGTAGACAAAATGGAAGCCACTGCAATTCTTTAGGTGAGAGGGAATGAATTACAATGTCTGAAAAAAATTAATCAGGAAGCTGTGTAATACGAATTAAAGTGAGCCAGGAGATCATTTGCAATAAACTAGAAAGGAGTTTTTACATTTTGATTATGGCGAAGGCAATGACAAAGAAAAAAATATAAAGAAAGAATTTGTTGGACAAAGGAGAGAGAAGTTACTGTGTGAATGTTAATGGTGCATGACGGGCTCGTGCACTGAAGTTGTTGAGCTCTATCCACTAGGTCAGGGTTTCTCAATCTAGCACTGTTGGAGTATTGGGCTGGATAAGTTTTATTGTTAGGGGGCTGTCCAATGCATTGTAGGGTATTGAGTAGCAGTCTTGATCTCTACCCAATAGATGACAAAAAGTACCCCAAATGGGCATTTTGTTTGACAACAGCACAAATAAAAATGTCTTTAGACATGGCCAGATGTCTCTTGGGGGCCAGATGTCTCTTTGTTGAGAAGCACTGGCCTAGACCCTTTCTTGGGCACAGCCATTCTTCCATGCCTAACCCCTGGAGAAGCTGTGCTGGTATTCAGCATTTTCTGTTCATTGAACTACCACAACTGACTTATGATCTTGGTTCCCTTACATAGTGGACAAAAAACAGATTGGAAAAATGGAGAAAGAGGACAGCAAGCTTTTTAAAGTTTTGTTAGTTTTATTACTTGTTTAAAATAATATTAAATAAATGCTTAAGTATATAAAGTAAAAGGAATTTCTTGCCTTCATTTTCTGTTTGATAATACTTTCCTTTAAAGCCCATGTTTTCTGCTTTAATTCTCCTTTTTTCCTCCTTCTCTCATTTTTTGAATCCTGCCTTTTTACTCTGCTTTCATGTTTTTCCTGTCTTATCAAATCTATATATTTGTTATTGCAAATCATTTTTAGAAGCAGGAAAGGTAGTAATAAACAGCAGCAAGAGATCTTATTAGCTCTATATCACTTCCCCTTCTGTTAGTAGTTTCTCTTCTCAATTCTACATTTTAAAAATCCCAATACCAATAATTTCAAGTATTTATAACCTAATTTTAAAAACAAAGCATAGATTAAAAGCAGATTGATTATAATGAAGTGTTGAGTTGGAGCCAGTATCTTTTATACCTTTTAATTTCATTTTAATCAATAGATATTCTCCAGGGAACTATAACTTTCTGGTCTTTCACAATCTGCATGAATCTCTTGATAATGGCTAATTTCTTAAAGACAAATTCTTGCTGAAATTAAATTAAGATTAATTCCATGTTCTTCCCTACTCAGTTTTTAATCATCTTCTTTTCTCTTTGATAAGCTTTTCCTGAGAGATCTGAATCTTTAATATTTCTTGCCCTATTCAGGGACACAAAGTTCTGCTAGATTATAATGTAACTTGCCCTGATACAGCATCTCTGGGTGTGATCACTGACCATCATCTGTGGATCTTAGAGGGAGGCCATTCACATCACGGTTGCAGCCTGTTAACCTGGGGGCTTCAACCTGTGCTATCATTTCTTCAACTGTACATCCTCCTCATTTACTGAACTTTGATTTTTTTTTTAAAGAATAACTGGTCCTACTTAGGAGACATATCAAGCACTTGTAATATTTGGGCCTTATTTGAATCCCAATACAAACAAAATATTTAAATACATACACATTTATGAGGTATTGGAGAAATTTGAACATTGACAGTATATTTGTTGATGTTAGCAAACTGTTATTTTTAATAGATATCATGACTGTATTGTGGTTTGGTTTTAAAAAGAGTCCTTTTAAGATATATAGTGATATGTTTACAGATGAAATGACATTATAGCTGGATATGTTTCAAATGAATCTAGGGGAAGATAGGGGAGATGGGTGGGATATAGACAGAGGGAAATGGGCCATGAGTTAATTGTGGAGCTGGGCAATGGTGAGCTTATGGGATGGGGTTTATTATTTTATTATGCTCTTCTCTCTAGTGTGCATATGTTAGATATTTCATTTTTCATAATAAAAATACACATCATCATATTTAATGACAGCAAAAGTTAAGAGAAATGGGTGAAAGATACAACCTCCTGCCAATAATTTAGGTGCTCAGGGAAGGGGCCTCTCTTCAGGCTCTGAGTGTGTGTATTAAATATTTTAATTGGCTTAGATGAATTTTATTTCCCTTTCCAGTGATTCCTTTAGGTAGGGTATGTGATGCAATTCTTGCCTACGAGGTGGGAGAATGTTTGCTGGGGTCTTCAGGGAAAGGTTTTCTTATACCAAAAAAGAAACATCAGAGGAGATGGCTTCTTCTCTCTCCGGGTGTAGTCATGATTGTATATAATATCTGGAGCTGTTGCAGCTATCTCATGATTATGAGGGGCCTGGCCTGAGAGCAAAGTGAGAGAGACCCTAAGGATGGCACAGTGGAAGATGGAAATTACCAGGATCGCTGATGACACTATTGAACCACTGAGATAAACAATGTTAGATTTTCCTTACGTCTGGACTTCTTATTACATGGAATAGTAAATGTTCTTATTGTTTAAGTAATTTTAAGTTAGAATTACATGGTTTCTTTTTTTTTTTTTTTTTTTTTTTTTTTTTTTTTTTTTTTTGCTGCTGAAAGCATTCTAAGTAGACTATGTGCACCTTCCACAACCTAGAAATTGTAATCTCTACAGGTATATACCCTAAAGAAGCTCTTGTACATGTAAGCTGGAAGGCATGTTTAAGAATGTTCATAATATTTTTTATAATAGAGCCAAACTGGACACAGCCAGTTGTCTATCAACAGTAGAATAGGCTCAGCATGGTAGCTCACTCCTGTAATCCCAGGACTTTGGGAGGCTGAGGCAGGTGGATCACTTGAGGCCAGGAGTACTAGACCAGCCTGGCCAACATGGGCAAACCCCACCTCTACTAAATATACAAAAATTTTTAGCCAGGCATGGTGGCACACACCTGTAATCCTAGCTTCTCAGGTGGCTGAGGCAGGAGGATTGCTTGAACACAGGAGGCGAGGTTGCAGTGAGCCCAGATGGTGCCACTGAACTCCAGCCTGGGTGACAGAGTGAGACTCTGTCTCAAAGAAAACCCCCCCAAAACAGTGGAATACATGACTAAAATATGGTATATTTACATATATGAAATATGTGGAATATTATACAGCAATGACATGAACAAATTATAGCTCTATACATCAACTTTGTTAAATCTCAAAATATATGTTAAATGAAAGATGTCAGATAAAAAGTTTACATATGATGTGATTCTATTTAATAAGCAAAAATTAGAAAATACATTCTTGGGGAATAAGTAGTAAAACTATTAAGCAAGGGAACGGCTATTACATACATAAGAGAACGATTTACCCTAGAGGGAAGAAGGAGGTACAAAAAGGAGTGGCATGTGAAGGTTTCCCTGGGACTAACAATATTCTCATTCTTTATTTGGCTGGTGATTTCACAAGTGCTTGCATTATTATTATTAACTTTTAAAATGTATATCTGTTTAATTGCTCTTCTATGTGCACATTGGTATTACTTCAATAGAATTTTTTAAAAAGTCCTTACCAACACAGGCAGTGTTGAGTGGTAGAAAAAGAAGTGGATATGAAGTTAGAAAAAAATTAAAATCAAGATCACCACTCACATTTTTCTTGTTTTGACCATGGCACTACCAAAGGCTCAGTTTCTGTTCCTGTAAAATGAAGAATTGAACCAACTGAGTCCCTTCTTGCTGTAACTTTCTATTTTTTAATCAGTTATCAATTCATTCTGTCTTTTCTTCCTTTTTCAAGCTCACAAACTACTGGTCTTGAGTACAAACTGTTTGAAATTTGTGAAATTGATCACAGAAACTTCTGCAGTAAATACAACCATGAAAACAGCATGGCTAGTAGAAAGCCCTGAAATACATCTCTGGGCAGGGTTTCAGGGAGAAGTTTAGTCTCATTTAATTGACTGTCTCAGTTCTCAAATTGCTCTATTTCTTCTCATTCTGAACTTGGTTTAAATGGCCAGTTAAAAAACATATTTTTTGTGCTTTCTTGGTGGAATTATATTTTGGTCTAAGGCCTGTAGCTTATGGTCAAGAGAGTTTCTCTGAGATGCTTGATGCAGGAGTTTTTCTGGACCCCATTGTTGGACTTGCAATGGGGGTGCCCCATTTACTTGGCCCACCACGCTCAACCTCTTGTGTGAGGGAGTACGTGAGCAAGCGAGTATGAGATCTGGCTGGCTGCTTTGGGCGCTGGCAGGAGCAGGCTCCATGCAGGCCCCATGGCGTTGCTCAGCTGGGGGTGCCTGTGACCCCTGAAGCCCCAGAGGGTTTTTCTCTCTTAGCTCTGCTGTCTGTGGACAGCCATGTGTTATCCACTCAGTGGGCCCCTTGCCTCGTTGCGCAGGGCGGCTGCCCTCCACCAGCAAGGGCAAATGGCCAGTGTGACAGCCTTTTTTGGGTATCCACACATGTTGGGTCCCAAGCTCTTGTCTGCCGTCCAAAAAGGATGAAGTTGCATGGACACTTGAAGGATGGTGAAGGTAGAGAATTTTATTTAGTGATGGAAGTGGCTGTCAGTGGAGAGGGGAGCTAGAGAAGGGATGAGACAGGCAGATAACCTTCCCTTAAGTCTGGCCATCTCCAGCCATCTCTCCTCCAAAGTCCAGCAGTCCCTCTGAAGTCAAGTTATCTCTTTCCAGTCAATCCACTTCTTTCTCTCTCTACCGACTGAGTCTTGGGTCTTTATAGGCACAGAATGGGGGATGGGGCAGGGCGTAGGTAATTTTGGAAAAGGCAACATTCAATTAACAAAAAGACATTATTCAGAAATAATCAACTGAGAGAGAGTGGGCAAACAGGGATTGGACTGCGGGTTTCAAGCTTTTTGGCTCAGGGATATGGTTTTGCTGGGGACCTGCCCCTGTCTGCCTAGGATTTCTCTGCCTCCTACATCTATCACCATCATTCTGTCTGAGAAATTAATTGGGTATTTAGATGCACAGTTTAGGGAAACAACTATTTAAGAAAGGAAAAGCTGCTTGAACATTTCTTCTGTGATACTGATTTCTCTCCTTTTGTAGATGAATGGGGGTTTGGGATTGGAGAATGCCAGGGGTGCTCTTTGTGCTTCAGTTTTATTATTGCTTTTTGGCTCAGTCATCTACATCAGTGATTTTTTTTTAATGATGTAAGTTTAGGATCATGTATTCTTAGCTAAAACTAATGAATAAAGGCATTTTCTCAGGCAAAATAAAGCATAGGAAAGGAACTGTAGGTGATTAAAAACAAAATGTAGTCATCATTGGTCAAAGCTAGGATAAAAGAGCCATGGTACTGGAACTGAACTATTTACAGCACTGAACTATTTAGGCAACCTGAGCTTGGTTCTTGTGGAGGCTGCTAGAGCACGAATCCTGCCTCCTCCTCTGGGATTTGTCACTCAACACTTGACTGGAGCCTGAATTGAAAGAAAGCAGGACTTCCCTTTTTAAATGATCATCTCAGTTTTTCTTCCCTTCTTCCAAAGCTTTTAGCTAATTGCTCACTGACATTCTCCCCAATACTTCTGTTATAATTCTACATGATTTCAAAATCCAGGTAGAATAAAATAAATGGCGTGAACTCTCCTGTTAAGTCCTCACCACTCAAAATGGTCACTTCATGTGTTTATGTTGTTGCTTAGTCTCTAAAGGCATTTATATTTGGAGCTCTAGTTCATAAAACCAGGAGAGATTAGGGAATCAGTAATATTCAAGTCTTCCTGAAGTGTAGGATTCAGAACAGGAAGACATTATATGCAGGAACTATAGGGTCACTTGAAATCCATAAATGTAGAGTAAATAAAAGCAAGTATTTTTCCTCTTAGAAAAATGGCAAAATTTATAATCCTAAAATACCATATAAAAACCCTTTGAAGTTGAGTGAACAGAAAACAGTCTTAAATGAAACTAGAATATTTTCAGAGCATGTCTTTACCATTTAAAGGAAGCCAGGGAGAAAAACGGTCTTACATCAAATGTTATTTTATTTTATTGTCAAATTAAGGAAGCTCTGCTAAGTGGACCACAGATGAATGGAACTTGGCACTTATTGCTTCTTTTTGGACAAGAATACTGCATTTTGTGCTGCTTATTAACACTTATTTTCCTCTTCAGACTTAAATCCACTGGGCACTGGTGGCTGAGTGGGTAAGGTGTACTCATCTTGAGTGGGCTCAGTTTCTGTCCCGCTTACAAATAATCCATGAGAAGCAAAGTGCTGCAGCTCATGGATCAGTGGACTGACAGCCAGGGAACCTTCGTTCTGGCCTAACTACTTATGTGGCCTTGAAAAGTCTTGTCACCTCTTTGGGCCTCAGCTTCTTCACTTGCAAAGTGGGAAGGGTTAAGATAAATGTTACAGACATTGGAAGTGGAAAGTAATTTGTCAATGGGCAGAAATCTAAAATATGACCAAGCCAGGACTTTTGCCATACCATGTCAACATTTTATGACTCAATAAATGTTTTAAAAATATTTCATAATGTTGGAAGTTATTTTGGCTCATAGATTGATTTTTTAAAATTACTTTATAGTCTTTACATAACTGAAGGATCAGTTTTTCATCTTTTACAGCTTTATAAATACCTAACTGCTTAACATTTTTAATGTAAAACTTGCAAGGCATTTAAACTTTTAGACAATATATAGACGTCTATTTCTAGACTGTAAACTTAAGTTTAGATACAATGAGAATGAGTCAGAGTTAAGTGTAAATCCCATGTTAGAATACCAAGCTTGTTCCATTTCTATTTGTCACAACTGCTCCAGTGAGCCAATTCAAGTGGGCTCTAGACCTTTACTGCCCTTTGATTTTCTAAATTCTTGCCTACTCAGATTGCCTAATACAGTACTCATGAACTATTATATTCAAACAGAGATGAGGTTTTTGACCTATCCCCTGGATTGTTTTTCACAGTGATGATGGATTTACAAAGATCCATCTATTTCTATTGGCATGCCCTTGTTAACAATGGCACATATTTTTGCAAGTCCTCTCTGTGGAATTAAATCAACCTAATTGATCAGTGTGTCTCAACCCCCTTCATATTAATCCATTAAATATGTTAAAGAATGAGTGAGTGATTAATGCCATTTTAAAGGATCAATCTATGACTTTGACCTACTTGGGACAGCTGAGGTATGGAATAAAGTAGTGAGTCAGGCTTTGGGATGTTGAATATAGTGAGATTTCAGAAAAACAATTGAAGATGCACACAGATTCTCTGATTTTTAATTTTGCTAGGTGCGAATGTTAAAAATCTCACAGCCAGTGTTAAGAATCAACATAATTTGTAATAGAATGAGCTATTTTTATACTCAAAAAGTTGTGAGGAC
This sequence comes from Homo sapiens, assembly GCF_000001405.40. Taxonomy (NCBI): domain Eukaryota; kingdom Metazoa; phylum Chordata; class Mammalia; order Primates; family Hominidae; genus Homo; species Homo sapiens. The sequence continues at coordinate 111,960,094 of NC_000005.10, read as the reverse complement.
AATCTCAGAATTTAAAAAATTAAATTAACAAATTTAGTTTTTTGAAAAACTTGACTCTGATTTCTTCATTTGGGCTAGTAATAAGCATGTCTTAAACTGGCAGCTGTCCATGGACCAGTATTTTGGTATTTTCCCACCTCAACTATTTTATTATTTTCATTTCATGAAAAAATCCTGGTTATAATACATATAATAAATGTATAATACATATAATACATGAAGTTGATTTATGAACTTCTTCATGAGCCACAATATACAGCTTGAAAATTAATGCTGTATGGTGTATATACATCAGTGGAATTGCTGGTTTGTAAGGAATACAAATGTTCAGTTTTAATAGAAATGATGATAAATTGCTTCTTAAAGTGTTCAACTTAGTAATTTTTTCAATGTCTTTATATACAAATACCATTTTTCATAATTCTTTAACTGTTGATATTTGAGGTCTTAAAAGTTCATGTCAATTTTGACCATAGGTCAAAAATCGTATATTGTTTTAATTTGATTTTCTGAAGTTTTACAAAAATATATATTCTGGATACTAAGTTTTCTTTATATCTAATCTAAACGCTCTTCAATGCTGTGTTTGCCTTTTAATCATGTTTAGACTATCTGTGTTTATCTTAAATTTTAAATTTAGCTAATGTACATATAGAAAAGTACACATGTATGTATACAGCTGGATGAATTTTCAGAAAGTGTAATCACCCAGATCAGAAAAAAGAACATCAGCCCCCAGAGGCTGCCTTATACTCCTCTCTAATCACTACTCACTTACCCCTTCCTCAAAGTTAACCACTATTCTGATTTCAATCACCATAGACTAATTTTGCTTACTTAAAAATGTACATAAGTGAACTCACAGAGTAAGTTAGAGTATATTTTGATGTTCAGCCATTGTACATTTTATATAGTCAAATATATTTATCTTTCTTTTTGCTTTTTTTGGCAACTTGCTTAAGAAAACCTTTCCCACCCTAACTCATGCTTTTAATAGGTTTGCAGTTTTGATTCCCACATTTAGTTTCCTAACCAATCTAATTTTTTTCTTGTATGAGGTAGAAATATAATTTTTTTTTCTTTCTGAAAACCAAATGTACTGCATTGAACAGTGTCCTTCCCCAGGGATTTGTGATATACCGTAAGGCTATCTATTCTGTCTCATTACTTTATTTGTACATTCTTGTGAAGATAACATGGTTTAAATTATTTTTGATGTCTTGCTATGTGGTAGCACAAACTTCTAATGTTATCCTTAAAAAAATTCTTGATATTCATACAGCTTTATAAAGTAAATTTTATAATCAGCTTGTCTGTGTTTTTGCAAATTCTTATAGGAATTTTTGATTGGAATTGCATAAAATCATAAATTATTTAGAGAATTTTTTTTAAATGTTGAATCTTATCCATGAACATGTTTTGTTTTTCTAATTATTTAATTCTTCTTTATGTCTTCAATAGCTTTGTGCATATTTTAGCTAAAAATCTTGTGTATTTTAGATTAAACTATGTGCTTCTGAGTTGTTAATATTTTGAATGAAATTTTTTAAATTGGCTATTAAGTGTAAAAATAAGTATAAATGTTTGAATGAATATCAATTGTGAGCCCAGAAACTTTGCTGAATTTTCCTCTTAGTTTTAAAACACTGCATTTTGCCTTCCTTGGATTTCTCTATGTGGTAAATTTTATCAACTATGAATTGTGACAATTTTGTTTCTTCTTTTCTCATCTTTATATCTCATTTGTTTCTCTTATTGCATTAGATGGGATTTATGTCCAATTTTTTTTCTGGATAAAGACAATTAGCTTTATTTATGTAAATTAGAAAAATTAAAATTATAGTATTATAATTCATCAACTGTTTTAATTCTTAACAATTTAAGAGTATAGATATAAAACATAAAATAGAATATATCACATTACTCTTTTTTGAGTTAAAGTGTTTTCTTATTTTTACACATAAATTTTATGATATAATGAAAAATAATGTCTCTTATTCTTGCTTTCATGGGAATGCTTCTAAAGTTTGTTATTTCATAAGGTGTTTGCTGTTAGCTTTCGAAAGCTTCACTTTAGCATGTTCTCCTTTGGTGCTACTTTGCTGGGCTTTTTTCTTTCTTTTAATCATGAATGGGTATTGTTGCATTTTTATCAAGTTCATCGTTAATCTATTGAGATGATCATTTAAATTTTGAGGTAGTCAAATGTATATTTCTTGTCCTTAATGCTTTTCTTGTGACTTTTTAAGTGTCTATTTTTCCCTAATGTATTTACATTGATAGGCTTTCTAATGATGAACTATACTTCCTAACTTACCTGGTTATGTTGTATTTTGTACACATACCTTACATATATAAAATTACAGATATATATGTGTGTGTGTGTGTATATATATATACACACACATGAAGTTGGACTTGCTTAGCTCATATTTTAGTTAAAAATTTTGCATTCATGTTCATAAGTGAAAATGGATTATAAATCCTTTTCTTGTACTCTATCTTGGTTTGGTGTAAATATTATATTAATATCATAGATAACACATTTTCTTTTTTATTATTTGGAAGAGTTGTTATAAAATAGGGGTTATCTATGCCTTCTAGTTCATATAAGATAGGTATTATTTGTGCCTTTAAGTTTTATAAAACTATATGGTTATGAGTCTTTGGGGAGGGGTGGTTTTTAAAACTACTAGCTCAATTTGTTTAATATTTATTGACTCTCCATTGAGATTTTTAAAATATTTTATAGGTAGGTATATGAAATTTAACATTTTCCAGAAAATTTCCCATTTTATCAAATTTAAAAATTTATTGCCATTAAATAGCCCAAGATTATTATTTTATCAAATCACAATTATAACTGATGTTAATTACCATTTTAAATTCCTGATATATTTAATTTGTGTATTTTCTCTCTCTCTCTCTTTTGCTCTTTCTTTCTTTTTCTTTCTCTCCTTGCCTCCTCCCTCCCTCGCAATTGTTATTTATTAGTAACAGTCTCTTCTTTCCTCTCTGGACAATTGTAATATTTCTCTATAACTTTAATATTCTGAAATATCACTCTACTGTATGTCATTGTACTTAACTGGCATTTTATTTATTTATTTATTTATTTATTTATTTATTTAGAGACATGGTCTCATTGTGTCATCCAGGCTGGAGTGCAGTGGTGCAATCTCTGCTCACTGCAACCTCCATCTCCCAGGTTCAAGCAGTTCTCATGCCTCAGCCTCCCAAGTAGCTGGGATTACAGGCATACACCACCACGCCTGGCTAACTTTTGTATTTTTAGTAGAGATGGGTTTTCGCCACATTGGCCAGGCTGATCTCAAACTCATGGCCTCCAGTGATCTACCTGCCTCCACCTCCCAAAGTGCTGGGATTATAGGCATGAACCACCACGCTCAGCCTTAATTGGCATTTTAAATATGAAGACCCACATCTTTACTTCTGGATAACTGTCAACCACTAGCTTTTTAAAAAATATTGTTTTTACTCTTTCTGTAATTCCTTTTAGATATTTATGATTTTTATTTAGAATTTTTTAAAGTTTATATTCTTCATGTCACTTGATTTAAAAAAAAATCTAATTTGTCTTTCATTTTGGAAATTTTTTTTAGGTCTCTTCAAATTTACTAATTTTTTCAATTGCTTTAATCTAGTATTTAATTCTTTGAGCTTTTTAATATCAATATACTATTTCACAACTCTGTCGGTTTCATAAAAAGTATTTTTTCATGTCTTTGAAGACTTTAAATATACACCTTTTAAAATCCCCTTATTGTTTTGTTATTTCTGTTGGTGTGAGTTATGTCTGTTGTTTATTTTCTTGCTGCAGACATTCTCATATGTTCTGCAATTCTTGTCTGTGAGCCCATTTTCCTGAAGAATTCTCCTGTCTCTGAGCTCCCTTGTGTCTGTCCTGGGTTGTAGAGGTTTCCCTTTGAGGATATCATGGTGGTATCTACCCAATCTGTAGAGGCTCTCACTGTTCCTTGGCAACTTCTTAGGTTTGTGTTTCGGCTCTGGATTTTTTGGATTTAGAGAGGGTAACAAGCCCTCCAAATCATATGACAGAATAAATTTTGGAATTACATGGGAAACTATATCCAATCAGGGGTTAGGTGAATGATTTGCTTTCCAGGTCCTGTTCTTAAACAGGAAGCCCAACGTTTTTGTTTTTTTTTTTTTCACTACAGGAATGAGATTTTTAGTTCCAACTCTCATCCCTTATGTTAGTGTTGAAACTCCAAACCTTTTGGCTCTGTCTACTCCCATGCTCTGCCTCTTACACCGTGGGTTGCTAGACTTTAGCTCAAAATCGTGACATTTCTGGCACCTGGATATTTCTCATTATTCTTTTCTTTCAAGCTGTGTACATAAAGACAAGTGTAATTTAACACATTTTACTTAGTATTTCTAGTTATTTGAGTGGAAGCGAGTATTTCAATCGGTATTTAATGTCATCTTGACTTGAAAATCTCCACGAAGTTCCCCTTACACAGACTCAGAAAGAAATTGCTTACAGGTCTCTGTATAAGGAAAAGTTGTTTTTCTTATCACAAGTCTTAGAACCGAATGTGTTTTTTTTTTTTGTTTTTTGTTTTTTGTTTTTTTTTTTTCTGTATTGGCCCCCTGTGTAGTTTATGGCCAAATTTGTTGTTCACATCTAACACCTATAGATACAAGGTCCTGGATGGCCTGCATTTATGTGATTCTTTCGCTGACTCACTCAACTATTAATTTTATACTTCTGCATTGTGTGAATTTTTATAAAATTTCTCATTTTTTGTAGGATGAGGTGGCACATAAGAATAATATTTCTCTTTGAATACATACATACTGTGATAATCCCAGGTATTGAGATGGTACTCAACAAATGCTGGCTGAGAGAAGGAAACTCTGAGAGCTGGCTCTCACCATAACCTTTTACTTATTCTTCTGCTTTCTGTTTCTGTGTCAGGCAGGCATAGCTTAAGTCTGATAGTAGAAGAGAATATCAACGAATGGAGACACGTTCTTCTTTCTAGTGAAAACAAACAACCAGGCCCACTAGAAAATTCAGTTAGCCTTCTTCCTCATGCATCTTCATTGGAAAATTAGTTTGTTCTTAGTTATTAATTTAACAAACTCCCATCCTGCTCTTTTTAGCATTCTTCCTTGGCAGCCAGCAATGAGTCATGTGCAACAAGGGTTTTATGCCTTTCAGGCTGATCTTCATTGAAAGAGCAGCTTGGAAATTTTTGTTTTTAAAGAAAGACTTTTAATAAACTGTTTAATGTTGACTTCTCAATGAAGTTACATTCTTCATTTCTTGATGGTAATAGTTTTTGCTTTTAAGTCACTGTCCTCACTGTAGCATGAAGGGAACCTGTCACTCTCTATTTTACATATTTATTACTTCCTGCTTTGTATCTCTGTTCCCTACCCTTCTTTATCTCTTTATTTCTTTTCCCCTTTGACATCAATATTTTTTGAGCTTAGGAGAAAATGTTATTTTCCAATCTAACAGTGGGCACTTTGAAGTAGAGAGAAGTTATAATTTGTTAATGCAAGTTACTTCAATGGTATCAAAATGCATCTATTTGGAGTTCTAAAAAAGTACCACTCTTTAACAATTTTTGGAGCTCAGAAAAATCAAACCAAAACATATCACTAGTAAAACCAATGATAACATTGACAACCTCTGCCAAACCAAGAACATGTGTGCAGTGAAGCATTTCCTTTTCCTATTAACATAATTATTAGCCATTGCCTAGAAATTTCTCTTTTTTTTCTAACCCAAAGAAGTAATCTGCTTCCCTGTAATTTTAATTTATTGATTCCAGCTTTTCCTCTGGATATGGGCATAAAATATAAAATCCCTCTTTCACCTGACAGTTCTTCTAATATCTGAAGATGATCACATGACATCCAATATGCCACTGCAGAGCCTATATTTTTCCATCTTGGCCATAGATAGATGTAGATATAGATATAGATAGATCATGAGAGACTTAATCATGTGCTTGGCTGAAAGCTAAATGTCAATTCACTTTACCTCAAGTTAGATTTGCAGAGCCCTAGAACATAAAGTTACAATTCCTTAGCAGGCATATACCTTACTCTCTGGCCCTAACCCATGTTAAACATGCTGATACTCCCTCAGGTACACATGGTGATACTTTGAGGATGTGAGACTGGGATGTATCATCCCCAGGGGTAATTATTTCAATACACTTCCCTAAATATATTACATATTTCCATATTGTTGTGCCTTTCTTTGTCTACACTGGTCCTTCAACCGAGATGATTCTTCTCCCCTTTCACTGTTATTTGTCAATATGCAACTTAAATATCACTTTCTAAGAAATTTTCCTCCTCTTTCCCAAGCAGAATTCATTGTTCCCTGTTCTATTCTTCCTGGACACTTGGTTCCTATCCTCGTTCTTTCCATTCCATAATGTAACCTAAGTGTCTGAGGTTTTTGAGGGCAGGGACCATGTCTTTTTAAAATTTTTTGTATTCTCACTACTTAAACTTACAGAGTTGGCCTGCGGTAAATAGTGCACGAACTCATGATGCCTGAAGAATGAAAGAATGTTCAGATAAAGTTGGAAAGAAGTTTTTGGTGATGACTAATCTCATAGAAAAAAGAAAGATAATAGAGGAGGAGGTTGCCAGTGATGCAGAAGAAAAGTCTTTGGGAAAAAAAGTTATAGCCTCAGAGGGTTCTAAACCCAGGCATAGAGTGTTCAAAAGGAAACTTGTTGAATCAGCCCCAAGATATCCCATGCCCACTGCCATGTTTGCTGCAATGGCCACACAGCACCAGCTTGTGCACTGCCCATCTGAGAAGTTTGTGCTTGACAGGGCTTTGAGCCTATGCCTTCCTAAATCATTCACCCTGCAAGGTGATGCATTGGTTGAAGGAAATTGGTTGAAAGAAAAAAGAAAGAAAATAATTCTGAAGGAAGACAATAACAACATGAGAGAAAGTTGAAGAAGAGGGCTACTTAGTAAGATATCTAATCATAAAAAGCGTAATTTCAGCTGCAGCAAAGTATAGGTTAGACTATCATAATTTGACAGGTACATGTGATAAGACTTAGAGGACATGAGGCAGGGACTCATGTCTTCATGATGCAAATAATGCATGCATGTGGTAAAAACAGTACAAGCAAGGTATCAAGTAAAAAGTGAAGAGTCCTCCCTTTCACATTCCCATTCCTACTCTCTAATTTTTTATATATCTGTTTTGTAAGCTATAATACAGAGAGATTCCATATATTCTTCACATACTTTCCCCAATGGTAACATCTTGCATAACTACAGGACAATAACAATCAAGAGATTGACATTGATACAATCCAACCAACTTCCCCCTCTTCTTTTTCATCCTGTTCCCCATGCCTTAAATTTCCTTAGATCAACAGCCTTTACTGTAAAACAGAGGCATAAACTGCGATTTCAATGCTCTGGGTATGTTCCAATAACTGCCACACAGGAGATTCTTTCTTCACTTCTTGTCCTATTGCTATCTCCAGCTACGTCCTTGCCTCATTTACTTGTCAAAGTTGTAGAAATATCCACAAGGAAGAGGACTGCTCTTACCATAACCAAATAAATAAATAATAATAACCTCGACTGGTCAATCAACACTTGCTATTCCAACACAAGATAAAGAAGAAATAAAAAGCAGATTTCTTTCCATCAAAGAGCATGATGAAAACCAGATAATCCCAGATGTACCTTGACAGGGAACATCACCCTGGGAGCATCCAAAGGCACAGATGAATCCTTATTTCTTTGACTGTATTCTCATTCTTGCCTAACTGGCTGGCCTTAGGTGTAGATGGTAGAGACGGCTCTTAGGTGATGCAATGTGGAGACCAGGTGTCCCATGTTGAAAAAGACAGGGCTTCTTTCCTCTCATTTCTTTTCTCCACTTGACAAAGGCTTCTGGGAAAACACTTAGTTGTATGATTCGTCGGGAAAGGGAAGGAGTAGAAGGCCGTATATTGCAGGCAGCAAATTAAGCACTGTAGAAGAACTTTGTCCACATGATACAGACAGAGATTCTGAGTGATAGTTGCCTGGGACAGGAGTGTCAGGAAAGAGAATAGGATATAGGGTTTGGAAAAGAGGAGCTCTAAGTGAAATCAAATGGGGAGGTATCCACTTTTGTGCCTTAGCCTCATCTTGGTACAGTTATATGATTGCTCTATTATTTCTAGTATTACCCGAAAACATATGGCATACCTCGCAAACATGGATATAAACCATTATAACAACTCTAGGATATTTAAAATGAAACCACAAATAAATGGACACGATTTTAAAACTTTTGAGATTTTAAGTGCTGGTGAGCATGAGGAACAAGGAGAATGAATATATTTTTATATTATTGAGGGGAATGAAAATTGGTACATTACTTTAGAGAATATTTAGAAACATTTGGTAAAATTGAATACTCATAGAGCCTTCAACCCATCTATGTGACTGCTAAGTTTATACCCTAAAGTAGAAGTTGACAAACTTTTTCTGCAAAAGATCAAATAATAAATATTTTCAGTTTTGTGGGCTATACATTCTCTGTCATAACTGCTCAACTCTGCCACAGTAGTATGAAAGTAGCCATCAGCACTATGACCACCGCTATGTTCTAATAAAACTTTATTTACAAAAACCGATGGTGGGCCATATTTAGGCTACAGGCATTGTTCGTTTACCCCTGCTGTAAAAAAAATACTAAATCATCTACATAAATAGAAATATATAAGAATGTTCATAACAACATTGCTGGTAATAGAAAAAAGTAGAAACCTAGGTGTCCACTAGAAGAATGAATAAATGAGATGTTATGTATATGTGCAGTGCAGTGCTATAGCATAATAAATGAGTAAACAGAAGCCCTCCATAGCACTATAAATAAATGTGGCAAACACAGTGTTAAGTAAAAAAGCAAGAAGGATGCATACAGCATGATACAATTTATTTAAAGTTTTAGAATATATGAAACAATTATATACATTGTCTTCAGAGATATTCATATGTAATAAAAGTATAAAGACATCTGTGGGAAAGACAAACACCAAATTCAGGATAGTGTTAACCTATGGCAGAGAGTAAGGATAGTGCTCTCAGGGAAGGGCAAATAGGAGACGTCAATTGCACTTTGAAGGTTTTATTTCTTAAGCTCATGGAGGATGCACAAATGGTGAGTAAAGCAGTACTCATACTATTTCCTAGACCTTTTTGTGTCTCAAATGTTTTATGATTTAAAAGTCCCTAGGGTGATGATGAGCTTTTTTTCATGTGTTTTTTGGCCACAGAAATGTCTTCTTTTGAGAAGTGTCTGTTCATATCCTTTGCCCACTTTTTGATGAGCTTGTCTGGTTTTTTTTTTTTTTCTTGTAAATTTGTTTAAGTCCCTGGAGATACTGGATATTAGACCTTTGTCAGATGAGCAGCTTACAAAACTTTTCTCCCATTCTGTAGGTTGCCTGTTCACTCTGATGATAGTTTCTTTTGCGTGCAGAAGCTCTTTACTTTGATTAAATCCCATTTGTCAATTTTGGCCTTTGTTGCCATTGCTTTTGGTGTTTTAGTCATGAAGGCTTCGCCCATGCATATGTCCTGAATGGTATTGCCTAGGTTTTCTCCCAGGGTTTTTAAGGTTTTGGGTTTCACATTTAAGTCTTTAATCCATTTTGAGTTAATTTTTGTATAAGGTTTAAGGAAGGGGTCCAGTTTCAGTTTTCTGTATATGGCTAGCTAGTTTTCCCAGCACCATTTATTAAATAGGGAATCCTTTCCCCATTGCTTGTTTCTGTCAGATTTGTTGAAGATCAGATGGTTGTAGGCGTATGGTATGGTGTTATTTCTTAGGTCTCAGTTCTGTTCCATTGGTCTATATATCTGTCACTGGTCATTAGAGAAATGCAAATCAAAACCACAGTGAGACACCCACCATCTCACACCAGTTAGAATGGTGATTATTAAAAAGTCAGGAAACAACAGATGCTGGCAAGGCTGTGGACGAAAAGGAGCTCTTTTACACTGTTGGTGGGAGTGTAAATTAGTTCAACCATTGTGGAAGACAGTATGGCAATTCCTCAAGGATCTAGAACCAGAAATAACCATTTGACCCAGCAGTCCCATTACTGGGTATACACCCAAACGATTATAAATCATTCTACCATAAAGACACGTGCACATGTATGTTTATTTCAGCACTATTTAGAATAGCAAAGACTGGGAACCAACCCAAATGCCCATCAATGATAGACTGGATTAAGAAAATGTGGCACATATACACCATGGAATACTATGCCGCCATAAAAAAGAATGAGTTCATGTCCTTTGCAGGGACATGGATGAAGCTGGAACCCATCATTTTCAGCAAACTAACACAGAAACAGAAAACGAAACACCACATGTTCTCACTCATAAGTAGGAGCTGGACAATGAGAACACATGGACACAGGGAGGGGAACATCACACACCAGGGCAACCTAGATGACAGGTTGATGGGTGCAGCAAACCACCATGGCACATGTATACCTATGTAACAAACCTGCATGTTCTACACATGTATCCCAGAACTTAAAGTAATATATTTAAAAAAAGCATAAACATCATTGAACAACAAACAAATAAAATAAATAAAATCATTTGATGGGATTTCATTATGTGTAAGGAAAGGAATTTTCCAAATAAAATTTTGTTGTTTACTTAAAAAAAAAAATCCCTAGGGCTTTTAATTTTGAATGTCTTTTCCTGTGCACTAGACTGCAGTTTTTGACCCACTGTTGATGCAAGCTGCAATCACCTCAACTCTTTGTCTCATTCAATGGTGTGGCCCACATGTTCCATGTTTTCAGCCCATTTTATAGCATATTTAACATGACAGCATTTGTGGTGGACAATAAATATGCTTTAATTGCCTTGGTTGGCCAGCAGGATTATTATTTGTGATTGGAATAGATTGCTATGGGAAATTGCTGGTTGAGGAAACAAAGAAAGAAAGGGTTTCCAGAATTTCATTTTGTTTTTTCCTTTATTTGTCTTTAGTTACTTTACTATGACTTTAGTTTTCTTGCTCAGGTTCCATGGTTTCATTGTTTTTCCTTGTGTTTTCTCTTTGTACATCCTAGGAAGAGATTAATCAGCAATATTGTTCTTTGTTATTTATCTTTGCTGGATGAGTTTTGGTCACCAAGTCTTCAAGTTAGGTGACTTTCTTGTTCTCTAGAGAGGATGAGAAAAAATTGGAAATGCCTTATACATGGGGAATTGATTAAGTTCATATTTTTCCCACACTGGAAAGACTCATAGTCATGATATGAGTCAGACACAGCTGGGAACATTTCATCTACTTACAGTGAGCTGTTCTATGCTTGAGAAAGGTGACAGACTGATAGGGCAGGAGAGAGAAGTGTTGGATTTGTTCTGGTGTTTCGAAATTTTTTCCATAAAGGCATGTCTTGGACAACCAACTCACTTTTGCATGGCCGTTAGGCACAGTTGTCAGGGAGGGGCTCTTGTTTTTGTCTCTACTGGGTACATAAGACACATGATTTTTGAACTCAATAGAATTGAAATATTCAGGATAGATTCTAGCCTGTAGATAGTTGATATAGAACCAAATACTGCCAAAGTGTTTCTCTTATATGTATGGCATAGGCCAGAGTTGAGTTACAATGAAGACATGAGGCATATAGTTTGCATGGTTGTTTTTCTAAAATAGTGGGAATTCATTTCAGTGAGACTTGGCTAGCATTTATCCAGCACACTGCAGTCTATTTTCTCCACAGCTGTTCGCTGCCATACATTTCTGATCCAAAATACAAAACTGTCCAAAAATGTGGAACACGTTGACCTGATCTTTCCACCAGGGAAATAGCATTACAGGAAAGATGAAATTACTAGAATGAGGCTTTTGTGGGAAATTAAATATGTCTGGATTTATCAGGAAGATTAGTTTCCTACCTCTTTCAACAGCAATTTCTTTTTATTATTCAAAAATTGGGACTAACAAATGGATTTTCTAACAAATACAGATATTCAAATAATTTAATATGGTTCTTGGAAACTGAGGTGGCAGCAACGATTGGATTAGAAATTATGAGAAATGTGAGTGAGGTTTACAGGTGTAGAATATAGCGTGTGAACTTGCTAACTGGTAGTAAATGGGGCAGAGAAGTCTAGGAGTCTCAGTAACTCAGAGGAAGACATTTGTAAGATCAAGGAGGAATATGTTTAATTACTTTCTAATGTACAAGATAACTAAAATATGCTATCAAATATTGCTTGCGAAGATGTCCTACTTTATGTACAACAAGAATTTAAAATCACTGCATTCATGTGCCATTCTGAAGAGCACTCACCTCTTAGAAGGAGGAAGAGTATAGTATTAATTAATAGGCTAATATTTATAGGTATTCGAACCTCTATAGATACCACGTGGATGATTTCTCTTTCTAATTTAGTTTTTGTGTCTGTAAAGAACAGATTACATTACCTCATAGGTTTGTTGTGATAATTTAATAAAATTTAAGGCAGTTAGCATTAGCATAATTCCTTGCACTTCCAATAAGCTCTCAAAAAATGGTATCTATTATAATTGCATAATACAATTTATATATAAATGTAAAAACATGAACTCTTTTTCAAAGTCAATAAATACCCTCCCTCTTTATATAATACAATTGAATATTACCCATTATTTATTATGTCATATTTCTTATTAATAGTACTAAGATAGATAATTTAGTTCAGTTCTTAATTGAAAGAACATTGAATCTGAATTAATAAAATCTGAATCAAAAAGGTTTTTTCTCTAGCAAGTTTAGTATGTAGGATCTCCTAAGACAATGTTTTACTTAAGAAAGCGTTTTTAAGTAGCTACTGTGTACAGACAACTATGAGATATTGTGGAGGAGTGGATACAAAAATAGGGACTTCTATAGTTATACATTATTTCTTTGAATTTATACCTTTTAAAATGTCAAAGTTATTTTTGTTAAGAACGTGAAAAGTATAAACTGTGATTTGGAATCTTACAAATAGCCATTGTCCTAGGAGAGTTAAAACTCATTAACTAAATTATGCTGTAGAAAAACATTGGAATAGTTGTGAGGAGACTAGTATATTCTTATTTTTATTATTTATAGGAATTATTATATTTTCTTGGTTGGTTGGTTTTGGTTTCCTAATTGGTTGACTACAAAACTGGAAGAAGCAGAGATAATTTTGGAGGAAGATGTGGCTGCTCTTGTAACAGTAACATTATAGACCTGATCTTCTCCTAGCAGGGTTCCTGATTGGCCTAATTCTGCCCAAATTAGAAGGCTTAGGTAGTGGTGGGCCTGGGGCCAAAAGGAATTTATTTTTTGTTGGGAAAGAAAAGTAAAGAGGAAATTCAATGCCCTCTACACGGGTGTCAGCCTCTTAAAAAGAGGCCCTGATAGAGGCTGTACTGAGGGACGTCCCTGGGCTTTCTTTACATGTGACTTTACTAGAAAGAATAAGAATAGGAGGGGAGGAAATGACCAATCCCATGTGACAAATGAGAAGGAGTTTTCAGGGGATTATCTTTTACTGTGGCCTGAAAAACAAATGCATCATATATAAAATGAAAAACTTTGTATTTTCTGGTTTTGTTATTCAGATCAAACAATATTTAACATGAAAGGCTTTAAAATGAAAATCTTCATACATGTATAGATTAACATTGTGAAGAACTTCAGTGTAGGGCCCACACTTCAAACATTTGCCATTTGTGATGTTGGCAGTACTTTGTTAAGGTTCATTTGAGGATCTTGTTTTTTGGGAGCAGCTGGTGGCATAAATTCTATGCCCATTTTTTTTTTTTTAGAAAGAAACTAAAGCAAAAATAAAATTGAATTAACTTGACAAAATCTCACCAATGGATGATTAGCAGAATTGGCAACTCTATATTATTAGATTATCCTGCTCACTAGCTCGTTCAAATTTATTTTCTTATGTGTGTGTGTGTGTGTGTGTGTGTGTGATCAAAATCTCTTTGGAGAGTCTCCTCTTTTCCACTCTTAGTCCATTTGTGTCAGGTAGGGCTCACATGCTCCTTAGCTTTGGGAATGGCAATGTGTCCTGGGTCTGCTTACTGTATATACAACTTGTCCTTGGTTACAGTGATTGGTTAGGGTTGGGCACAAGATCCAAGGTGAGCCAATCTACAGTAAATGTAAGAAACTTGCTGATGCTGTCTAAATGAGCTTGCTAAATTGGTGATCACCTTCCCTCTTTTTTTGCAAACGTTCTGATTGAGAATGAAGCAGATCCTGAGGAAAAACAGGGCTGTGAAGGGCTGTGAAATAGAGACATAGTGTCCTAATGATATCATGTAAGACCCTGGATCCAACTATCCTAAAGCCAGATTCAGTTCTTACATTCCTAGTTCTCTGTGTCAACAATTTCATTTTTGTGGTTAATTTATTTTGAGATTACAGTATGTCACTTTCAACAAAACAAACCCTTGTATTCTTTCTGACTTTCCTCTTTTCTTCTGTTTCTTCTTTCCTTTTTCATTTTTTCTTCTTTTTCCTTTTTCTTCTTTTTCCTTTTTATCCTTTCTTCTCTTCCTTTCTCCTGTTACTTTAAAAGTTCTACCAGGGCCTGTTGTGGGGTGGGGGGAGGGGTGAGGGATAGCATTAGGAGATATACCTAATGTTAAATGACGAGTTAATGGGTGCAGCACACCAACATGGCACATGTATACATATGTAACAAACCTGCACGTTGTGCACATGTACCCTAAAACTTAAAGTATAATAAAAAAAAAGTTCTTTATAAGAAACTATAGCAAATAGGATCAACTCATATGGAGCCTTGAAAACTAGGATAAAAGCATTAGACTTTATCATTTATACCCTAATTTTTTAAATTTTGGAAATAGCATGATAAGAGTTAGGATGATAACAAATGTGTAATAAACTATGAAGAATGAAGTGAGTGCGTGAAGAGGGGTTAGGGTGTTGTCCAAACCTTCAAGGAAGAATTGTTACCTTAGAATGTTAATCTGTTAGAAGTAGAGATGTAGGGACAGGTGCAAATAATAATAGTCTTTAAGGGAAGCATAGGTAGAAATTGTTAACTAATCAAATATTAGGGATAAAGGAGAGGTGAAGATGATTCTGAGGTTTTAAGCACCTATGACTAAAACACAGATGGAACAAAAATTTATTATCAATAGAGAAATGAGGATGGGGATGAACTAACTGAAGTCTGCAGGGGACTGTAGGTTAGGTTAATTTGTGTTCTTGCTGAGTCTGAGCAGGGGCTCAAAGAAGCAGGTTTGGAACTCAGACATCATTGCTGAAAATACCAATCTTGAAGTCATCCTAATCAAAGTGATCTTTGATACTGTGGGCCAGAATTGAGTCAAGAGAGAACCAATCAAGTTAAGAACAGATATTCAAGAATTTAGCTGTGGGAAACAAATAAAATTGGAAAGAGAAGAAGGCTGGTTGTCATGGCCCATGCCTGTAATCCCAGCACTTTGGGAGCCCAAGGCTGTGGACTGCTTGAGCTCAGGAGTTCAAGACCACCTTGGGCAACATGGCAAGACGTCATCTCTACAAAAAATACAAAAATTATTCAGGCATGGTGGTACATGCCTATGGTCCCAGCTGCCTGGGAGTCTTAGGTGGAGGGATTGCCTGAGCCCAGGAGGTTGAGGCTGCAGTAAGCCAAGATTGTACCACTGCACTCTAACTTGGGTGACAGAGCAAGACCTTGTCTCAAAAAAGAAAAAAATGGAGGAAGAACAAAGAGGAATGAGAAAATAGGTACAGGAGAGAAGTGTCAAAGTTCGAAAAGTAGGAAGAAACCTAACAATTGTACTGATAAACCAAGGAAGATTTAAATTTCAAAACAAAAATTGGTGGTCTCAAATGTTACAGCAATAAAAGAGAATGTCATGTAGGCATCCCTCATCCAATATACTAAGAAGACTTTTGGAAATTTTCATAAATAAAACTTCACTGATATCTCATCAAAACAAATTCTAGGTGGGATAGAATGAAACATAAACAAATTAAACTAGGGTACAAATTTGAATATTCATCAGCTCTCTCAATAGAAGAAACATTTCTAAGCTTTGAAGCGATAGAAAACCTCATAAAAGGAAAGCTCATTAGAGTTGATCACATAAAAATCACAATTTTCTTGAATGCAAAAAACGTAAGTTGCTGAACAGAGTATATGCAGCAAAATATGACCAGGAGTTTGTCAGTTTTATAAAGAGCTAATCGGAAAAATCCAAAGAAACAATTCACAAAACAGAAAATTAAGTATGGCTTATTTATTTGTTTCCTCTACTATATCCTCCAGTTAGAAAGAGGATGCCCTCTAAGCTCCATGAGGGCAGAGCCTATGCTTTTGCTGTTTACCACTGCAAATCCAGCATTTAACCCATTGAGGTAGGGGTATTTCCTCAGACAGAAATGTAAAAAGAGGCATAGCTTCAGCATGAAAATGAATTCAGATTTGTCTGCACTGGCTTCGCAGTGCAGTGGGACATCGAAGTTGAGATTTCAGTGCCCATCTATAATACAAAGTTCTGGAGCTCAGGGTAGAAGTTCAAGCTAGAGATATAGGTTTAAGAGTAATCATTTGGTTTGTAATTGATGACATGGACTCTTCACCACCCAGGGAAATGTGTATAGAATGAGAAAGGGCTGGGGAAGGAATGCCAAGGAAGCCCAGCATTTAAGAGCAAGACAGAGAAGGCAAGGAAAATCAAGGCAGTATGTGCCTATGAGAGTTCAGGCAAGAAGATGTATAGGGAGTTCAATGTGTTTCACAATAGGCAGCATAACCGGCACCTGATGAATGCTCAAAAATGTTAGCTATTATTAATATGGAAATGACTAATAGCAGGCAGCTTTATTCATATAATATTGAACTTGCCAGAGGACAGAGTGGAGATGCAAAAGAGGAGCCAGTTGTCATAGCTGCCTAGAAAGCTGAAAATGGAAAAAAGGAAAGAGGACTACAGGAGACAGCAGTGATGAGATGGGAGCCACATATGTATAGGAGATCAAAGGGGAGAAAGGGGAGAGGATAATACTTTTAACCCCATTTATTGAGTGCTGCCTAGTGCCAGATGCTGTTCTTAGTGCTTTAACTGATTCAGTTTCAAAACAGCCTTACAATATAATTACTAGACTTAGTCACATTTTACAGTCAAGGAAACTGAGAAATGGACAGTTCCAGTAACTTGCCTAGTGTTGACTACTACTATGAGATGAATACAGGATTTGACCTCAGGCATTCTGACTTTTGAGTCCATGTTCTTAATCTCTTTTATGTACAGCCTCTTAATTATATGGGTGATGACAGTAAAATATTTTGACCAAATCTGGAGTATAAAACTCTATTTTCAAGGGTTTTTTAGTATCATTATCTGATGCTGTTTTTTTTTAAAACTAGTGCTTTAGAAGTCTTTAAAGAAGAATATCAACTTCTATATCATTTCAGATTTCTTTGCAATTATTTTGTACCCTGTCCCTGATTTTCAGTCTTGAGTCACACTTGCTGCTATTTGATAGCACAAACTGCTTTGCAATGAAAAAAAGACACCTGCAATGTTGCAGATGTAGTTAGTATGATGCAGGCAAGACACCAGGAAGAGCAAAAGCGCCTATTTTAGGGACTGTTTTTAAGCCGCACCAGGGAACCAAAGCAATGACTGCATCACATGTGACCATGACTTTCACTTTTCAGATGGAAAGGCGACTCTCATGAGATTTTTTTAAGTGAGAAAATTCAGAATATGAATCATTTTTATTTTAGTGTTATTTGGTGTCATTCGAAATAAAAATATTAAAAAATATAAACATTTTATGGTAAGCATCAGGATTGAAATTTTATTAACAAATAGCAATTAAATCCTGGCTAACAATGTTTGCTAAGATGGTTACCATAAGAAAATAACTTTTGTGAAGCTAAGTTAATATAACTGTTTTTATGGTAATAAAATGATGTCTCATGGAATCGATCTTTGAGACAAGTACTCTTACCACAAAAGCAAAACAAAACAAAAATTAGTTCTGCTATCCTACAAAATGTTGTACTGAATTTACCAAAAATCTAATTCAGAGTCCACACACGGTGTTAAAAATGCAGGCTAAGAAGTAGTGAGTATATTATTGTGGTGATATAACACATAGACATGTCTAGGAAGGAAGACATAGTTGTAAATAAGCTAGAATCTATTTAGAGGATAACAGAATGTAGATTTACATTCCTTTGGTGGGATTATGTTAGGTCAGCCTCTCAATTGGTTTTAAAACAGATATGGCATGCTCTGGTCCAGAAACATTGAAGCTTTTATTATCAATCCCATTCCTAGATGTCCTGTCTGAAATGCTAATATTAATAATAGGCTTGCATTCATCAAATGTAAAAGTGTTAGGAGCAGAACTATGTCATCCCCAAAATTTATATGTTAAAATCCTAACCCCCTAATACTTCAGAATGTGACTCTATTTGGAGACAGGCTGTTTACAGAGCCTGTTACAGTGCAGTTTACTGCACACTGTTTACAGTGCGCAGAGGAGGACACAAACAGGTACAGAGGAAAGACCATGTGAAGATGTGGAGAAGACAGCCATCTACAAGCCAATGAGAGAGGCCTCAGAAGAAATCAATTCTGCTGACACCTTGATCTTGGAATTGTAGCCTCCAGAACTATAAGAAATAAATTTCTGTTGTGTAAGCCACTCAGTCTGTGGTACTTTGTAATGGCAGCTTGAGCAAACTAAAACAAAAAGGTGTGATGTTGGGCTTTCACCCAGGTTTTATACTCTAGATTATAACAAGATAATTAAATAACCAGAAAAATGACTGATTAATAACTTCCCATATGATCTTCATCAGTTTCTTCCTTTGCAATTGAATGCCTATTTACAATTCCTTTGTGAAAGAAAAGTTTGATGTCCATTTATTTCTTGGTAACCCAGAGATTTCTGGGATCCCATAGTTATTCTGTGGTTTCTCCCAGCAACAACCTTAAAGCAAGAATCAGGGTTTGCTCCCTACCCCAAAAAAGAAATGTGTTTTATAAAACATAAATGTACTTTGTGGATTTTACTGAAGACTTATTGAAGACATTATATGACATATCCATACCCAGAAATCTCGACCTTGCCCTATGTGCCTCTCCCTTTGGCTGATTTTTAATCTGTATCCTTTCACTGTACTATAACCAAAAGTATAATGGTTTTATTGTGTCCTCTGAGTCCTTCTAGTGAATTTTGGGGCATGAGTGTGGTCTCAGGGACCCTCAAACTTGCAGTGAGTACCAGAAGTGAGAGTGGCCTTGGGCAACTCCAAACTTGCATTAGGTTTCAGAAGTGAGGGTGGACCTGGGTACTCCTAATGTTTGCATGAGGTCACCTGCCTCTCTTCTCTGTCTTCAGAGTCGGGGCCCATCCCTATAATTGTGACTCCCCTCCACTAGGACAGAGTAGTTGGGTGATGAGTGGTGTGTGGTAGAGAAAGGCATGCCTACTTTAGCTCTTCTCTCCAACGTTTTTGCCAGTTGGAAGGGATGGGAGATATGTGTCTACTGAATTCTCTTTCTGTGGACCTGGAACATGGCAGACAGACAGACACTTTGATCTCCTTGCCAGTACGACTTCATGTCTGCTGTAGTTTGGAGTAGCAGAGAGAAGGCAACAACTTCCTGGTTGTCTTCTGAACTGTACTTTGATAATCAGTAGGTAGAAAAGAGAGGGAACAGTATTTCAAGAACTGTTTTTGTTTTATCTTTTATCCCTATCCTTAAACTATATTTTGTTTTTGGTATTTCGTAGTCTTTTTTCAGGTAAGGTATATTAGGCATCTTTATTTATCACAAAAGGCTATCACAGTGTTTCCCTTTATGTAAGGAGTAAATTGAAGGAATAGTTTTGTTTTGACAACTTACTGTGCTATTCTTGTAGAGTGGCTAGCAGTGGTAATTTTTCTTTGAATGCAGTAATTCAGATTGGGATGTACACTTGATTCTTCTTCTTCACTGTAAATCTGTAAAGTTTCCATGAACGCCAAGTTAATTGAACATTGAATGATTACTCCCACAGGAAATAAAGAGTCAGATTCCTATAAGCCTGTGATAACAGTATTTTTGTCAGCTGATCAAAACATAACCTTGTCTTATATGTGTTTCTTTTTAAAGATAACGTATTTAATATGTATCATTGATTCATTAACTTTGGACTCATGGCCAACAGCATGGATGAAGCTTATCCATTTTCTCCATAAGGCACATAGCAGCCCTCTTGTGCTCAGGAACACTAGATAGAGTTTCTGTATTACACTTGGGGACCATTTTAAACAGCAAAATCACCAACAAAAAGCACAAAAATTCAAATAACGTGGTACTAAATAGATCATGAAAAGGACACTTGTTTACGGTAAGAGCTGAAACAAAGAGGTAGAATATTGCCTTGTTTGACCTCAGCTGTGCACTTGCACGTGCGGCAACTCGAATTTTTTTTTGCCACACTGTGCTAATGACCACTAATGATCACAGACATGCTGCAAATACTGATTTCAGGGTTACAAATAAATTTAAGTGAGTAGGCAACTTCCCAAATATGGAATCCACAAATAATGAGGATTTCCCAGACTGTAATGTCTGGGAAAAAATGCTGATTGCTCTAAAGTATCTTTAAAAGGGAAATTGATGCTTTGGTTATGATGTCCTGGCTCTGCCAGAAATGATAGCTCCTTGTATTTTTCCTACTCCATCATTCCAGAGGAGACAGGATCAGAATCTCTGCCCCTTGAGCCTACTTTTTGCATCAGATGTTTGCTGTGAGAAGTAATGAGTCTTGTAAAGGAATGTGGTTCATTTGCTAGGAGGTGTTCCATGCTGGAAGATGTGAGGCTCCATGGACTGTTTGTCAGGAATAAAAGTAGTCGTAGGGAGAGGGTAGAAAAAGGAAGGAAGACCAAGAGCAAGGGGGACGGTAATTTCTAGGCATGATTAACAGCAACAAAAAATCTATCTGTGAGTCTATCCTAGATAGATTATGAGTAAGATACTAAGTAAGATCAGAGTCTCTCCAGTAATCGATGGACTGATCCAGGTTGCTTTTCCAGCTACTACAAGCCATAATGGCAGGGTTACATTCTTTTCATCCAGTAAGAAAACTACTTTATGTTTGTTACAAAGTAGTCATTATCTATCTTAATTGCTTGTCAAAAGGTTTTGAGAGTGTTGTTAGAGTTCATGGGTGATCTCTGAGCTGCTGACTGCAGTATACTAAGCTGTTGATCAAGAACAATAATGGTAGCTAGTATTCACCAGCTTTTTATGCCCTAAGTTCTGTTCCCAGTACTTTACACGTACGAAGGCATTTAAAGTTTACAATAGGCCTTTGAGGTTGGAAATGATATTATCCCCAACATGATATTATCCCCGGCATAGGTTCGGTAACTTGTTCTAGAGGTCACACATACAGTAAGTGACCGATCTGAAATGCAAACTAGGCCATGTCATCTGCCTACAGAGTCCATACTCTGATACCATCAGCCATTACACCATACTGATTTTTCTCAAGGAGAAAATGAATCTTGAAATTTTAGTTTAAGTTTCACTTGCCTGGATGCAAAGATTGATTTTAAATTGAGGAGCATACTCTTATCATGAAATAAAATAAAAATAGGATGCAATTGTTGACAATAAATCTGGGTAGTTTTGGCTTATAAAATGTTTATCTAAATTGTGTTCAGTAATTTGGTGATCCATCTGATGACTTTATTAAATAGATAGGATAACTGGAAAAGGAAAGTAAGAATCAGCCTTTGTATAACAGAAACAAACTATGAGTGAGGGAATGGAGCTCCCAGAGAGGAGTGCAGCAGGGGGCAGAAGTCCAGTGCCCTGGGTGAGCATGGCCAGGAAGAGTGTGTTACTATGAGAACTCATAGACCAAAGCTGGAGTCACTGGTAATCTTAGAAGGACTGGATGGACACAGGGCCAGAGGAAACCCTGAGGGAAAGCTGAGCCAGAATGGAGTCAAGGCAGAGAGGCAGACACTGAGGTTAGATTACAAGAGCAAGACAGAGCAGGCAGAAATGGGTGCAAACGTCAGCACAAGGAGAATTTGGAGAGGACTAAGAAGTCAAGAGCAGGCATAAGTTGGAGGTCAGCTTTGGCCAACCTAACTTTGAATCAGGTGACCAGGTAAATTGGAGTCATGGACTGTTGGGTCCAGTACCCTGTGAGATTATGTGGGTGACAGGCTGCTGCCCACTCAAATGCTGAGTTACCTGGTGGGACAGGAAGAGGGAAGGATCTGGTACAAGAATGAGAAGTAGAGAAGCCTGGAAAAGTACCCTTTAAAGGAGTTCAAAGGAGTTGGGGACTTGGGGCAGATTTTTCCTTTGGGGAAAATAGATGGGTCCTTTCTACCTGAAGGTTCTATTTTGTAATTGACATGGTTGTTTTATACTTTAACCAGGATTGTGTCTCTTCAAACTTTGTTGCACTATCAGAAGGGAGGATGTTAATGCTCCTTTTCTCTGTATGCAGTTAGATAGCTGCAAGTTCAGGGAAGAGAGGAGGTAAGTGTTGAGAGCTGTATATAGAAAATTAGTATTTGAAAAATACAACGGGAATAATCTTTACTTCATACTTGGAAAGAGACCATTAAAAAGCATTCAAAAGTCTTGAACAATTCAAGTTTGATTTGTCCATTTAGTGAATCATGCTTGAATACTACGTGCAGGATTCTGCTAATCTTGGAAGTTATTCCAGTGAGAAAGACAGTTATGACCCCTGGACTCTAGGGTGTTACACTTATCTGCTACACTTTCTCAGTAAAGTCCAGTTTTTGCTTTTGGCATCATTTAAAACTGAAAACCTCAGAATGTACTGAAGTTTAACTGTTAAGCTCTTCTCTGATTATGTTGTGAATTATTTGTTAGGTAAGATCCCTCTCCTCTGAAGGTGAAAGGTGCTGTTCTCCTGAAGGGAGTGGCCATTCCTATTGTCAATTGTAAAGAAATTAATCCCAGGGCAGGAAATGAAGTCAGGGAGACAGATGCTGGACCGTAGTGAAGGAGAAATGCTTCTCTGGGGGCCTTAGGAGAGCCCACTGTCCAAGGACACAGAGTCAAAAACACTTCCATGAGTGAGAATAATTCGGTTCTTGCGCATGAAAATAGCACCTTGTGTTAGACAAACACCTAGATGGCCTAGAGCTGCCCACTCAGAAAGTAGGCATTATTAGTACAGTTCTAACTCATTTTCTTTGCTGTGTTACGATTACTTTTCTGTGCACCTTTAGTAAAAAGAAATTGTCAAGTTTCCATTTGGTTTCTGTTCTCTCTGTAGGGAATCAAGGAGATTGTAGTCATGCATTTGGGACAACTGTGTGGGAGAGTAGCGACAGCCTTTGTACAGGGTTGAATACTGTTACACTAAAATACATGTCCTCAGAATCTCAGAATGTGAATTTATCTGGAAATAGGATTGTTGCAGATATAAATATTTAAGATGAGGTCATACTGGGATAGGATGGGCCCTGTATTAGTCCATTTTTACACTACTATTAAGAAACTACCTGAGACTGGGTAATTTATAAACAAAAGAGGTTTAATTGACTCATAATTCCACATGGCTGGATAGGTCTCAGGAAACTGACGATTATGGTGAAAGGTGAAGGGGAAGCAAGGCACGTCTTACATAGCAGCAGGAAAGAGAGAGTGTGTGAAGGAGGAACTGTCACACACTTATAAAACCATCAGATCTTGTGAGAACTCACTATCATGAGAACAGCATGGGGGAAACTGCCCCCATAATCCAGCCACCTCCCACCAGGTCTCTCCCTCAACACAAAATTATGGGAATTACCATTCCAGAAGAGATTTGGGTGGCAACACAGAGCCGAACCATATCATGCCCTTAATCGGATAGGATTGATGTCTTTATAAGAAGAGGAAAAAACCACACAGAAACAAAGACACAGGGGAGAACACCATGGGAAGACAAAGGCAGAGATTAGAGTGACTCATCTACAAGCCATGGGGCACCGAGGATCCCAGCAACCATAAGAAGCTAGGAAGAGGCAAGGAAGCATTCCCTCCTAGAGCCTTCAGAGAGAGCATGGCCCTGTTAACACCTCAGTTTTGGACTTCTGGCCTCTAAAACTATGGGAGAATAAATTTCTATTGTTTAAAGCCACTTGGTTTGTAGTCCTTTGTGATGGCAGCCCTAGAAAACTAGTACAGCCTCCTATCAAGGTGTGGTACTAAAGCCTGGGGCATACCATTAAAATGATAGAAAGGGGATGGTATTCCTCTATTCTAAGATGTGCATTTTACATTTCTGAAAGAGGAGTGGACGTTACAATTTTACTCTATTTTAATGTGATTGTTGCAGGGATAATCTTATCCCAAACCAGTTATGCCCTTATTTTTGTCTATATTCAAACTTAATTTTTATTTTATTCTTATTGGAAAAGTGGAAACTTGATCAAGCTGCCTTTATCTCTGCCTTCTCCCTGGAGTTATAGCTAAATTTCAAAGTACCTGTGTAGTAAGTGCCACAGTGTAGAAAGGAGTAAGACTTCATTTGTTCTGTGTTCTGTAGCATGCCTCCCTGCAGGGGTACATCCTCCCCTCTAGTCCTCAGTCCTTGGTCTCTGTTGTTCAAAGCTTAGATTTCCTGTTTCTTTGTGCCTGGCCCTTCAGGTCCATTGGTCCTCTCTGCTAAGTCCAAGCCGTGCTGGGGTAAGTTGATCTCTGGGATATTGTGTAAGGTCCTATCTGCCTACATTCAGTAAACAGCCTCTCTCTGTGCTCATCAATTGGCTGCAATAGTTCATTTATCTGCTTTCCATTGTCACCTCCCTCCCATGTGATCATGAGCACAGCTTGGCTGCTCTGAGTGCAATGTATCAAAGGAGACAGTGGGGAAATATTGGAGGGAAATTACCAGTTTTCAAAAGTACTGTATATCTACATTTCTTATCTAGAAAAATAGTTACTAAAAGCTTTTAATCCTACAAAAGTACTATTTCTTTCCCTGATGGCCCTTCCACACCCCTTCTACCCACTTGCCCCACCCACCCTACTATGTTTCGGATCTGGATCCAGAATGTGTTCTTCCATGACAGTAGCTCCCATAGGCAAAGCAGCATCTGGCTCTGTGGGCTCTCCAAATTTGTGTAGGTAAGTCTGGCTGGAATTATTGCCTCCCTCACCTGGAGGTTGCTGCCTCTTCTCCCAGGAGGTTCTCCATATTTCCAGGACAGGCTTGTTGCCGCCAGGCTGCTCAGCCACCTGTGTTAGCAGAGCTTCCCACTGGGATAATCCTGTGTTGGGCCTCAGATAATGGGTATTGAGCAACTCATTGCTTAAGACAGCAAGTAATGTAGGCTGATTCCCCACATGGAACTGCGGCCATACATTCCTCCTGAGAGTCAAGGAGAATTCTCTGAGCAGCTCATGTTTAACTCCAGGGAGCAAATAGACTCAGTGAGCCTAGTCTATTTTTCTTTTCTGGTCCTATGTGGCTTCACTCAGTGTACCTGTAACTGAGTATCCCCATTTTTCTAAGAGAAAGAAAATGAGTTATTTTAATTACTATCTTTTCATGTTCTTTTCTCTTTCCTCCTCTTCCCCTATTTTCCACTTCCTACTTAGCTCTTTAGAAATGCAATTATAACCTTTACCTTCCCTTCACCAGATACTCCCTATATGGTAAGCTTATCTAACTATCCAACTATATGCTTACTTAGAAGCATAAGAGTCAGAAATCTCTCCTAACAGGAGCTTGCCCCAAGAGACAACAGTCAATTTATAACCCAACGTATGCCCGCAATGGAACTCTCTCTCACCTGGAGAGTATCTTGAGACAACATTCACCTTACAACCTAGGTCTGCCCATGATGGTGGCAGCTCAACCATCTGGTAGATAAGACACCAAAGCAAGCCACGTAGACCCTGCACCTGCTCATTCCCTCCTCTGCATACTATTTGTGCAAAGTCCCCCTTTAAAAGCCTCTGCTTTCTGTCCCCAAAAGGAAAATGGTACTTTAAAGGAAGGAGGCTGTACTTCTTCCCCTAAACTAAGCTTTGGAATAAAGTCACCTTCTTTATACCAAACCTCGCTCTTTTTAGCTGAATTCTGCAAGTGGTGAGCAACTGAACCTGCATTTTGGTTACAGACCCTTTCTGGTTTCTGCGACTATCTAAGTCCTCCCTAGCTTCTGGGTTAGTAGCTGTGGGTTCTCTTTATAAATGCAGTCTACAGTATAGACTTTCTTTCAAGTAGAGCAAAAAGAATTCTTCAGGTATTCTTTCGTTCATAGAAATTCTGGGACTCAGTGATACCCTTCTCAGACTTGCTGATGAATTGGATATGGGAAATTGGGAAAGCTGTAGACAAGAAATCCCTCATATCAGGGAAAAACTGGAATTTGAAAGTTTGGGGAGTGATGGGTCTGAGTGAGAAGAAATGTAGTCATTCTGTCCTTGGCTTGGATGGCAATACTTCCTCTGTCTCTCAATAAAGGGGTATGGGCAATGAGCTAATAAGCCAAAAAGGAGTCCAAACAGATTTACCTGCCACTAGGGCCAAGGTGCAATTGTTATAGTATTAGAATCCCATCTTCTAAAATTTGACCACTGAAAAATTATTCCATAATTCCATTTATTTTCTTTTGGAGATCCCTTTTAAGATAACAAATACCTAAATGACAGCATGTCTCCTTCCTACTAAGGATACTGACTAAGGAAAATAATCTGTGTCCTCATTTGAACCACAGTTATAAAAGCAGCCTCCTTTCCCGGGTGGCAGACAAAGTGAAAACAGCAGGAATCAAAGACAGAGAACCATAGGCATGGAGAGAGAAATTGGGGTTCCTTATATATCCAATTGCATACATTTGTTCCCATAGATCACATTTCTGCTGAAGTCTTAAAGGGTGGTTTAACGTGGTTTGATTTTAAGAGTCAAAAAAATTCTTTCAAAGTTATAATGCTAAGGAGGAGTTAGAGGCAATTATTACCTCCTCAAAGCTCCCTCTCTGAAGGATCTTTTTATTCTGGGCATGTCAAACTTGGCCCAGCTCCAGGACAGAACCGTTTCCTTTATGGGACCTTGTCTGGTTAGGGTAAGTCCTAATCAACTGCTGTGAGTGGTCTTCCTACTCACTGTAGGAGTGTGGGGCTTCACTCACTTGACTTTCGGGCTTAACATGATAGAATCCAGGGATTCTGTTGCCAAGGCACTACCAGTCAAGAGGGCTTTGGCTTCCGCGGCAGTATGAATCATAGGTGAATTACGTGACCTTTTAGTTGGCAGAGGCATGCTAATTCAGGGTCTTATATACCAGATATCAATATTTAAGAAATCTCTGTAAGTTTTTTATTTATACCAAATGTTTCAGATGAAACATTTTCCTGCAGTAATAAAATAAACATTTTAAAAGGAGGGGGCAAAATGTTGTTGTTTAATAGGAAACAAGAAACTAATCTATATGTCTGGAGTTTTGAAGACAAGTCCTGATCTTTTTGAATAAATGTATATGAGTCCTACTTGCTACTAACTGCACATTGATAATTCTTGTACTATTTCTGACTCAAGATCTAAGTCTAAACTTAGATGCTGTGGATTACTCAGATAATGAATGTGACTGTATAACTGTGGGATGGCTATGTTATTTTGAGTATAGTGTTTTGGATTATTTTGATCATTCATGTTAATACATTCCATTCAGTGTATATTGTGATGAGCTCTTTCTCATCCACACCCATATTTCCATGTGTTTGGTACAACATTTATGCCCCAAGAAATGCTCATAGGTATTTTTATTGGAGGAAAGGAGCATGGAGGGGACCATCTATAGTTACCCTGCCTTTGAGAAATTCTAAGTTACACAAAAATTAAACAGATTTTCTCTTTTTCTTTTCTTTTTTTTTTTTTTTTGCAAAAAGTCTCCACGGTCTTTAATATGCTTTATTTTTATTTTAAAACTCAAAGTCTCCCCCACTCTTTTTGTAGAATATCAGTTAGTATCATTCAGGATACTTTTTCTGTAAGAAAGTTTGGGAAACACTATTCTAAGGATACAATGAGATGCAATTGGTTTAATCATAACCAGAGTGATTTCAGCCTCTCACCAGATGGTTGTGAAAGTAATGCCCTGGAACAACTGTTGTCTCCTTTTTCGGAAGGCCTAATGAGAAAGATATCTATTTATCTCAAAGAGCATTACGCAATCTTTCAAAAAAAGAGAGAATGAACCAGAAGACCCATGGAGGAACCTGTAATTCTCTGGTTTTAGGATGCAATCTTTTAGAACATTTTATCAATTACTATGCCTTTGTTTGAGAAGGTCAGAGAATCCAATCTTAGAAATTGTTTTAGTTATCTACTGCTGCATAACAAATGTCCCCAAAACTTAATGAGTTAAAACAACAAATATATATTATCTCACAGTTCCTACAAGTCAGAAATTCTGGAGTGGCTTAGCTGGGTTGTTCTAAGTCTCTTATGATGTTGTAGTCAGAATGTAGGCAGAGACTGCAATCATCTGAAGTCTTGACTTAGGCTGGAAGGTCGGCTTCCAGTATGACTGACCTACTATCGATTGGCAGGTGACCAACTAAACTCCACACCATGTGGGCCTCGCCTTAGGTTGTTTGGGTGTCCTCATGACATGACAGCTAGCTTCAACCAGTCTGGGTAATCCAGGAGAAAGTGACTAAAGAGGAAGCCACACTGCCTTTATGGCTTAGCCTCTGCAGTTGCATACCATCACTTCTACTTTATTCTGCTTGTGAGAAGTGAGTCACTCAATCTAGCTAAATCCACTAAATCATACTCAAGGTAGGGGAATTAGGTTTCATCTCTTACAGGAAAGAGAATCAAAGAATTGTGGACATATTTTAAAACCACCACAGAAGGTTTAAATACTAAGGGCACAAGAAGAAGGGGCAAGATAAGACAGTGCCTGGATTATTTAATTCAGCATCTCAATGCCTTGTCAAAGATCCAAATTCTTTCTGTCTTCTACCCTGCCATGCTCAGTGTCTTAGCTGTATACTCAGGCTAGTTCCCCACATAGATGCACAATGATGGCATAAGTAAGAGCTATCATGTACCATCACAACATCCAGCAGGACAAGTGGATTGTGTCTTCATTGTGACATTATTTTTGAGTAAGGAAACCTTTCCTGGAAGACTTAACCTGGCTTCTGTCTTAACTCCTTGACCACATCTGTGTCAGATGCTCATGACAAAACCCATAGCAGGCAAGAGGAGAGAGACTGCTGTGAGTGACTTAGACCAGAGATGTATGCCTGAGCTAGGTCAAGTCAGCTGTGCTGAAGGACACTAAAACAAATTAGAGTTCCCTTTACAAGGAGAGAGGGAAATAGCTACTGGGCTTGCAATTAACAGCTAACTAACTGTGAATCCTTGACCTCCTTCTAGTCACAAAGTCATGTGCATAGGTCTGACGACATCATTTCCTTTGTAGAGTATAAAAGCTTACACTTTAGACAGAAGATCAAGTCTAGGGAGCCCTTTAGCAGCTCTTGACATAAAACTCATTCTGGTTAAAAGGTGTAAAAAATTTCTGAAAACATAATCATAAAATACATTTTTAACAATATCCAGTGTTGATAGAAGGGAAAGTTTAGAGATTAAACTAAATTCGCCACTTTCAAAGAAACCATTATATCTTTGAGGGTGGGGGACTACATTTATTCTCATTTGGTGTTAGTAACAGATGGAGTGGAATTTGTCCTTATGGGAGCCTAACATTTAAAGAGAAATCCTGAGCTGTGTAATCAGTTAACTTGGTTGCCTTATATCTCATCTCCTCTCTGTTTCACCTCTCCCCTTCTACCATCCCCTCTGCTCTTGCTAAATCAGAGTATTGCATAATTCAGGCAATTGAGGGCCATAGGCCTAGTTGCTCTTGCCTCGCCCTTTTCCTGAGACCCTGAGAGCAGTTCATGGTGATTTCAGCATTGCTCACCCCAAGTCTAGCTCTCCAGCAGTCTGTCATGTCTCAGCTTTACTGTTTTAGTCATTTCAAGGAGTTTTTAGAATTACTGGACAATTGCCTGCAGACAAATTCAGGGGAATATAAAGGAAAGGAAATGAAGGAATAATCTGCTCCTTGAGAGGAGGACTAAACTTGCTTAACCCAGAGGAATTTGGCTAGATGCTTTGCATTTAATAGGTTTTCATTCATCCATTCAATCACTTAATCACTTATTTAACTTTTAGTCTATCTGTGAGTGTCAGTTTCTCACCATTCAGAGAGCAAGTAAAGGATTGAGAATGGAAAACATGGTTTGCCACACAGGAATTGCCTTGACAAATTGAATAACACAGAAGTTCCCTAAGGATTTTGCCAGCCATGAAAATGTGTAAAGGTTACTGTGTGGATTTCTCATTTCTTATAGAATTCTGCATCAATCATGTACATATTTGAGAAAGAAAGGAAGATTTCTATTTAAAACCAACTTGACAATAATAGTGGAACCTAGGTTAAAAACTGTCTAAATATATGTGGCCAGCACAAGCTTTAGAACATGTGGTACAGAAAGATCCTTGCCCTGAGGCCAGACCTCTGCAGAAGTGGTTTGCTGGTATTGGCTCCAAAGGCCCTTAGGCTTCCTACCATGGTAGGTAAAGAACCAAGGACTCAGTAGCTCCCCAACTCATTGGCTCTCCTCTTTAAAACACTTTGGCAAAATTCCTTAGTATACTAAATTTTGCTTTTTCTTGAATTATATATTTGCTTTAAGTAGGATAGCACTTTATAAAATATTCATATCATATCACAATTAAATGAAATATTTTGCCAAGATTAATTTAGAACTAAAGGCATTCTAGGGCCCCGTAAAAAGTTAAGCTTCTAGCAAAAGACAGTAGAATTCAATGTGTAATCTAAACTATTAGTACCATTTACTAAGTGATCCTTTTCTTTAGTTGTAGAGGGGATAAGGAGGAGAAGAGTGTTACCCATTCCACCATATTAGTACTGATTTGCTAAAACACTAGATATAAAACAAGTACATTTATTATATGCATCCTGATGGAAAAACTACATACAATAATTTAAAGATTACTGATTTAAATATTACTCTAGGGTTTTTTTGTTTGTTTTAAACTGGGACATACACACTAAGGGGTGGTATATGAAGATTTTCCAGTGGGCATGTTAGCTGAGATCTTTTTAAGGAATAAACTTCCATACTTCTAAATGTATTCTTTCCTAAATTGGCAACATACAAATGTGTCTGTGGTCTATGGGCTCTCTCTTCCCATTTCCCCTTTTGCAGCTGACTTCCTCCCACTTCACTTATCCTAAATTTGACTATGGTGCATTGCTCAGGACTTAACCACTAAGCTACTCAGGGGAAAACTTGACACTTCACAGCTCATGAGGGAGTATTGTATGAGAGGAAAACAAAGAGAGGCTCCAGTAGAAAAATATTAGAGGGGGCAACACATTATTTCATCAGGCCTCAAACTCATGGCTGAGTTCCATGCCTTCTCTATCTCTTCTAAAACTGGAATTCAGAAGTCAGATGGTTAGCACAGGGACGTAGATTCACACATATATTTCAATTCAAATACAGTCAGATTTTTTTCTGACATAAATTAAGTCTGCTTTCCTCAATTTGAAACTGAGAACCTTATTTGTCATTTTCCTTATAAGGAAAGACAATTTCTAAAAATTAAAAAAACTAAATCAGAAGCTTCAAGATTTTGAGGAAAATATATTTAAAGCATCTCTATTATGTGCCAGAAATCACCACATTTTCAACTATTTAAATTTATGATAAAAATTCTAGATGTTAACTTAAAAGTCTATGCGATGTAAATAGTTTGCAAAATTCTTTTAGGGGATATATGAGCAAAAATACTTGAAGTCTACTGCTGAAGAATGCCATATGATCTCAGGGTGGCGGGGAGCAGGTGTGGGCCATGGTGCAACTGTCAAGTGGAGAGGTGTTTAGCAATCATCTCCTCCCTTCTCTTCACTCTGCCTTGTACCAGGATTTTTCCTCACACAGATTTCTGGCTGCCAATC